>NC_000014.9:64763228-65066258 GCF_000001405.40 Homo sapiens | reverse complement strand
TCATCACGGCCTCACTGAGCCACACGGCATCACACTGCACTGGTGTGGCCACACACTTGGTGGCAAGTGGAGACCTCATTAGAAGGGTGAGGGGCCTGCCCTATTTGCTGTCACCATCCCTGACCTAGTGACAGATGGCAGCTGGTATTCAGGGCCTCAGCCATCCAGCCTAGAGGTAAACCAAGCATGTTTCACCAGTGCCCCCTATTCCCCGAGACCTCTCACCTTCCTTCAGAGGCCTGCGGTGGTGGAAGGGCATGGGCTTTGGAGGCAGCAGATACGGGCTCGGGCTCAGGCACCACCACTTGACAGCTGGGAAACCTTGGGTGATTTACGTAAGCTCTCCAACCTGTTTCTCCAGTTGTAAAAGGCAGGTAATACGCCTGCTTCACCCACCTTACAAGGTGAGTCAAGGATCAAATGAGAGGCGGTAGAACAGGAGGGACTGTCTTAGGGGTTATTGTTTGGGCAGATGAGGCAAGAGTGGTCAGCACTTTTTAAGCAGCAGGTAAAGCCTTGGTCTTGGGGCTAATTGGTGGTAGAGTTTTGTATATAGTCACGCCACATCATGTTTTGGTTAACAACAGAATGCATGTACGACAGTGGTCCCGTGAGATCATAATACTGTATTTTTACTGTACCTTTTCCATGTTTAGATTCACAAATACTTACCACTGTGTTCCAGTTGCCTACAGTATCCAGTACGGTGACAAGCTGCACAGGTTTGTAGCCTAGGAGCAACAGGCTACCCCATCTAGCCTAGGTGTGCGGTAGGGTAGGCCATCTAGGTCTGTGTAAGTGCACTCCATGATGTTCACACAACGACGAGATCACCTGACTGCTTTTCTCAGGGTGTATCCTCGTCATTAAGTGACATGACTGTATTAGGTTGCTTTCAGTTGCAGGTAATAGTAAGTCCAACTCACATTGTCTCATATAACTGAAAATCCAGAGGCCACGTGGGCCTCGGGAGCCATGTGATCAGGGCCATGTTTCTCAGTCTCAGAGCATATGTGTGTGCTGGCTTCTCACGCTGGTTTCCTTCTAGGTAGAAAAATGGTTATAGGAGGCCCAGGCCACACATTCTACCATCCCCTAATAGGAAAGAGCTGCTTTTCCCCGTCATACAGTGTCCACGACGTCTCTCTCTTTAGACTATTTTAGGTCACATGCTTGTGCTCTGAATTGATCACTGGGGCAAGGACAAATCATGCTGACTGACTTAAGCCTGAGTTACTCCCAACCTGAACAAATTACTGGGGCAAAGAGAGATAAATGAAAATTATTGGCTTAGCCAGTCAGGGCCTGGGCCTGGAGGTAGGAGGGCATCAAGCCCTGGCAAACCTTTTGGCTGCCACAGGTGGGGAGGAGTGGCATGGATGCCAACAGTGTCCCTACAGGCTTCTATCCCAGTAATCACTGTTTGAGAGCAATGGCCATTTGCCTCTCTAGCATCCATTTACCCCTTTGGCAACAATCCTAATTTGCATTTGGAGCTTTGTTCCTTCCCCGTTCCCAAAAACTACGTGCTTCTAATGAAGCCTCATTTCCCTCTCAAGGGAGAGGCATGTGACCAAGACTTTGGCCAATTGGTGCACTGTATTCTCCAAGCCATTGGACTGCTTCTTGGAAAGGCACTTGGTTTGATTAAAGCCAGTGAAACACAATGATACTCGCTGGAAGGAAGGCTGGGGTGGAACCAAGTGTGCCTGTCTGCTGAACCTGACCCCAACAGGATGTAGGGTCTGGAGCTATTGGTGCTGCCATTTTACAACCCCATGGAGAGCCTGAGATTGAGGCTAATGTAGAAAGATGGAGGGAGGGTGAGGAACCTAATAGGACCAGCCTAATTCCTGGACTCTGCAGTTTGAGTCAACAGATTGCCTCTTTTGCTTCAAAAGCCAGTTTGGGTCAAGTTTTCTACCAGTTGCAATGGTGTCTTAAATCATATTATACTTTCCTTCCTATTCAAAGGCAGTAAATGCCACCAAGCAGTGCATGTGGGCAACTAGAATGCTTGGTCCAATCCTTACTATTTGTCACTTGACACTAATATTACATGAAAAGCATCCCAGTCATGAAAGGTATGGAAGAATGCTCAATAATACCAAGAAGGGAGAGCAGTGTGGAACTATTGTTTACTGGTATTATTATCTCAGGGGTGTTTCCCCTGATTATCCATGAGGTTCTCTTTATGCTCCGCTCCCTGTAGGGTCTGGCAGGCTTCCCAACTTATCTGGTGTTCAAGGTGGGCCTAAGGGTGAAACTGGAGCCCACCTGGATACAGAGATCTGTATTAGTTTTGTGTTTATTGATGGGAGAAAGTATTTGGGGTCATCCACCTTGAATGCTACATAAATGTCTTCTACTCAAGGAGTCACATAATAAATCTCTCCAAAGGTGCGGTGGCTCACACCCGTAATCTCAGCACTTTGGGAGGCTGAGGCAGGAAGATTGCTTGAGCCCAGGAGCTCGAGACCAGCTTGGGCAACGTGGTGAAACCCCATTTCTATAAAAAATACAAAAATTAGCTAGCTGTGGTGGTGTGCACCTGTGGTCCTAGCTACTTGGGAGGCTAAGGCAGGAAGATCTTCTGAGCCCAGGAGGTCGAGGCTGCAGTGAGCCATGATTGTGCCACTGCACTCCAGCCTGGGTGCATTTGAGCAAGATCCTATCTCAAATGAGTGAATAGACAAATCTCTAGGACTCACCTTGAGGGCTGTCAGGAAACCCTCTGGAAAAGGATGTCTCATGGATATGCCAGTGTAAACTCTCCTGAAATAACCCTTTCTCTTCTCTACCCAGACTAACTTTACCTACCCTTTGGGGCCCAACTCAGATCCCTCCTTCTTGGTAAAAAGCCAGTTCAGACTGAAGCAATCCCTTCTATTAACCACATTAATTATTACTGCAATTAATCTCACAATACCTTGAGGCTCCGAGTGCTGAGAGGATTTTGCCTTTTGTTATAGTGATGGAAAGGATGCATTTCAATATGTTGCCTTGCAGTGCAAACCTTTGTTAACAGGGCAAAAATAGCACAGGGGGCAGGAATTACATTCCTGGATGTGCATTTGGCTTATTTACATGGATTTGGGTGCCCTCTAAGGACACCATCTTCTCTCCCCTCCAAGAGGGTCAGGCCACAGGACATCCATGTTCTTGGCCTCCCATGGGAGAGGGTCTCTCGCCAGAGGAAGGGAAAGCCAAGTGGCCACAGAGTTCCAGCCTGTCCCTGTGACAGCCCCTGCCTCTGGCCAGACATCCACCCACCCTTGCTAAGTCAGCCTGCTCTGGGGCTACTAGGCCCAGTCCTTGCTGTCTGTCGGAGACAGACCATGAAGTGCAGTGTGTGGAGGGCTGGGACATAGCATACCGAATTACCCCAGGGAGCTTGGAAAACATCTCTTCCCACTCTCTGTTAGGCCCACGGCTTCCTCTACTGGAGGAGACGGCATGTGAGGATGGAACTCGGTCATTCCTCTGTCACCACCGATGTGAACAGTCTGGAATCCTGCACACAGGAGACTGACGATCCCTGAGCAACCTTTAGTAGCTCCTACCATTGGGCATTTTCTTGGTACAGATCACAAATAAGAGACATCATAGAAAATGTTATTCTTTTATTATTTCAAGGAGGTAATACATAGCCCAATATGGCAAAGCAAAAGGGAATTAGAGGCAGCAAATGGCCAGGTTTTTCTAAGCGCCTCATGCTGCATCTCTGAGCTCCTGTCTGCCCGCAGCCCACAGCTGCTTACATGAAGGCCAGGTCAGTAGACAGATGGCCCAACTTGATACTCCACTGACTGAGAAAGGGCTCAATGTGCAGCACAGCAGAGGCACTGCCAGGACCCAGCACGCTGGGCGGCACCCCACGCTGCCACCACCAGCTACAGAGGCTAGTGCCTTAGTAGCAGCCAGTGTGTCTAGCACTTGATTTTATTCCTGTGAGCCTAGAGTGGGCAGGACGTGAATAAATCCTGAGTCATAAGTTAAGGTGAAAGACTTAGTAGTGTTAATACTCTTGGTGAGAAAAGACAACACAGTCTTGGAGGAGAGTGGGCTTGGAGTCTGGTGGAAGAAAGATAGAAACCCCCAGAAGGGCCTCGGCCTGCAGGCACTGCCTTGAGGCCATCAGAGGGGGTTTTCACGGTACATGATAGGGAGGAGTGAGGCAGGTGGGCACTGGAGGGCTGTTTCCTCTGGCACAGTTGAACTAGAGGGTCACTTTCCACTCATAATTGGTTTCCTAGGTCTAAGTCACCACACCTGGGGCTGAAGCAAGTCTTGCCTGTGCACCAAGCGTGGCCTTGGACCCTGGAGAGATGCAAGGCTCAGTTCTCCAGTGTTGAAGTGGAAGGACTCCCAACTGAAGGAGATCTTTCTCTCCCCACCTCCAGCTCTTTTCCCTTACAAATGACCAGGGTGCAAGTCGAGAGGCAGAGGCACCTCCTGGTGCAACTCCACCACAGTCTTACAGAGAACTCATCTTGGTGGGACCCAAAGCCCAGCCTTGGCATGAAGCAGACTTATTCCACCCATCGGAGGGCACCCAGTCTGGTGACTGAATGGTGGCGTGCAAGTGGGAGTCAGCAGTGGCTCTGGATGCCGTAATACTCAGATGCCATTCATCTCTGTGTGATCGTCCTGGCTGGAGAGCTGGTGAGGAGGGACTGCTTCCTCCTGGCATGCACTGTTCACCAACCACACCACGTGGGCTGATAGATTTTTGGTTTGACAGGTGTGGAAAGAATTTTTAAAACCAGCCACTGTGTTCTCCAAACCCAGAGCCATTGGTTTTGTTTGACAAGAAAGTACCAAGAGAACCACAGCTCCACTGAGGCTAAGGCTTGTGTAGCACAGAATGCAGTATGTATTGAAACGTATAAACCTTGTCTGACTGGGGAGATGGGTGAGCAAAGAGCTGCCGGGACCCAGGTCCTCTAGTCGGTTGCAGGCTCTGCCGATGTCTCATCCTTAAGCTCCTCAAAACCTGGGACTGGCTTCTGTAGAAAGTATGTAGTGGCCTGGATCACCTTGTCTGGTCCAATGTTGTACACTGGGTGAGTGGGCTGCTGCAAAGAGAAGAAAAGGTGCCAGTTAATCACCCCGGTGGTCCTTGAAAACATAACACATCCTTTGCTCCATGAAAGGCACTTCTAAGAATTTAGTATAAGGAATCAGAGATACACACAAAGCCCAAAGGTTCAAAAATGGTGTATTTGCTAAAACTATCTAGTACATGGGACACAGGTTAATATACAGCCATTATAAACACGCATTTAAATATTTAACGATACAGGCAAATACTTACAACATATTATGTGAGAAAACAGTATGTACAATACTATCTCAAACTGTTTTTTTTTTTTTTTTTTTTTTTTTGAGAGAGTCTTGCTCTGTTGCCCAGGCTGGAGTGCATTGACACGATCTTAGCTCACTGCAACCTCTGCCTCCTGTGTTCAAGCAATTCTCCTGCCTCAGCCTCCTGAGTAGCTGGGATTACAGGTGTGAGCCACCACGCCTGGGTAATTTTTGTATTTTTTTTTTTTTTTTTTGAGACGGAGTCTCTCGCTCTGTCGCCCAGGCTGGAGTGCAGTGGCGGGATCTCGGCTCACTGCAAGCTCCGCCTCCCGGGTTCACGCCATTCTCCTGCCTCAGCCTCCCAAGTAGCTGGGACTACAGGCGCCCGCCACTACGCCCGGCTAATTTTTTGTATTTTTAGTAGAGACGGGGTTTCACCGTTTTAGCCGGGATGGTCTCGATCTCCTGACCTCGTGATCCGCCCGCCTCGGCCTCCCAAAGTGCTGGGATTATTTTTGTATTTTTAGTAGAGACAGGGTTTCACCATGTTGGTCCGGCTGGTCTCGAACTCCTGACCTCAGGTGATCCACCCGCCTCGGCCTCCCAAAGTGCTGGGGTTACAGGTGTGAGCCACCACACCTGGTCTCAAACTTTTTAAAAAGTGTATTTGTACCTGTGATGTATATAAATAGCAAAAATTGTACCCATACCAAAATATTAATAGTGATATGATTGTTTTTCATTTTCTTTTTTATATTTTATGTATCCCAATTATTAAAACAATAAACATGTATTTACATTTATAATCAAGAAAAAGGGGGCCGGACGCGGTGGCTCATGCCTGTAATCCCAGCATTTTGGGAGGCCGAGGTGGATGGATCACCCGAGGTCAGGAGTTCAAGACCAGCCTGGCCAAGATGGTGAAACCCCGTCTCTACAAAAATACAAAAATTAGCCGAGCATGATGGTGAGTGTCTGTAATCCCAGCTAGTTGGGAGGCTGAAGCAGGAGAATTGCTTGAACCCGGGAGGCGGAGGTTGCAGTGAGCCAAGATTGTGCCACTGCACTCTAACCTGGGCAACAGCGAGACTCTGTCTCAAAAAAAAAAAAAAAAGAAAAAAGGACCACAACCCTAATATGTAGTAAGGCTGTCAGATCATATTTAAATATATAAACAAAATTTAAATATGAAATTTAAATTAAATAGATGTTATTCTAGTACATCACAGAAACCCAAAAGAAACTTTAGATTTGACACGGCATAATCCTAGGCCAATATTCAGGATTCTCCCACTGTGGGATAATGAAGAAGGGGACACAACTGCAGGAGAGATTTTAAAAATTTTGAGAGAATACTAGGAGCAACCTCATGCTGAAACATACAAAAATTCAGATAAAACAATAATTTTTAAAAACCAGGAAAACTGCCAAAATTGACTTAAGGAATTTTTAAAGGCCTACATGAAGAAATTAGTAACAACAATTGCTTATTCTGCCACCCCCACATACCTTAAAAGATACTAGACCTAGATGGTTTCTCAGGCAAGTAGTATCAAACCTACAAAGAAACAGATAATCTCTGATCTATACAAACCTTTTAAGGACTGAAAAAAAAAAAGGGGCTAGTGCGGGGGCCAGGTACAATGGCTCACACCTATAATCCCAGCACTTTGGGTGGCTGAGGTAGGATAGCTTGAGGCCAAGAGTTCAAGACCAGACTAGGCAACATAGCAAAACCCTGTCTCTACAAAAAATTTAAAAATTAGCAGGTTCTGGTGGTGTGCACCTGTAGTCCCTGCTACTTGGGAGGCTAAGGCAGGAGGATAGCTTGAGCCCAGGAGTTCCAGGCTGCAGTGAGCTATGATCACAGCACTGTACTCCAGCATGAGTGACAGAGTGAGATCATGTCTCTGAAAAAGAAAAGAAAAAGAAAAAAGGTAAGAGGTGCAGGAAGCTACCCATTTAATTTTATGAGGCTATGATATTATCCTGAAACACTGGAAAAGGACAATACAATAAAATTTTAGATCAATCTTTCTTATGAATGTACATGCAAAAAAATCCTAAATAAAAGTACTAGGCAAACATACTGGCAAACTGAATCCAGCAGTATACTGAACAAAACACACAGACACAGACACACTGCCTCTACTATGACCAAGAAGGGCTTATCCTGGGAATATAAGGCTTAACATCAGAATATTAATGAAACATATCATATTAAAGAAGAAAAATCAGATGCGGAGAAAGCATTCAATAAAATTTAACACTACCTTATGACTGAAACTAACAAAAACAACCTAGCAAATCAGGAATAAAAGTGAATATCACTAACTTGATATAATGTAACTATCACAACCTTACAGTAAACATCATGCTTAATGATCAGGTTATAAAAAGCCTTCCCATTATAATCAGGAGCAAGAGACGAATGCCCTCTACTACCTTTAGTCAGCACTATGTGGGGATCTTACCCAACAATACAAGGCAAGAAAAATAAAATGGAAACTAACTTAGACAAACTTAAAACTATTAAAGAGTTCAACAAGGTGGCTGGACACAAGATTTATAAATATTATTAGCATTTCTATACACTAGTAACAAACAGTTACAAAACTGAAAATAAGAAAAGATTCCAGTCACAAGAGACATGAAAACTGTAAATTAGACATAACTCTAACCGAAAAAAAAAAAATGCTAGTCCTTTATGGAAAAAATTATAAAAAAAACACTGAAAGACATTAAAGAAAAGAAAAATTATGTTCATAAATGGAAGCCTAAATATTGAAAAGAAGTCAGTTCTCTTTGTACTCCTGGGAAGACAGGAAGAAAAAAAAAAAAGTTGGTTCTCTCCTATTAATCTAAAATGTAGTGCAATTCCAATAAAAATCCCATTAGAACTTGACAGGCTGATCCTACAATTCACAGGAAAAAGCAAAAGGCAAAGAATAGCCAAGGCAATTTTGAAGAAAAACAACAAGGCAGACAGGACTTGCCTACCTGTTTTCAGACTTGCTTAAAAGAGTGCAGATAGGCAAACAGACCAAAGGAACAAAATAAGAGAGTCCAGAAACAGGGCCCCTTCATGTATGGAAACTTGAGGGTGTGGTACACATGAGATACACATCAGCAGGAAAGGTTGTAGACTTCAGTAAATGGTGCTGGTCAATTGGTTATCCATATGGAAAAAAGATAACATTATATCCAAGCCTCACCATACACAGAAACCAAATCCAAGAGAATTAAAAATCTAGATTAAAAAAGCAAGCTTTAGACTATTTAGAAGAAGTTACACTTAATGACTTGCTGCATTGCCTTGTTCATTCCCTTCATAGCACGCATCACAATTTGTGATGTATTTGTTTAATGTGTGCCTCCTTTTGTCTGCTTCCCTCAAAAAATGGTAGAGATTCCTTAAGTTAATCCTCACCTACCCTCCCCCAAAAACAAACCCCTGAATGACAGAAAAGACAAATAGATTTGACCACTTCAAAATTAAAATATTAAAATATTTTTGTGGGGAAGGGGTGCTGGGGGCAGGGTCTCACTCTATCTCCCAGACTGGAGCAAACAGAGCTCACTGCAGCCTTGACTACCTGGGCTCAAGCGATTCTCCCACCTCAGCCTCCCAAAGTGCTAGGTTTACAGGTGCGAACCACCATATCTGGCCTAAAATCTTCTATTTAACAAAAAAACACCAAAAACAAAATGCTATGGTTTGGATGTGGTTTATTTGTCCCCACAAAAATTAATGTTGAAATCTGATCCCCAAGATGGCTATGTTGAGAGGTGGGGTTTGTGGAATGTGTTTGGGTTTGAGGGGTGGATCCCTCAGGAGTGCCTTGGTGCTGTTCTTGCAGTAGTGCGTGAGCTCTCACTCTTGCTCTGGGGAGTCTGGATTAGTCCTTGAGGGAATGGATTAGTTCCTGCAAGGGTAGGCTGTTATAAAGCCAGGATGCTCTCAGGCTCTCCTCTGTTTGCATGGGTTGGCTTCCCCTTTGATTTCCACATGTTATAATGCAGCACAACCCTTGCCAGAAGCCAGAGCCATGCCCTTGAATTTCTCAGTCTATAGAACCATGAGCTAAATAAACCTCTTGTCTTTATACATTACCTAGTCTCAGGTATTCTCTTATAGCAATGCAAATCAGAGTCACAAAATGAAAAGACAAGTCACAAGCTGGAAGATATTCACTACACACATGTAACTGATAGAAGATTAGTATTAAAAATATACAGAGAACTACAAATACTTAAGGGAAAACAACTGAAGTTACCCATCAGTAAGAAAATGAGCACAGAATATGAACTGGCAGACAATTCGCAGAAGACAACACAAATGGCCAACAAACATTTGAAAATATTCTCAACCTCACCAGTAATCAGGAAAACACAAAATCAAACAAATACCACTTCACACCCATCAAATTGGCAAAAAGGAAAAGGTCTGACTATGGATCGATTCATCTTACACAACCACACTGGGGAGCAGTTACAGAGGTATCTATCAAAGATGACAATATGTGTCCCCTTCAACCCAGCAGGTCCCCTCCTGGAGACATTCTAACATGTGAACCCAATGAGACAGATACCACAACGTTCACTGCAACACTGTAATAGCAAAAAATTGATAACTAGCAGGAGAACAGAGAAACACACTGGGGTACATTTATATAAGGGAGTATCATATAATAGTTAAAATGAATAAACTGGAGCAACACATGTGAACACAGATAAACCTCAAAAATACAATGGCAAGTGGAAAAAGCAATGCAGAATGACTGGTACAGTAGGTACCATTACAAAAAGTTTGAAAACATGCAAGCAACTGTTATATTGCTTATAAAAAACTATATATTGCTTATAGATACATATGTATGTAGCAATAGCACAAAAACATCCACAGGCATGATACATGTCAAATTTGGGACAGGGTTACCTCTGGAGAAGGAGGGAGGAAAAAAAACTGGAAGAGGGCTACATAAGAGGCAAATAGGGGGAAATAATTAGGGCCTGGAAAAGCTGGGTGGTGGTTTTTCTGATTAAGAATGAGGTTGAGCATCTTTTCAACTATCTATTGGCCATTTGTGTTTCTTCCATTTGAAATGTTTCCCAATTAAAAGAAACAAAGATGGGGCCAGGCGTGGTGGCTCACACATGTAATCCTGGCACCTTGGGAGGCTGAGGCAGGCATATCACTTGAGGCCAGGAGTTTGAGACCAGCCTGGCCAACATGGGGAAACCCTGTCTCTACTAAAAATACAAAAATTAGCTGGGTGTGGTGGTGCATGCCTGTAATCCCAGCTACTCAGGAGGCTGAGGCACGAGAATTGCTTGAACCTGGGAGGTGGAGGTTGCAGTGAGCCAATATCATGCCACTGTACTCCAGCCTGGGTGACAGAGTGAGACTTTGTCTCACAAAAAAAAATTAAAAATTAAAAAAAAAATTTTTTTAAACAAAAAAGGAAGGTTACAATGACACAGATGAGAAAATAAGGCAGTGACCTAGATGGTAGCAGCAGGCCATGTTTACACTGGTGGAAGTAGGGCTTAGTAAGAGTAGGGAACTGCACACAAAAATTCATGACAGTCTGCATGGGCCCTGTGATTTGATCACTGGGGACAGTCTCCATTGGATTCATGTCCAGGCTCACGTCTAGGCTCAGAGCACCTCCAGGTTGTCCTCAGCTGGCTGCAGCAGTGAGCATCCTGCCCTCATAGGGCTATTGTTTTTTCAGGAAAGCAGACAAACACACATTAAACAACACACCACCAACTGAGTAAAGTACTACAAAGAATATGAACAAGGCACTGAGGCAGAGCATTCTGGGGATCTCATTCTCTGAAGAGATGGCATCTAAGCTGAGCCTCTGGGAGAGACGCGGCAGGCTGTACAGCCAGTGCCGCATGGCTGCAGTGCTATCACGAGCCTGCTGGGACTCACAGCCTCAGAGTGACACGTAACTGTGGCCTCCTCTAGGGGAAGCTAATACCAGCAGTGGGCTAGGTCCTCAGCCCTGGGATAAAGGCACAACAGCTCTTTGACAGATCAGACCGCCCATCTGGAACCCTGAGCTTGCCCAGAGGTGCGTCTCCTCTGTGGTCACATCCTCACTAACGGCTGCACAGCTCGAAGGGCAGAGGGACCACAAGCTTCCGCCTGTCCACACAGGAAATGCAGAGCCAGTTCTGCTTACTTGGAAAGCCTTCTGTCCGCGAGGTCCCTGTGGAGAAGGGGTGTGAAGCCCTGCACCCGTCTTACCAGAGCGTTTTCGGGCACACCCAGGACCACATCATGCAACATGGCTCCGCTGCCGAAGTGCTGGGCTATGGACAGGCCGCTCAGGCAGTAGCAGGTGTGGTAGAAATCACGCGACCTGTAAGGACAGGCAGCTCTGAGCAGGCGCTCCTCTGCTCCGCACACATCTACAAATGTAGCCACACCAATTCAGAGACCACTGGTGCAATCACACGTCCCCCCCCATCCTCCATGTGGCTAGAGGAGGCATGGTTTTCCCAGCAGTGTTATTTAAAGCCCCACTGGCTGAGCACAGTGGCTCACACCCATAATCCCAGCAAGCAGGAGGCTGAGGCAAGAGAACGGTTTGAGGCCAGGAGTTCAAAACCAACTTGGGCAACATGGGAGACCCCGTCTCTACAAAAAATTAAAAATTAGCTAGGTGTGGTGGCCGATGCCTGTAATTCCAGTTACTTGGGAGGCTGAAGCAGGAGGATCACTCGAGCCCAAGAGGTGAAGGCTGCAGTGAGTCATGATTGTGACACTGCACTCCAGCCTGGGTGACAGAGTGAGACCCTGTCTCAAAAAAGTAAAATACAATAAAATAAAAGCCCCATCCTCCAGCCCTGCCCAGCAGTGGGAACTGTATTTTTTTTCTTTTCTTTCTTTTTTTACCTTAAACTATTAAAGGAAACTGTAATTTTAAAGTCAGTCTCTCCAGCTGTCTTCTGGAAAGGGCTCTCCAGGGGCAGTACTAATGATAAATTGATACACTTCTCTAGAAAAATACCTAAATATCTAGAAATGGGCCACATCCTTCCTGATACATTGTGGGACCAGGCCTTCCCCTGGATGCCAAGAGCAGCAGGACGTGTGCTGGGATGGGGGAAGACAGAGGGTGGGTAACAAAGGTGAGAGGACTTATTTTATTTCCCTTTTTCTAACACATAAGCCATCTCAGATTTGAGCTTAATCATTTAATCCACTCTATAATAGTTGTCATGATTACAGTCTCTGTTTACAACACTGAGGGGTTTTAAAATCCTGTATCCTATTCTATTTAGATCAGTTTTTTTTTGTTTTTTTTAAAAAAAAGAAGAGTTATCTACCCAGCAATCTGTTTCCCTGTCTGGGGGAGGGGGTTGCATGCAGGCTGGGGGACAAGACGGGCAGCTGGAGGTGCCAAGATCAATGGCCTCAAGGGGTGCTCCCAACTGGGTGCTTTTTCCCATACAACCTAGCGCTATGCAGGTGCTGAAGGTGACACCTCTGCTCTTGAGATCTGGCTCTGAGTAGGCCTGAGGTGCACGCCCCTCTGCTCTCTCCTCCCCTCTCCCTTCCCTCCCCAGAGAGAAAACACTCACTTGCCAGGTTTATCCAGAAGCCCCCCCGCAGGGCACTGGCAGCACATCAGGATGTACTCCTGCAGGGCCTGCTGATGGAACATCCAGTGGCTCATGCTAAGGGCAGGGTCACCTGTTGAAGGGCAAAGGGTCAGTAAGGGCCCGGCAGATCCAGCCAAGTATCAATGACCTAATTCCACTTTCTCACCTGGGGGAATAGTCAAGGTTTCCTGCTCCCCTTCCTCTTCCATTCATTCTTGGTACAACTGCTATCTTCCCCATGTCCTACGCACAGCATGTCCCTTCTCCTGAACTTTGACATGTGTCAAAGAGCAGCAATTCAAAGTGGCACTTTCACTTTCTTGAAATGCACCCTGTTAACGTGGATGGTGATCCTCAACCACATCTCTGGCAGGCAGTGAACCAGCCTAGCTGTTTAGCTTACCTTCCCAGACTGACCTCGGTAGCTGCTCCCAACTTGGTCCATAACTCTACCCTGGACTTCAAGAGACATTCCCTCTAGCATATCTCTATAACTTGTTAACCAGACTGATTAGCTCAGAGAACTCTTAATGGGTAATAAAGTCTGTTTCTTCTACTTTTCTAAGCCTAAATTTAATTGATCTCCAAAGGGAATTCTCTAACTTGTCTCTCAGCTCAAAGAATTTACCTAAGAAACATTACTAGTAACTGCCCTCCTGCATCATATGATACCCTAGCAAAAACTGGGTATTCTGGTAATACTACTAAGGTACTGACAAGCAACTGGACTTCTTCACTCTGAAGTCCAATCACTATGGTCAAAGAATTCTGTGGGCCACACAGTTATCAAGTGGGAAGGAGGGACAAATCACGGACAGGTGTGCAGAAACATCTGCATAGAAATCGATTAAAAATATATATACATATAGGATGTACACTAAGTCCTTGGTCAATTTTATATTTTGATACCTGGGCTAAAAGATGCCTGACAATAAATCATTTTTAAAAAAAAGATGCCCAACAATTGGTAAATGGCACCTGAAAGCTAATTGTTCTTTCTTCCAGTCTTTTTGGTTCTATGCGTTTTTCTACCTAGTTATTATAACTGTGTAGCTTATGTTTTTCACTTATACCACTATAGGCATAAATTTTCTATTCTATTACATAATCTGCATAGCCATCACTGTGAATAGCCATATAGTATTTCATTAAGTGGACATATAAGGTAACTGTATCATAAAAAGAACTGAGCTAAAAATCTTATATATATGTCAGTATATAAATTCCTATGGTGGGCCAGGCACGATGGCTTATGCCTGTAATCCCAGCACTTTGGGAGGCTGAGGGGGGTTGATCACGAGGTCAGGAGATCGAGACCATCCCGGCTAACACGGTGAAACCCTGTCTCTACTAAAAATACAAAAAAATTAGCCGGACATGGTGGTGGGCGCCTGTAGTCCCAGCTACTCAGGAGGCTGAGGCAGGAGAATGGCGTGAACCCAGGAGGCGGAGTTTGCAGTGAGCTGAGATCACACCACTGCACTCCAGCCTGGGCGACACAGCGAGACTCCATCTCAAAAAAAAAAAAAAATTCCTATGGTGAAAATTATAAAAGTTTATGGTATCAATAACCTTTCCCATTTTGGAGAAAATAGCAAAAAAGAAAAACGGGGGAAAAGATTTCTAAAAATAAAAATGAAAAGTTTATGATACAGTCTATAAAGAGATTGAAGCAAAATATTAAACTGTTGAATATTTCCTTTTTTTTTTTCTTTTTTGAGACAGAGTCTCACTCTGTTGCCCAGGTTGGAGGGCAATGGCACGATCTCGGCTCACTGCAACCTCCGCCTCCCGGGTTCAAGCGATTGTCCTGCCTCAGCCTCCCGAGTAGCTGGGATTACAGGCATGCACCACCATGCCTGGCTAATTCTTGTATTTTTAGTAGAGACATGGTTTCACTATGTTGGTCAGGCTGCTCTCTAACTCCTGACCTCAGGTGACCCACCCTCTTTTGGCCTCCCAAAGTACTGGGATTACAGGCATGGGCCACCGCACCCAGCCTAAATTGTTGAATATTTCAAACAGACAATAAGAATTTATTAAATTTCTTTAAAAAGAGACACAGAGGAAAAGGGTTTCCAAGGTTGAGCACTAGGTGAGGGACAGTGGCCAGGTGACATTTAGAGGCCAGGGACAAAAGCTTCTCGTCTTCAACCCTGAGTCGCACTCAGCCCTGAAACACCCATTAAGAGACACAGGAAACTAAGTCCGACCTAAGGAGAAGCATCCAATCTCCCATCTCAGGCTGGCTGCAGGCCACATGCTTTGATACACTTGCACTATTTTAATTCCCTTCCTTTCTTTTCCTCACCTGTAAGCACAGTGAACTTTGTTGTAGAAGATACATACATATATGATGGGACTTCACTCTATCTTCTTTTACTTATTTCCAAGGTTGTTTCCAGTTCCTTGCCATTATGAGGAATGCTGGACTAAATCTTTGTCAATATTATGTATGCTTAAGATTATTTTCTTCAAATAGACTGACCACGGTGGAATTATTCGGTTAAAGGGAATAAACATTGTTAAGGCTTTTAATAGATACTGATAAACTGCTTTAAGAATTTATAGACTACTCTCAGCACAATCCCTGTGGAGTAGCCCTGCTCTGCAGGAGCTGTCAAAAATAAATATATAAATAAACTAAAAATAAAAACAAAGACTTTATATAGCTACCAGCAAAATTTAAAATTTTGCTATACCACCTCCAGCATTAGCACCTTTTTGTTGTTGTTGTTGAGATGCTATCTTGCTCTGTCGCCCAGGCTGGAGTGCAGTGGTGTGATCTCAGCTCACTGCAACCTCTGCCTCCCAGGTTCAAGTCATTCTCCTGTCTCAGCCTCCTGAGTACCTTGGATTACAGGTACAAGCCCCCACGCCTGGCTAATTTTTGCATTTTTAGTAGAGACAGGGTTTCACTATGTTGATCAAGCCAGTCTCGAACTCCTAAAATGATCTGCCCAACTCGGCTTCCCAAAGTGCTAGGATTACAGGCGTGAGCCACCACGCCCGGCCAGCTTTAGTTACTTTTTAAAAGTTATCAGCAATTAAAATGGTAAAAAGAAATAGTACCTGATAGTTTATTTTGATTTGCATGCCTCTGATTACTAATTAGGGTGAAATTTTTCCATAACTTGTGTTTAATATTTGCATTTCCTTATGATGGTGTCTGTTTGGCCTAATCTTCTGAGATCCAATAGCCAATTTTATTAATCTAGCTTTTTCTTATACTTGCCCCTTGTCTACATCATATGCTGCATCTATTTTCTCCTTTTTGCTCCTCTGTTTTGGTTATGTGAGTTTAAAACTTTTTAAAATTTTTAAAATTTAATTAATGTAAAACATATATATGTTTTATACTTAATATTGTAATCATACTATTGATTTTTCCTTCACGATTTCCTTTTTAAGAAAATATTTAATGTGTATGGGGATTTTTGGGGGGATGAGTGATGAAAATGTTCTAAAATTGTCATGATGGTTCGCAACTGAATAGGTAAGTTGTGTGGTATGGGAATTATATCTCAACAAAGCTATTATTTAAAAAAGCATATTTATTAAACTTTAGGAAACTGCATTACACATCTGTACAAAATGTACATATATTTCATATCCTATAACAAATAAAAGACTATTATTATAAGGTAAATGATAACCTGTGGCTAAAATTAGAGTCTGAAAAGAAAACGCTATGTTTATTATATAAAAAACTATAGACTGTTTCAGTGACTTCCTATATTATTAAAGCATAGAAGCTCAAAGTTCAAAAGCTCTACAAGGAGCTTCCAGATATCCTGAATTTGGACACCAGCACACATAATCACAACAAGATGAAAGCAGATACGATTATAGGGTGATAACTGCACACTGGAATCCACCTTTTAAATCCTTTCTACCTCTTCCTGAAATTATAGGTCGCCATTCTAATCTCATTTTGCATTTCAAAGGTTCCTTTTATCTAAAAAAATCAAAAGTCTTTCCACACCATAACTGATAGGTGCAGCCATCTGTAGCTCAATTTCACAGGTAGGCAAGAAAATTCCAGGGTATGTCCAAAAGAACATATAAGAAACCAGTAACTACCAAGCCAAGTGGAAACTCACAGGCCTGCTGCTTTCTTATTGCTCCACAAAACAAAAAAACAAAGTAACTCACTGATTTAGTCAGCACTTGAGATTTCTTAAGCCTTTTTTTTTTTTTTTTAGACGGAGTCCTGCCCTGTTACCCAGGCTGGAGTGCAACGGCGCGATCTCAGCTCACTGCAACCTCCGCCTCCGGGGTTCAAGGGATTCTCCTGCCTCAGCCTCCTGAGTAGCTGGGATTACAGGCAACGTGGCACCATGCCTGGCTAATTTTTTGTATCTTTAGTAGAGATGGGGTTTCACCATGTTGGCCAGGCTGGTCTTGAACTCCTGAGCTCATGATCCACCCACCTCGGCCTCCCAAAATGCTGGGATTACAGGCTTTTGTGTTTTTTTGAGACAAAGTCTTGCTCTGTCGCTCAGGCTGGAGTTGCAGTGGCACTCTCTGCCTGCAACCTCTGCCTCCCAGACTCAAGTGATCCTTCTACCTCAGCCTCCTGAGTAGCTAGGACTACAGGCATGTGCCACCATGTCTGGTTAACTGTTTTTAATTTTTTGTAGAGACAAGCTCTCACTATATTGCCCAGGCTGGTCTTGAACTCCTGAGCTCAAGAGGTCCTCCTGCTTTGGCCTCCCAAAGTGCTGGGATTATGGTCATGAACCACCATGTCCAGCATTTTAAGGTACTAATAGTAATTCCTTCTTCTACTCAAATACTGTCATTTACACATAGAAGGTAGTCAATGGCATGGAGCCACTGATGGTCACTTGCTGGGTCAGGGCATGGCCTAGACCCACGTGCTGCACTATGTAGAGCATTCTTTTTGCTTTTTAGTTAGCAATATGATCAATGCCTTTTAAAAAATGTATTTGTACATTTACCAAAATAAAATTAGTAATGCACATGGTTTTTTTTTTTTTAAAGGCACAGTATAATACAGAAGGATAGAAAATCTAAAAAGTTGGCCAGGTATGGTGGCTCACGCCTGTAATCTCAGCACTTTGTGTGGCCAAGGAAGGTGGATCACTTGAGGCCAGGAGTTTGAGACCAGCCAGGCCAACATAGTCATATCCTGTCTCTACTAAAAATAGAAAACATTGGCTGGGTGTGGTGGTACACGCCTGTAATCCCAGCTACACAGGAGGCTGAGGCAAGAAAATCAATTGAACCGAGGAGGCTACAGTGAGCCGAGATTGCACCACTGCACTCCAGCCTCAGCAACAGAGTGAGACTCTGTCTCAAAAAAAAAAAAAAAAAAAAAAAAAAATCTAAAAAGTCTCCCTCCTTCTGTCTTCTGTCTGCTTCTCTTCTCCCAAAGGTACCCATTGTTCAAGGGGTTTTGTGTAGGGTTCCAGGAAAAGCTGTGTACATCTCGGGCTGTGTGCCCAGGCACTGCTCCAGGCCCCGCCCCCTTACACTTCATGTTGTATCTTGCAGAGCTTTCTATATCAGCCCATGGTATGCAGCTACTGTTTGGAGAGATTTTTATTATTTAACCCTTAACCTTTTGATAGGCACTTAGGCTGCTATTGAAACTCCACTTCAATATACATCCTTTGCTAATATCCCTGCAGGTAAATTCCTGACAGTGCACTTGCTGTGTTCAAAGGGTAAGTGCCCTTATAATTTAAATGGATGTCTCCAAACTGCCCTCCAAAAAATGACTTAACCTATTTACATCCCCACTATCAAATTACCTGTTTTCTCACACTCTCCCCAACATAGGGTATCAAGTTTTTTAATCTCTGCCAATCCAATAATAAAAACAAATAGTGCCACTCTTTTGATTAGCATTTCTTTTACTACAAGTGAGCTAAACAATTTTTCGTTGGATTAATGGCCACCTACTGTGGTTATGAGCAGGGCAGGGTTCAGATGCCAGCTAGTCTGGATTCACACAACCACATACTAACCCTTGTGAGTGCCAATCAGGTATTATAAAGCAATCACTTAACCTCACTGTAGTTTGTTTCCTCATCTGTAAACAATGGTACCTATTTCATAGGGTTGTTTTGAGAATTAAATGAGAAAACATATGTGAAATGCTCAGTACAGCCCCTGGCATACAGTGAGGGCTTGGGAAGACTCCGCTACCAGTAGTAGTGGCAGTTGTAGTAGAAAAAGTAAGAAGGACAGTTCTTTCACTGGGACCTCTTTCTTCAGATCCTTTGCCTGTTTTTCAGTTGGGTTGTCCATCCATTTCTTACTGGTTTGTATGATTTTTTTTCAAATTAAAGAAATTAGCCATTCATCACTTGTTATAAATATTTTTCGCACCTTTTTGCTTGTTTTGTTTGTAGAATTTCCCTGTTTCTGTAAAATAACTTTTGTTGTCTTTTTTTATGCAAGAAATACCTATTAACTATAGAAAGATTAGAAAATACAAACAGAAGCAAACATCACCTGTAACTTCACATCCTAGATACTTTCTATGAATTTTTTGTAGTCAACTCTTCACTAAAAATGGGATTCCACACATATTGCTTTGATATGATCACAATATATTGTGACTATCTTTCTACACTGCATCCCCTTTTGACTCCCAAAGTCAGTATTTTGCCCTCCTTTCAACACACTTCCCTTCTTTACAGACTCCTGTCTGTTCCAAGTTCAAGAGATGCCCTGTGTCTGAGAAGACAACACAGGCCTTCTCCCAGCCAATGAAAAAAGCTGGAAGCACCAAGATTCATAGGCACCCTTTTCCATAGACAAAGCTTTGAATGCCACTAAGCCCCCTAGAACATGTGCTACAAGAAACAATTAACCAGCAGCCCCCCTGGAAGACTTTGACAGGTGGTGCTCCTGTTATAGCTCATTCCACATTTCCCTGGGATTGCAGAATTACTGAGTCTTATCCATGCCAGGGACAGGTTTGTAAAAGACTGACCATTTTACCAGGGGCTTGACCTCACCAGTTCCAAATAAAGAGATCACCATGACCCCAAGTTTTTTTCTATCTTAGAAATGTTGGGCCAGGCACGGTGGCTCACGCCTGTAATCCCAGCACTTTGGGAGGCCAAGGCGGACAGATCACCTGAGGTCAGGAGTTCGAGACCAGCCTGACCAACATGGAGAAACCCTGTCTCTACTAAAAATACAAAATTGGCTGGGCGTGGTGGTGCATGCCTATAATCCCAGCTATTTAGGAGGCTAAGGCAGGAGAATTACTTGAACCCAGGGGGCAGAGGTTGCAGTGATCCATTGCACTCCGGCCTGGGCAACAAGAGTGAAACTCCGTCTCAAAAAAAAATAATACTAAAATAAAAAATGTTTGACTTGGGGAATTCCTGACTTCCCTACTGGTGGTCAAGGCAGAGACTGTGCAGGCTCCAAAGTCAGTGCACTTGCTGACAGTGCACTTGCTGTGTTCCAAGGGTAAGTGCCTTATATGCCTTAATACTGACACCTAAAGCCCAGTGGGCCCAGGCCGGGAAAATGGGACAGAGGCTCTGCTTACTTTAATTCAGTGTCAGAAATGGTCACAACTCAACAACTCAAAGGAAATTAAGAAACTAAATAATGAGGCTCAGGGCCGGGTGCGGTGGCTCACGCCTATAATCCCAGCACTTTGGGAGGCCGAAGTGGGCGGATCACCTGAGGTAAGGAGTTCAAGAACAGCCTGTCCAACATGGTGAAACCCTGTCTCTACTAAAAATACAAAAATTAGCCAGGTGTGGTGGCACGCGCCTGTAGTCCCAGCTACTCAGGAGGCTGAGGCAGGAGAATTGCTTGAACCTGGGAGGTGGAGGCTGCAGTGAGCCAAGATCGTGCCACTGCACTCCAGCCTGGGAGACAGAGCACGACTCCATCTCGGGGGCGGCGGGGAGGGGGGAAGACGGGGGGTGGGGGGCTCAGAAACAGGAAAAAAAAGTATGGGGAGGGGCAGAAAAGAATCTCATCTTTTACATTTGAGCAGTTACATTATCCAACTAAGTCCGAAGAACAGCTTCTCTTTGGACCCAGGGATCTCATTCCAAAAACAGATCAGCAACCAGCAGGGCCCCATGACTTCCTCTCTCCCACAGGTCTACTCAGAGACACCTGCTCTCACATCAAGTACACCAGAAAGATGGTGCAGGAGTTAGCAGGCAGACTGAGGTTTCAAGAGATAGAGAGAGAATGTTCCCAGACTTTTTGCTCACTAACTACTTCGGTTTTGCGTTCCCATTTGAGACCCCACAGAAACGAACGTGGATTTCTCTACTCCAATGGTGCAGGTGGAACAAACTCCCATTTAGGCTTATTCAATGAATGTAAAATAAAACATTTCTAATAGTGACAACTCTGCAGCCAGTCAGACACGGCGAGTCTCTTCTCCATGGTGTAGGGGCAACCCACCCCTACAACCCACCCCTACACATGGGTTCTGGTTCTCTACCCCTTTACGCAGTTGCCTTTCCTGTTGCTGTTGCAACAGTGACTGTTGCAACACTGAGGGTTTTCAGCTCTGCCCTGCACCCAGAGGAGGTGGCAATCACCACAGAGCCCAGGACAGGAGTGGGCTGCTCCTTCCAGATAACGCAGAAGCAGCGCCCACTTCCTCCCCGCTCCCCGTAGCAATTTCAAGGAAGCTCATTCTGTCGCAGCCAATTTGAAGAAGCAAAGAATGACACTAAACCAATGAAACTAAATCTTACTCTGCATTCGCATGCCCCACGGCATGAGGTTCCACACTGGGCACTCAAAATCCAGGATAGACAGAGCTCATTTCAACCCCTCTAAAAAAGCACGCTGGGCTTCCAGACTTTGTGAGTAGTGGAGGGAAATCATCCAGCCCCAAGTGAACAGCTCCCCAGGCTCACCTTGGGCGTGCAGTGCGCGGTGGAGCAGGGGCAGGAGCCCCGCCTGCCAGAAGGAGTAGCAGCCATCCACCAGCTTGTTGCAGCGGCCCTGAAATCCTCCTTCAAATCGCATCTGCCGGCTTGTCACCCATTGCTGAGGAGACACAGATGGGAAAGGCAGTTGTAGGCTAAAAGAGACAAAATCCAGCCCGACAGAATCTCCAGGAGTCAATCTGTGGGATGGAGGGTTTCCCATCTTGTGGCTTCTTGGCACTCTAGTTTTGGTGCTCTGGTTTTCTTTCCTTCCCTCCCCACACTGCCATAGACACAGAGTGAAGCATTTAAGCCAACGCTGTAGAGGCATCCAGCACTGATCTCTGCTCAATGCCTGGCAGACAACTACCTTTTCCTGGGTTCCAAAGCAGTGCCAGTGCTGAGAAGATAAAGAGGCCAAGCTGGTTTGTAAGGAGACCTTCAAAGTCTCTTAATAAACATGGCTTAAGTTGGAAATTGAAGGCAAGACTACCAGTAGCTCATTTCTCATTACTTCCCTGCTCCGGGGAGTTTATTAAAAGCAGATAAATGGAATTTGGTACTACATTTCTTTTTTTTTTTTTTTTTTTTTTTTTTTTTTTTGAGACGGAGTCTCGCTCTGTCGCCCAGGCCGGACTGCGGACTGCAGTGGCGCAATCTCGGCTCACTGCAAGCTCCGCTTCCCGGGTTCACGCCATTCTCCTGCCTCAGCCTCCCGAGTAGCTGGGACCACAGGCGCCCGCCACCGCGCCCGGCTAATTTTTTGTATTTTTAGTAGAGACGGGGTTTCACCTTGTTAGCCAGGATGGTCTCGATCTCCTGACCTCATGATCCACCCGCCTCGGCCTCCCAAAGTGCTGGGATTACAGGCGTGAGCCACCGTGCCCGGCCTGGTACTACATTTCATCAGATGATCTCAAACTGCTCCTGACTTTTACTTGGCACCTGGGGAAATTTACCCAAGGTCTCTTAGCAAGTCACTAGCAGGCCTGAAAGCAGAAGCCATTCATTCTAATTACCAAATGACAACTCTGCCCAGTCTGTGGCTGATATAAGAAAATCTTTTACTTTGAAGCTGTAAAATAGGTCTTGGTCTTGATGTCACTCAGCGGTCACACACGATACCACCATTCCTTGCTTATCTACAAGTTTTCTAAACACACTCTACTACAAAGATCAAGATAGTCATGGGTTTGGTCCCTCAGAATGAGCAGAACCAACTGGCTGAGCAGATATGACATTTCCATTTCCCTCCCTAGACCACCTAGGCCGTTCCAGCCACGGACTTACAGAGCTGCCTCACTCAACTGAAAGGGTACAGGGGAGGGTACTTCCTGTTTCTAGAGTCTTACTAGGTAAAGGTCCTGAAAGGAGCCACTGGGACCCTTGATGGAAGTGGGGGCCAGCCCTCCCCTAAAAGCTGTTGTTTAGATTATTCCCTCTTCAAGGCAACACCTGCCCATAGAGAGTCACAGTCACAAATGCTTAAAAGAGACAGAAAACACTGTACTGCAGGTTCAGGTACTAATATATCCTCGGTTGATCTTAAATGAACCAGGGCTTCCAGCATGTAATGGAAGTGGGCTAAGCATTACTCAGGCAGAGAGAAAGCAGGCGCTGCAGTGGGAGTCGGTTCCTCATTTCTACTTACCGCAGGGCTTAAGTGTTTTTAAGCAGACTAATTTACTTTTTCCAGTGCCTAAGCCCATGGATTTGTTCTGTTTCCTTGGGCTATAGGAATTCATACTTCAGATATGGGTCCTACTTCTCCCAAAGCAAATGGAAGGGAGTAGTCTGGATTAGAGCAGGGGTCCCTAACCCCCAGACCATGCCAGGCTGCACAGCAGGACATGAGTGGTGGGTGAGCCAGTGAAGCTTAATCTGTATTTACAGCTGCTCCTCACTGCTCCCATTACTGCCTGAGCTCCACTTCCTGACAGATCAGCAGCAGCATTAGATTCTCATAGGAGCGCAAACCCTACTGTGAACCGTGTATGCCAGGCTTCTAGGTTGCACGCTCTACATGAGAGTCTAATGCCTGATGATCTGTCACTGTCTCCCATCACCCCCAAATGGGACTGTCTAGTTGAAAGAAAACAAGCTCAGGGCTCTCACTGATTCTACATTATGGTGAGTTGTATAATTATTTCATTATATATTACAGTGTAATAATAGAAATAAAGTACACAATAAATGTAATGTACTTGAATCATCCTGAAGCCATCACCCCCCGTCCCACCCCCAACCCCAGGTCCACGGAAAAATTATCTCCCACAAAACTGGTCCCTTGTGCCAAAAAGATTATTACTGTGGGTTAGAGGGACACTAACATTTATTAAGTACCTACTATGTGCCAGGCTGTTTATAAATGTTCTCTCCTTTAACCTTAAAAAAATAAGGATTGTTATCCCTACCTTATAAAAGAAAAAAATATCAAGCTAAAAGAGATTAGACAATTTGCCCAAGGACTCATGTCTCAAATGTAGTAGGGACAGGGTTCAAATCTAGAACACTGTCTTTATAACTGAGGCACTCCCTAATCACATTCCTTATCTCTGCCTGGGAGATGGGACTTTTTTGTTTCATGCCTTATTGGTGTTCAGATTTTAAAACATCTGAGAAACTCTTAAGTTCAGCATACAAAGTTGGCTGTTTCAGCATGAGCCTTCAAGCCTTCATGAATCTTTAAAAAGACTACACCGGGGGAGGCTTTCTGAAGGTGGAGGCAAGACACTGCTGGTTACATGTCTACAGGGTACAACAGAAACTCTCCAGGAAGCTCACGATGGGCCGCATAACGGGAGGCTGGCATCTGAACTCAGGGAGAGGAGGTGCATGTCAGTTGCAGCTGGTTTGCTTTGACGTCATGGTCAGGGGGTACATGCTCCCCAAATGACATGACGGGGAATGCCTTCTCCCTGGTGGCCGTGGAGGTGTGTGTGTTTGTGCACCCACTGATCATTTAACTACAATCTAGTGACTCCCTGAAGCTGACTGCTTTCTGAGTTTCTTCTGAATACTGGCCAGGAGCGTGGGGTCCAGACATAAATGTTGGGCTGCCTTCTCAATGCAATTAGCCAGCTCTGCCTAAACAACTCATTTAAATGTAGGTACTAAATGTTTACACAGTGCAGCAGGTAATAAAAGTTTGGTTTCGAAATGCTGCAAAGCTCTTCTTGTAACTTTTCCTCTTAGGAGGTTCTTTCTATAACACACGATAACCTCTAATTCTACGAAACTGAAGTATAAGGAAGGTACTCTGCTCACACCAGATGTCTGCAGCACACAGTCTATGTAGTCTACACACTATGTAAAAAGCTCTAAGCAGGAAGACAGAAAGGCAGAAGGGGGAGCCAAGACAGAGCAGCTGCTCACTCCTTCCTCTGTGTTGGAACAGAGCTAACTCTCTTAGCCCTTCCCATAGCCAAACTCTCCTGAAGCCTGCATGTCTGAGTACAATCACATCACCATGACCTGGGGCCTGAGAGGGGGATGGCTCAAAAGATACTTACTAATAAGCTCTTCAAGTTCAAGGAACGTTCCCTCTTGAGGATTACCAGCGCGGCCAGGCCACAGAAGGTATAGCCACCATGGGCTTCCATCCCTGGTACCCCGCCAATGCCACCTTCCCAGTTCTGACACCTAAGAAGAGATTGAGAAAAGCAGAATGAGTGGCCAGTGAGTGGACGTACACAAGACCAGGACCATCCTAGGTGGCAGAGAAAAAGTTCACTCAGATTAAGGTGTGAACCATCACAACTATGAATGAAAAGATGCCAACTAATTAACTTTTGGAAATGTCTTTTCAAAAAAAAAAAAAAAAAAAAGCTGGGCCTGGTGGCACCCATGTGTAATCCCAGCTGCTCAGGAGACTAAGGCAAGAAGATCACTTGAGGCGAGGAGTTCGAGGCTGCAGTGAGCTATGATCACACCATTGTGCTCCAGCCCGGGTGAAAGAGTGAGACTAGGTCTCCAAAAAATGTAAGTATAATAAAAACTGTAAAATGTTAAAAACCCAGACACTTAGAAACAGCCTACTTGTGTAAGAAACATAATAATTCAAATTATTACTCTTTGGGAAAAAGTTATAAAATCATACATATACATATATGTACATATATACACATATATATACATATATATATATACACACATATATATACATATATATACATATATATATAGTGATAACCATCAAGTTAAAATAAAATTAAAGAGTGATTGTTGATTCTAGTGATCTTTTATTTTTGAAACAGGGTCTTAACTCTGTTACCTAGGTTGACTGCAGATCATGGCTCACTGCAGCCTCAACCTCCTGGACTCAGGCAATCCTCCCACCTCAGCCTCCTGAGTAGCTGGGACTATGGGCGTGCCCCACCATACCCGGACCATTTTTTGTATTTTTTGTAGAGATGGGGCATTGCCATGTTACCCAGGCTGGTCTTAAATTTCTGGCCTCAAGGAATCCTCCCACCCCAGCATCCCAAAGCGTTGGGATGACAGGCATGGGCCACCGCACTTGGCCTCTGGTGATCTTTGAGTACAGGTCTACTAGTAATATTTTTCCTTTTTGTTTTTCTATTTGTTCAAAAAGTTTTTATAATGAACCTGTATACTATTAAAAAATAAACGTTATTTTTAAAAATTATAATTAGGCCAGGTGGTGATGGCTTCTTAAACAGCCTGCAGAACCATGAGCCAAATAAACCTCTTTTCTTTCTAAGTTACCCAGCCTCAGGTATTCCTTTATACTGACACAAAATGGACTAACACAAGAAGGACAAGAAATAACTGACTTAGTAGAATAGAGAAACCTTTCCTACCCAAAGGATAGGGATGGGAGAGGGGCAACAAAAAGCAAGGTGATCTGCTCCAATAAAAGGCTCCAGGATTAGAGATACAGGGAACCTCCACAAAGTGGAATGCGTCTGAACCAAGTTTGTTGGTTGCAAACTTATATAAGAATCAGACCTTTAAGTCCCCTACTCAAATCCAGCAGAAGATGGGAAGTTTCAGAGGTTTAATCAAAAGGATCTGAGTTCCAGAATATCCAACAAGCTAAGAGGAGGAGGGAGCACTGTACCAAATGTGATTACGTGAGAGTCAGTAATCTCAACACAATACCCCCAGCCCCATTCCTCTGTGTATTTCACACAAGGCTGCCAGTTTCATACCCCAAGCAGGAATTTAGAAGATTCCTCTCTGAGGGAACTGATAAGCCCAAGGGAAAAACCCTACAGACACTGCTTTGAGAATTCCCCAATGAATGGCTTGATCCTGCCCACTCTCGCAGAGCTCCCCAGCAGCTTTTCAGTGCTGGATCCTTAAATATGAACAGACAGCTGTAGAGTACCAGACATTTGACCACAGTCTCTACTATGAAAGAGGAGACCAAAACAAACAAAAATAAATTGGAGGAAATAAGACAGGGAGCAAAAGAAAACTTTTTAAAGTTGTATCTTTAGATAAAATATTATATGAAGTAAGACTATTGAGAGGACAAAATATCCCCAGAAAAGAACAAGAGAGTAGATAAAAAAGTAGTCAGGAAGTAAAAGTAGTCAGGGAGGAAAACTAAAAATAGGATTACAAAAATAAAAACAAGAGGATTAGAAGATAAATACTAAGAGAATCTCTCAAAGTATAAGAAGAAGGATTAAGAGATGGAAACGAACCATGCAATGAAATATTTTTATTTTTATTTATTTATTTTTGAGACAGAGTCTCGCTCTGATGCCGAGGCTGGAGTACAGTGGCACAATCTTGGCTCACTGCAACCTCCGCCTCCTGGGTTCAAGTGATTCTCCTGCCTCAGCCTCCTGAGTACGTGGGATTACAGGTGCATGCCACCACGCCCGGCTAATTTTTGTATTTTTAGTAAAGACAGGGTTTCACCATGTTGGTCAGGCTGGTTTCGAACTCCTGACCTCGTGATCTGCCTGCCTTGGCCTCCCAAAGTGCTGGGATTACAGGTATGAGCCACTGCACCCGGCAGTATTATTTTTATTTATTTATTTATTTTGAGATGGAGTCTCACACTGTCACCTGGGCTGGAGTGCAATGGTGCGATCTCGGCTCACTGCAACCTCTGCCTCCTGGGTTCAAGCAATTCTCCTGCCTCAGCCTCCCGAGTAGCTGGGATTACAGGTACCCACCACCACACCCGGCTAATGTTTTGTATATTTTGTAGAGGCTGGGTTTCACTATGTTGGCCAAGCTGGTCTCGAACTCCTGACCTCGTGATCCGCCCGCCTCAGCCTCCCAAAGTGTTAGGATTACAGGCGTGAGCCACCACGCCCAGCCTCAAAGTATTCTTAAAAGTCAGACAATCAAATGTACTAATGGGATGTCATATTTTTAAAAGGCTGGCCAGGTGCGGGGGCTCATGCCTGTAATCCCAGCACTTTGGGAGACCAAGGCAGGAGGATCATTTGAGGTCAGGAGTTTGAGACTAACCTGATCAACATGGCGAAACCCCGTAAAAATTAGCTGGGTGTCGTGGCGCACGCCTATAATCCCAGCTACTTGGGAGGCTGAGGCAGGAGAATCGCTTGAACCTGGGAGAAAGAGGTTGCAGTGAGCTGGTCTGCACCACCGCACTCCAGCCTGGGCAACAGAGCAAGGCACCATCTCAATAAATAAATAAATAAATAAATAAATAAATAAATAAATAAATAAATAAATAAATAATAAATAAATAAATAAGAGGCTGGGCATGGTGGCTCACACCTGTAATCCCAGCACTTGGGGAAGCCGCAGCAGGAGGATTACGTCAGCCCAGGAGTTTGAGACCAACCTGGGCAATGTGGTGAGGCTTTGTCTCTACAAAAATTTAAAAAATTAGCGGATGGTGGATGCCTGTAGTCACAGCTACTCAGGAGGCTGAGGATGATCACTTGAGCCTGGAAAGTCGAGGCAACAGTGAACCATGATCGTGTCACTGCACTCCAATCTGGGAGACACATAAAACAAAAAGAGACGTCTCAAAAAAAAAAAAAAAAAAAAAAAAAAAAAAAAAAAAAAAAAAAGGGCCCGGCGTGGTGGCTCACGCCTATAATCTCAGCACTTTGGGAGGCCGAGGCAGGCGATCACTTGAGGTCAGGAGTTCGAGACCAGCCTGGCCAACATGGTAAAACCCCATCTCTACTAAAAATACAAAAATTAGCTGGGCGTGGTCGTGGGCTTCTGTAGTCCCAGCTACTCAGGAGGCTGAGGCAGGAGAATTGCTGGAACCTGAGAGGCAGAGGTTGCAGTGAGCCGAGATCACGCCATTGCACTCCAGCCCGGGTAACAACAGCAAGACTCCGTCTCAAAGGAAAAAAAAAAAAGAGCAAACACAGAAAACACAAGAGAAGAAATTATCAAAGAAATACTGTAATAAAGAATCTTGGTACTAAAGTATATGCACTTCCAAATCGAGTGCCCAGCAAAATGAATAAAAATAATCCACATCAAGATTCATCATCAAGTTTCCAAACAAGAATAAACATTCCAGGCCAGGCGAGGTGGCTCATGTCTGTAATCCCAGTACTTTGGGAGGCTCAGGAGGGCAGATCACTTGAGGTCAGGAGTTTGAGACCAGCCTGGCCAGTATGACGAGACCCTGTCTCTACTAAAAATACAAAAATTAGTCAGGCATGGTGGCAGGCACCTGAGGTTGCAGTGAGCTGAGATTACGCCACTGCACTCCAACCTGGGTGACAGAGCAAGACTCCATCACACACAAAAAGAATAAAGATTCCAAGCCGCTAAAGAAGGACAGGATGGGGATAGAAAAAGAGAGACAGAAGAAAAAAACATACAGAGAATTAAGAATCACAATGGCACTGCCAGGTAGTACAGCACAGTGGAATCCATTTGATTTCTCTGTATTTCTGCTTAATATAAAATTTAAAGGCTGGGTGTGGTGGCTCACGCCTATAATCCCAGCACTTTGGGAGGCTGAGGCAGGCGGATTGCTTAAGCTCAGGGGTTTAAGACCAGCCTGGGCAACATGGGAAAACCCCGTCTCTACTAAAAACACAAAAATTAGCCAGGTGTGGTGGCATACACCTGCAGTCCTGGCTACTTGGAAAGCTGAAGCAGGAGGATCACTTGAACCCAGGAGGTCAAGGCTGCAGTGAGCCAAGATCACGCCACTGCACTCCAGCCTGGGTGACGAAGTGAGACCCTCTTTCAAAAAATAAATAAATTAAATTAAATTAATTAAATTCAGTATCCCACCACTTGACATATAAGGAAACTATGACACAGAGCAGTGGAATAACTTGTCCAAGCACAAAGCTAATTAGAAATGGCAGGCTGGCCATCGTGGCTCACACCTGTAATTCCAACACTTTGTGGGGCTGAGGCAGGAAGATTGCTTGAAACCAGGAGTTCAAGACCAGCCTGGGCAACACAGTGAGACTCTGTCTTTACAAGACATTTTAAAAATTAGCTAGGTGTTGTGGTGCACACCTGTGGTCTCTGCTACTCAGGAGGCTGAGGTGGGAAGACTGCTTGAGCCCAGGAGGTCAAGGCTGCAGTGAGCCGTGATCATATCACTGCAATCCAGCCAGGGCAACAAGCAAGACCGTGTCTTCAAAGAAAAAAAAAAAAAGCTGGGCGCAGTGGCTCATGCCTGTAATCCTTGAACTTTGGTAGGTCAAGGTGGGTGGATAGCCTGAGCCCAGGAGTTCAAGCCCCACCTGGACAACACAGACAGATCCCATCTCTACAAATTTTTTTTTTAAACATTAGCTGGTTATGGTGGCACGCGCTTGTTGTCCCAGCTACTTAGGAGGTTGAGATGGGAGGATTGCTTGAGCCCAGGAGGTGGTGGCTGCAGCGAGCTGTGATCACACCACTACACTCCAGCTCGTGCAACAGAGCAAGACTCGGTCTCAAAAAAAGAAAGAGAGAATTGAAAGACAGAGGAAGAAAGAAGGAAGAGAAGAGGAAAGAAAGGGCAAAACTGGGATTCAAACCCAGGCTGTCTGAGTTCCGTATCTAGTCTGTGCCTAACCAGTCAACCCCCCTGCAAATGACAGCTGTACACTGAACAAAATACAAAAAAACAGCTTCCTGAGGGTTCAGCTGACTGAAAAAGGGCAGGCAGATTTTGGTGGAGTTTGAAACTTGGAACAGAGAACAGCATGCAGTTAGTCCCTCCCTTCCCCCACAACTTTTTCTCTCTGGTTTGCCCTCAGGATGGCAGCCATAGCCCAGGGCGGCAGCAGCAGGCCAGGGGTCAGGGGTCAGGGCGGGCAGCCAACACTCTAATGGGAAGCCAACCATCCTTCTGGCAGGAAGATGCAGGCTGCCAGAAACTGAGGACGAATCCAGAAACAGGAAAGTCAAAGAAGAAAAATCCCAAATTCTGCATTTAAACTCAGTTCAAGTTTCCACATACGTGCTGGGGAAACAAAGCAACTTCTAAGCAAGAACTGAGCTCTGAGCTGCTGCATGAGTGACAGTTTGTAGCTTGAGTCTGACCAAGTTGACTGCCTGCTAAACTGAAAACATCAACCCCTTTTGGGGCAAACCAACAGAATCCATACCGTTCTGTTGTATGACACCTCCACCATCATATCACAATGTCTAGGACACAACACAACATCACTCAGCACAGGAAGACTCATGGAGCTGACATGCCAACTCCAGGACACACAGATGTGGAAATTCCCAGACAAGCAATTTAAAGCAGACATTATAATTCCATACTTACCACAGCAAAATGAAGAAAAATGCACTCATAAAGAATAAAAAGATGGAAAATCTCAGCTGAGAAACACAAAATATAAAAGAGAACCAAACACAGGCAGTGCCTACTCTCCAGCTCTCAACTATAGCTGCCTTACCATTGAGCATGACAGTCCTCAATGAACTCTGGTTACTATTATCAGCCTTATTAACAATGACATTGGAAGCCAGAAGATAATGAAGCAATGCTTACAAAATTCAGAAAGACTACAGTTTATACCATTGCCAAGTTAGAAATCTCTAACCAAATAATTAAGTGTGAGATTAGAACACAGATACATGCAAGATATTAAAAATGTATCTCCCAGGTACCCTTTTTTGGGATCTGTTGGAGTACAATACTTCATGAAAATAAGAAAACCAAGAAAAAGGAGGACAGGGACTTCAACGAAGGAGAGAAATGAAGTGAATTTCATGCTGAAAGGAAGCTTCGGGATGCCTGCTGTGTAGCAAGCTGAGAGCAATCTGTCCAGACTGAAGCAGGAGGGCAGAGGGCTCCAGAAGGGGCAACTCAAAACGCACGTGTGCACAGAGACAGGTTACCTGAAGGGTTTGACTATGTTTAGAGTAATTTTTTATAGCTCTGACAGACAATTTGGGAAGGAATTCATAAGTACATTCATGATATATCCATTAACTCCAGGAAAATGAAACTCATACAAAAAAGTAAACATGATCTCAGCATATCATCTGGTATCACTGTAAATTATATTTATATGGTAATACATACTACTTTGATAAAAATAAAATTTTTTTAACTAAAACAGTATCTCAGCTTGGCTATCATTCCATCATAGTATATATGTGTCTACTATACCTTTTGCTTCTTTTTTTGAGATGGAGTCTCGCCCTGTCGCCCAGGCTGGAGTGCAGTGGCGTGATCTCGGCTCACTGCAAGCTCCGCCTCCTGGGTTCACTCCATTCTCCTGCCTCAGCTTCCCGAGTAGCTGGGACTACAGGCGCCCGCCACCATGCCCAGCTAATTTTTTGTATTTTTAGTAGAGACGGGGTGTCACCATGTTAGCCAGGATGGTCTCGATTTCCTGACCTCATGATCCGCTTGCCCTGGCCTCCCAAAGTGCTGGAATTACAGGCGTGAGCCACCGCACCTGGCCTGCTTTTTTTAAACTATGAAATATTTGGAGCATCCAGGAAAGTACAGCAAACAAAATATAGAACATACACGTATCTAAGACCTAGCTTAGAATTAGCCATATACACTTCAGGTCTTTGTTGTTGTTAACTATTACAGCTGAAGTCTCCTATGCAGACTTATCTCATTTCCTTTGCTCTCCCCTCAGCGGGAATCACTATGCTAAATTTGGTGTTTATCTTTCGTATACATGTTTTTATATTATTACCACATGATTCTTCTCAGAAACAATACAGAATTCTCTTGCATGTTTCAAATTTTAAGTAAATGTGCTAATCTGTATGGTTTTTTTGTATTTTTTTCTTTTCATTCTTTCAACTCAACATAGAGATTTTTCCATATTGATACATGTAACTCTAGTTCATTCATTTTCACTGCTACATTATATTCCGATGCAACTATACCACACTTACCCATCTCGTGCTTATGAGCACTGAATCTGCTTTCAGCTTTTGGCTCTTATAAACAAGTCCTGTGCTCCTCTCTCCCATTCGTGTGTGCAAGGGTTTCTGTGGGAGTGGAATTACTGGGTCCTACGCAAGGGCACCTTTGACATACTGTCAAATTGCTCTAAAAACTGGTTAAATCAATTCAGGCTCTCACTAATATTGTTTACCAAAGTTTTTTATCTTTGCCAATCTAAAATATAATATAACATTAAAGAAAGTTTGGAAAAAAGAAGACATTTTAAGTATTTAAAAAAATCATTAGATAACCCTAATGGATCTCCTGTGATTTTTGTATTTCCTTCCAAGTCCCTCTGCATTTTCTTTATTTTTCTGAAGTAGTGTCGTGACCGCCTGCTCTCCAAGAGGCCAGGAGAAACCCTGGCTTCTCTCACCTTGCTATCCATTCAGCAGTGCCCTCAAAGAGGTCTGGAGTGATGATGTTGGTCAGCGAGGCTACGGAGGCAGCACAGTATGCGCTTCTGGAAAGACAGAAACGGGAAACACATTAAGCTCTACGGAAGAGCTAATGAGGCTCAGTGAACTCCGCGGGCGGACTGCTCGCCTTGCCTAGTAAGCTGTAATCACCTCCTGTCCTCACTCTTGGCACACGGTCAGTCCTCCTGGGTCTCCAACTGAGAGGTGTGACATTCTATTTGGATAGAGTTGCTCACGGCATGGCTTCAGTGAAAGAACATGACATTCTATTCTCCCTACCTCCACATGGTCCAATCTACATCAGAGGAAATAACAGCCATATCAATTCATGTCAAAAGTGGATTCAGCTCTTCTTTCAAAGACCTATAATGGTTGCCATAAATCTATGGTATCATTCAGGTACTTCTGATATGCTCATTCATTTGGATGTTAGTACTGTTTCAGAGCCAGGATTTCTGTTTACAGCCTTGACACATTAAAGATTAACTATACTTTTTCTGCAACAGATAAACTGCAAAACAGGCCACCAAATTGTAATAGATCAAACAAGGATAGGAACAGGTGAGTCCACTCCAATACAGTCCTTAAACCTCTAGAGGGAGAAAAGAGCCTTGATTTCAAACCTCTCACCAGTACACACACACACACACACACACACACACACACACACACACGTTAAATGAAAAAGGCGCACGTCTATATTTTTTGTTTTGCTTTTGTTTTGGTTTTTATTGAGACAGGGTCTCACTCTGTCGCCCAGGCTAGAGTGCAGTGGTATGATCTCAGCTCACTGCAACCTCCGCCTCCTGGGTTCAAGCAATTCTCCTGTATCAGCCTCCCAAGTAGCTGGGATTACAGGCGCATGCCACCATGCCTGGCTTATTTTTCTATTTTTAGTGGAGATGGGGTTTCGCCATGTTGGCTAGGCTGGTTTCAAACTCCTGACCTCAAGCAATCCACCTGCCTTGGCCTCCCAAAGTGCTGGGATTACAGGCATAAGCCACCGCGCCCGGGCTATTTTTTAAAAAAGCATTATTAGGCTGGGCACAGTTGCTCATGCCTGTAATCCCAGCACTTTGGGAGGCTGAGGCAGGTGGATCACGAGGCCAGGAGTTCAAGACCAACCTGACCAATATTGCGAAACCCCGTCTCCACTAAAAACACAAAAATTAGCTGGGCATGGTGGCGTGTGCCCGTAGTCCCAACTACTTGGGAGGCTGAGGCAGGAGAACCACTTGAACCCGGGAGGCGGGGGTTGCAGTGAGCCAAGATCATGCCACTGCATTCCAGCTTGGGCAACAGAGTGAGACTCTGTCTCAAAAAAAAAAACAAACACAAAAAATTATTATACTTGATTTAGGATCATTCTTGCTGTTCCATCCTCCCAGCCCTAATTCTTCTCGGGGCACATTTTATTTCAGCTTCTCCCTCTGTCATGGTATACACACACAGACTGCCTTTCCTTCCCCTCTATGGTTTTTTCAAATACCCGGCACAGGGAAGACAAAAATCATTGGTTTGAATTCTGCTCAAAAATCCTTCTCCTGGCCAGGCATGGTAGCTCATGCCTGTAATCCCAGCACTTTGGGAGGCTAAGGCAGGTGGATTATTTGAGGTCAGGAGTTCGAGACTAGCCTGGCCAACATGGTGAGACCTCGTCTCTACTAAAAATACAAAAATTAGCTGGGCATGGTGGCACACGCCTGTAATCCCAGCTACTTGGGAGACCGAGGCAGGAGAATCGTTTGAACCCCAGAGACAGAGGTTGCAGTGAGCCAAGATCCCACCACTGCGCTCCTGCCTGGGCAACAGAAAGAAACTCCATCTCAAAACAAAACAAACAAAAAGTATATTCCTAAGGGCTCCTAAGAAACATAAAAGAAGGGCCTAGTTTCCATCTTCTTTTTTTTTTTTAAGATAGGATCTCACTTTGTTGCCCAGGCTGCAGTGCAGTGGCGCTATCATGGCTCACTGCAACCTCAAACTCCTGGGCTCAAACTGATCTTGCCTCAGCCTCCTAAGCAGCTGAGGCTACAGATGCATGCCACCACACCTGGCTAATTTTTTAAAAATTTTTTGTAGAGACAGGGTCTTGCTGTGTTACCCAGGTTGGTCTTGAACTCCTGGCCTCAAGTGATTCTCTCATCTCAGTCTCTCAAAGTGTTGAGATTACAGACATGAGCCACTGCCGCTCGGCCCTGGTTTCCATCTTACTCAGTATAGATATAACATGAAGTCAGACTTACTGAGGTATTCCAAAGAAGTCTCTGCAGAAGCTGCATGCATTATGATCCTACCAGCATTTTTAGCAGCCAAAGGCACAGTGGAAGTTTAGTTCCACCAGCAGGCATTGGGAGCACACAAGAGTCACAAGTGCCAATGCCAAATGTGATCATCTACCAGCAGCTAATTTTGAAGATCTGTCTAATTTCCTTGCAATTGTAGGCCTCTTAAAGAGGCTCAGATGCATTTGCTCTTGAATCCTATTGTGACTTGTGAGGTAGGAGGCGACCTATAATACAGTTTGCCTCTCACAAGTGTGAGGACTAAGAAGTGATGACAGAAGACAGGAGTCCCAGGTCTCACGCTGAGATGGGGAGGAAACGTAATACAACCTTTTCATGTATTTCTCCCCCTTTCCCTCCACCCAGTCATCGCAGCTCTCAAATTTGAATTTGTCCACTAACTTTCCATCCTTGCTGCCATCACCCAAATCCAAGCCTTCTTCAACCTGGATCAGTCTTCCTGCTCTCTCTCCCTCCAGCCCTGAAACCAGAGGGCTTTTATTGGAACACTACAGTCCATCACTGCAATTGGGAAACTTCTAAGAAAATACAAATCAGATCACATCACTAAACTCCAGACTCCATAGGAGATTTCAGGGCCTCTGTAGCCTGTTCCCAGCCTGTCCCTCCAGCTCCACTGCTCCCCTGCCCACCAGGCCATCTACACTTCAACACTGAACTTGTCCTTTCTTGAGCAACACATGCTTTCTCACCAAACTTCTGCAAATGCTAGATCCCTGCCTCCACCTTATCCTCACAGAATGATCTAGATTATATAACCTAGAAAGGAGGTCTCCTTTCTTAAGAACTGAGAAAAAATAGTGCTTGCTATGAGTTCACTGTGATTTGATTTTTTACAATACACTGGAACTACAGACCCTTGAGTAGGCTCATCTCTGAAACTATCAGCAGTGTAACAGAGCAGAAAGATCATCCAGAGACTGCTGTCTATCCCAGAAGGGCAGCGAGCTAGTCTCCAGATGTCAAACTCTCCCATCACTGCTGCTTTTCTCCAAGTCAAATCCACCCAAACAAGCACTCCTGAGGACTGGCTGATGCTTCCAGGCAAAGGACAATGAAAGAAATGCCAAGTGAAAAATGATGGAATCGGGGTACTAGAAACCAGGCAAAGCAAGGAAAATGGATGCAATCTGCTAGCTTTTCTCTATCATTCATATCTTTAATCCTTTATGTAAATAGAAAGCACGGGCACGAATGGCAGAGCATCACCCAAAGAGCAAAGGTCAGGGAAGAATATGGCTACAGTGCTTGGCAGGGGAACCAAGCTGCCTTACTGGAGAAGTTTCCTAGCATTTATCTAGAACATATAAATAAAGAGCATAGGGAAAAAAAAAGTGCTGGAATGAATAAGATAGCAAATAATCACAGCTGCAAAAGGTATATGATAAAATACCAAAAGGATCTTGCTATGATTTGTTTGCTTTTGCCTAATAATCTTAGTAGGTTTTTAAAAGCTGCGTTTCAAGACTGTGCATATTTTGGGGGAATAGCAACAGAACAGGAACGAAAATGTAGTGAACACGAGGGAAAAAAACTCTTTTAACATTTTCCTTAAGAAGAATCAACACATACTGATTTACCTCAGTCGTTCTACTGGTTTCACTGGTATACACAGATCCTAATCTAATTTTTTTGGTTGGATTAGACAAGTTAGAGATAGAAGAACATCTTGAACTAAAGGCCTTTGCAGCCTGATTACCTATTATCTGTAATGTATTTTATGCTCCACAATGTTCGTGGTTTTTTCCTCCCCTATACTTTCAAACCAATGGTTAAACCAGATGCTTAAGCCAGACTATTAATCAACTTGTGTAGAAGCAAACCCATTTACACATAGGCAGTAAGACAGCTTTGCTATAGAAACCTCACAAAATGTATTTCTCAACTAAATAATAAGAAAATGGCATAAAATCTCAATAAGCCACTGTCTTAGAGAAATGGCTTATTCAATGAATTCCCTGTATGCCTCATAAGTAATCTGCCAGGTGAGGAAGCAACTTGCTTGGTACATCAGACACTTATGGAAGAAAATAATAATTTCGAGCTAACTGGCACCAATCAGTTAATGCGATTTTATTGCACTGCACTCTCCCGGCCCACAAGGCTCTCTGCACCTCCCAGAAAAACTCTCATGTGCCTCAGGAGGACCTCAGGGATTAGACATTCTCATGATTTCATCAAATTCACTCAGAAGGTATTTACTGAGGCCCTGCTGGACTTTCCCCTCCCTTCCTATCTCAGAGAGGTGAAGGAATACATTACACCATACAGTTATTTATATTGTGGTATATCATTTTGTACCAAACAAATGTATTTTTAATTTCTAAAACAAAAGCATTTGTTTCTTATATTTTCACATTTACATAAAATAAGTCAAGTGATCATGACACCTGAGGACATCTGCATCACATCTGAATGATTCTGACGTGTCACTGACATGTCATCCCATGTGTCATTCTGGGACAAAGCAGCAGCTTCCCCATGATGTTCCTTAGGCTTGGCATCTCTAATGGCAGATGAGCTCTAGAGTCAACTGATGTGGCAGCCTGTGCAAAACCCCACTCACCTCACATCCACCTCACCTCCGACATGCATGAGAAAGGAGCCGTCAGGTTGCTTCAGGGAGTACAAATACTGAAGAAGCTTCTCTCTGAGAAACAGGGAAAGAGGTAGGAGAGGCAACAGTCAGTGCGTGTCAGCAGGCGGGGAACTCCTCTAGGTTTCTGTCACTGCTGGCTTTCACTGTACCTGTTAATGATGTCATAGGCCTCCTCGGTGCCAATGATGCACAATGCATTGACTGCTGCATATGTGGGTGCAAGGTGTGGATACTGACCGGGTCCTCCTCCAAAGCCACCTTCTGGGCTCTGACACAGCTCCAGGAACTGACACACACTAGGTACACAGCCAAAGGGCAAAAACAAAGTCAGAGAGCATTCATGTCAAAACACCAAATTCCCACTAGATTCCAGGCCTTTCCAATGATCCCCCACTCCCTCAAAAGTTGAGGGGAACCTCTCCTCCCACTTGTTGAATATAACCTCTCCCCAAAGGGCTTAATTCTCTCTCCAGCTATCATCATTTCTGTCTGCCCTCCTCTGAGTTTCGTACTTAAGCGCTTGTTGGTCATGAAGCAGGGAACACAAGGCTGGGAAGAAACCGACTTTCGTAGCTATGGGGTAAGAGTCTCCCGTGCTTCCCACACAAACCTTTCCCAGACTTTCCACTCAACTTGCTGCCCTGGACCTGTGGTACCAGCCTCCTCCTCCTTGCCTTTGGGAACCTCCCAGCCTTTGAATTTTGCCAAAACATGGTGCTCAACTGCTTCTTTCCACACTAACCATCCTAGTCAGGATCCATCACCTAGGCCTATCATGAACATGTAAATAGAGGTCTTCTCACTCCCATTGCCACCTAAGCCTCTGTGGGCCACTGATTTCTACTCCACCAGTAAGAAGCAAGTTTTGTTTTTTTGTTTTTTTTTTTGAGGCGGGGTTGCCCTCGGTCGCCCAGGCTGCAGTGCAGTGGTGTGATCTCAGCTCATTGCAGCATCCGTCTCCCAGGTTCAAGAGATTCTTTTGCCTCACCCTTCCAAGTAGCTGGGATTACAGGCGTGCACCATCACGCCCAGCCAATTTTTTGTATTTTCAGTACAGACAAGGTTTCACCATGCTGGCCAGGCTGGTCTTGAACTACCTGACCTCAAGTGATCCACCCGCCGCAGCCTCTGCAAGTGCTGGGATTACAGGTGTGAGCCACTGCATCCGGCTGAAAAACACATTTTTAATGGAGCCTGCTTCCATGGCTGGGAGAACAGAAGAGAGGCAGGCTGCTCTCATGCTCACCTTAATTGCGGTAAACATAAGAGGAGCTGCACTGACTCGCCGTGAGAATGCCTCCCAGTCTGCGGGTTCTTGGAGAATTCTCCACGTTAATTCAAACAGGCTCCCATTCCCTCACTGAGGGGAGCTGTTTTCTGAGGGTTTGCCTCCAAGCCTGGCATCAGGCTGCCCAGAGGTTACAGTCTTGCTTTAGGTGAAATCAAGAGAGCCCTATCATCAGTCCGGGGTCTTCCGAAGTGCACCAGAAAGGGTGCCCCAGGAAAGCCCTGGTTATCAAGCTGTTTCTCCACAGCTCAGCAGGGTCACAGCCTTCCCGCCAGGAGAAACCTCCATTTACAACAAGCAAACTGTCTTTGCAGTGTTCATGGGGCCTTCTTTCCTGGGCGCTTTCACCTCATTATTTCCTTGCTACTGCTGCCAGAAAGACTACATAGCCTACTCTCCAAGAAGACACAAGTTTATAACTGTTTGCCAACATCACATTTAATTGCTTTCGATTTCAGAGTTCCCATTATCCGGGCAGAGAAAGCAAAAGCAAACGCTGCTGCCTTGCTCTGTGAGTTCTGAAACGTCACAGGTTAAAACAACACATACTTCTTTTTGCACCTACAATTTTACTGTAGAAAACACAAGGATTGAAACTGAAGTTGAAAACAATTATGTGGCACTATGGTTTTTGTTTTTGATTTTGAGAGAGGGTCTTACTCTGTCGGCCAGGCTGCAGGACAGCGGCATAATCACGGCTCACTGCAGCCTCAACCTCCCCAGACTCAAGCTATCCTCCCACCTCAGCCTCCCAAGTAGCTAGAATTACAGGCATGAGCCACCACGCCTGGCTAGTTTTTGTATTTTTTATAAAGATGGGGTTTCGCCATGTTGCCCAGGCTAGTCTTGAACTCCTGGGCTCAAGCAATCCTCCCACCTCGGACTCCCAAAGTGCTGAGGTCACAGGTGTGAGCCATCATGCCCAGCATGTGACACATTTTTAACAGCAATTAATTTCTGTAGAGAACTTGAATTTGTTCCTTCTTTCCAAATCGTCATCAATTCTTATGACATTTCCCAGAAACAAATAGTTAATAAGCTCATGCCCTAACAAAGGCTGGCTGCACTAGCATACCAAAAGGTTTCTGTACCACAAAAAGTTTTAGCTGATACAAAACTTAACAGCACATTTTTTAAAAGAAAGAAAAAGAGTCACCTGGTTATCCACTCCCTTTCCCAGCTCCTAAGATAGAATCGTGCCGAACGCAACACTACTGACCCTAAAGCCTCGAATTAGTTAGGATCTGAATGTACCAGACACACCTTGATACCATCCCTCCATGCCAACCTCCCTCAGCTGACATGCTGCATCTGACTGTCTGGGGCTGTGCTAGAGAACTGGAGGTTGGGCTTCTCTTGATCTCAGACACTTCCGTATTACAGAACATTCTGATCCCAAGGCTTTCCAACTTGCACCTTAAGGAATTGGCAAGTTGACTATGAACTACCAGCTGTCATTCACAGACTTCTTAGCAATTCTGAAGACCAAAATGTTAATGATACTTCTACATATTTAAAAAAAACAAACAAACAAAAAAAAGGAGCCAGGCATAGTGGCTTGTGCCTGTAATTCCAGTACTTTGGGAGGCCAAGGCAGGAGGATTGCTTGAAGCCAGTAGTTCAAGACCAGCCTGGGCAACACAGTGAGACCCCAGCTCTACAAAAAAATATTTTTTTTTCCCACAAATGTAGGGGGAGAAAAACTTATCATAGAGACAAGAAGTTCACCAATAAATAAAAAATTACAAGCAAAAAACATTGTACAAACACCAAGTGGCACATTTTGTGAAAAACAAGTATTCACAAAATCATTCCTTTAGAATATGACTGAAAGCTGCAATACATCAATTTTCTTTAACGTCAGCAAGGCATTTCATTCTAGCTTACGTGCCAATTACCAGCAAAGTGGGAAACTATCTTCTATATCATGGATCTTCAAACCCAAAATGTGTGCATCAGAATCTGTAGAAAGCTAATAAAAGAATACAGAGACCCAGTCCTGCTGAGGTGGAAAAGATCCTGGGCCTTTGTATTTTTACCAAATTCTCAGGTGATTCAGATACATGCAAAGCTTGAGCCATCACTAGTCCTTGCTGCACAACTAAAATTACTTGGGGGGTGTTTTAAAAAAATCCCAACACCCAAGCCACACCTAATTCCAATTAAACCGGAATCACTATGGGTGGGACCCAGGTGGCAGTATTTTTTTTAAACTCCCCACGTGATTCCAATGTTCAGCCAGGTATCAGTGCTTCTCAAACTTGAGTTGCATAGAAATTACCTGTGGATCTTGCTAAACTGCAGCTCTAATTCAGTAGAACTAGATGGGTCTGAGAGTCCTCTTTTTTTTTTTTTTTAGGAGATGGAGTGTCCCTCTGTCGCCCAGGCTGGAGTGCAGTTGAGCGATCTCAGCTCACTGCAAGCTCTGCCTCCTGGGTTCAAGTGATTCTCCTCCCTCAGCCTCCCGAGTAGCTGGGACTACAGGTGCATGCCGCCACGCCCAGCTAATTTTTGTATTTTTTAGTAGAGTCAGGGTTTCACTGTGTTGCCCAGGCTGGTCTCGAACTCCCGAGCTCAGACAATCCGCCCGCCTTGGCCTCCCAAAGTGCTAGGATTACAGGCGTGAGCCACCATGCCCGGCTGAGAGTCCTCATTTCTAATAAGTTCCCAGGTGATAGCAATGCTCCTGGTCTGGGGACCACATTTTGAGTAGCAATGAGATACATCTGTGCTGTCCAATAGGCAGCCACTAGCCACATGAGGCAATTTAAATTCTCAATTAATTAAAATAGAAAATTCAGCTCTTCAGTCACACAAGACACATTTCAAGTACTCCACAACTAACTGTGGCTAGTGGCCAATATAGAACACGTATAGATGTTTATAGACACCTATAGACATTTACAGAATATAGAACATTTTCATTATCACAGAAAGTTCTGCTGGACACCACCACTTTTATCATTCCATCATTAAAGAGTATGTAAATCTTGTAAGAGGGTCAAGTTCAAAGCAGGGATATCAGCGATTGCCTCTCAGCCTTATAAGGAGTTTACTTGGGACTCTTAGGTGATGGCTGAGGACTGATCTAAAGTGATTGATTCTGGCCAGGCGTGGTGGCTCATGCCTGTAATCCCAGCACTTTGGCTGAGGTGAGGGGGATCACTTGAGCTCAGGAGTTCAAGGCCAGCCTGGGCAACATGGCAAAACCCCATCTCTACAAGAATTATAAAAATTAACCAGGCACGTTGGCACCCACCTCTAGCCCCAGCTACTCAGGAGGCTGAGGTGGGAGGATCACTTGAGCTTGGGGAAGTCCAGGTTGCAGTGAGCTGTGATTGTGCCACTGCATTCCAGCCCAGACAATAGAGTGAGACCCTGTCTCAATCAATTAATCAATGTTGATTCTAAACACCGTCATCAGTTTGGATGAAGGATTCAAAGGCATGTACAGTAAATAAGCATATAATACAAAATGAGCAGCAAAACAAATCAGAAACCAATAAGAATAAAACAAATGCAACAGGTACAAATAGCAAGAATTACGCTTAGAGATGGCAGGGGTGGGGGATGGGTAAGGCACATGAATATGGGAAATGACTAGGAACATAGCAGGAAAAGACCAGTAATAAGGGTCCACGAGTTGTGAAGAACAACAATAAAAATGCTTGTTAAAAGCATCATAAATGCAGTATTAGTCAGAACTGTATCTGGCTCTAGCCTCCATTTTCCACCTCAAAGGGAATTCACATGAGAGTTGTAAAAATGACTACTTTTTTTTTTTTTAAGTATTTGGCTGGGTGTGGTGGCTCGTGCCTGTAATCCCTAGACTTTGGGAGGCCAAGGCAGGAGGATCACTTAAGGCCAAGAGTTTGAGACCAGCTTAGGCAATACAGCGAGACCTTATCTCTATTTTTAAAATAATATAAAAAGCTTAATATTACAGACAATCACAGTGAGAAAGCTACCCAGCAAAATACCTCAAATATACAAAGGATAATTACATAAACATTCTAGTAGGTAAAAACTGAGACTAATTTGTAGCAAGAAGTATTTAGGTTACATAAAAAACTTCAGCACTAGACTAGGCTATCATAGACAGACTTAAGGCCTAGGATAAGTTATAAAAATTATAGCTATGTTCTGCACAATTGGGCAGGTTTAAAAAAAAAAAAACAGAAAAAAAGATTACAGCTTTGGAAATAGGAACAGTCATCCATGGGCAGAACGGCTTAGGAGGGGATGTAAATGCAAGATGCATGAGCTGGCATCACATCAAGCTTGTTCTCGTACTAACTAAAACAGCTTCAGCTTGATATAGTGAAGAGGAAATCTCCTTCCCTAGGTAGAATATGACAATGGACAGGTGAAGACGGGCAGCATCTCTTGTTGATTCCGGGTGGCCTCTGCTGCTCACAGAGTCAGACGTGTTATTTGACTCTTCATCAAGCACCGGCAAGTCTCTGGATGGCTGCTGTTCTGGAAGAATGGTCAGGTCGAAAGTTGGCTACTATAGGCCGGGCGCAGTGGCTCACGCCTATAATCCTAGCACTTTGGGAGGCCGACGTGGGCGGATCACTTAAGGCCAGGAGTTTGAGACCAGCCTGGCCAACATGGTGAAACCCCATCTCTACTAAAAATACAAAAATTAGCCAGGCATAGTGGCATGCGCCCGTAGTCCCAGCTGCTTGGGAGGCTGAAGCACGAGAATCGCTTGAACCCGGAAGGTGGAAGTTGCAGTGAGCTGAGATTGCACCAGTGCCCTCCAGCCTGGGGGACACAGCAAGACTGCCTCAAAGGAAAAAAAAGTTGGCTACTTTAGAGCAGAGTTTCTCAACTGTTGACACTGGGGCTCAGTAATTCTTTGGTGCAGGGACCGTCCTGTAGAGGATATTTAGCAGCACCTCTGACCTGCACCCACCAGGTGCCAACAGCACCTGGCCAGGAAAAATGCCCAGGAGACAAAGGCCTAGATATGGTGTCCTCACTGAAAGGTAAGGAAACATACAAACTAGACTTAAAAATTAAAAGGAAAAATATTTAAGGGGCTATTCCGGGGATAAGCTACTAACAACCTTTTGAAAGGGAAAGGATAAAACACTGAAATAGCAAAATTTGAATTTATCTTTGGAAAAATCTTACAAGCTGAAATGTCCTAAAATGGTTTTTAAGTTAAAGGCAATTTTTAAATCTTACAGAAGCTAAAAACATAACTTTAACAGTGCGATGGTCTCCCTGTGAATTTTATTTTGCTCTGTTTCACTGAAGCTGCTTTCAGTAACAAAGAATGGGATTCTCATTAGAGGATGCTTCCTTCAGTGCCAAAACCATTAAGCAAAGCAAATGTACTTAGTCTAGTTCCAAAATATTAATTCATTTTAGATAAACACATATAAATGTGTGCATATAACCTCTTAAAAGAGGGAAGCTAGGCCGGGTGCGGTGGCTCACATCTGTAATCCCAACACTTTGGGAAGCCAAGACAGGTGTATCACCTGAGGTCAGGAGTTCAAGACCAGCCTGGCCAACATGTTGAAAGCCTGTCTTTACAAAATACAAAAATTAGCTGGGCGTGGTGGCACACCCCTGTAATCCTAGCTACTTGGGAAGCTGAGGCAGGAGAATCACTTGAACCCGGGAGGTGGAGGTTGCAGTGAGCTGAGATCATGCCACTGCACTACAGCCTGGCAACAAGAGCAAAACTCCGTCTCAAAAAAAAAAAAAAAAGGCCGGGCGCGGTGGCTCATGCCTGTAATCCCAGCACTTTGGGAGGCTGAGGCAGGTGGATCACCTGAGGTCAGGAGTTCGAGACCAACTTGGCCAACATGGTAAAACCCAATCTCTACTAAAAATACAAAAATTAGCCGGGTGTGGTGGCTCCCGCCTGTATGCCTGTAGTCCCAGCTACTCGGGAGGCCGAGGCAGGAGAATTGCTTGAACCCAGGAGGTGGAGGTTGCAGTGAGCCAAGATCGTGCCACTGCACTCCAGTCTGGGCAACAGAGCGAGACTCTCAAAAAAAAAAGAGGCAAGCTGAAGTCCTACCTATGGACTGGGCATGGTGGCTCACGCCTATAATCCCAGTGTTTTGGGAGGCTAAGGCAGGAGGATCAATTGAGCCCAGGAGATTGAGACCAGCCCAGGCAACACAGCAAGGCACTGTCTCTACCAAAAATAAAGAAAACATTCCAGGCTATGAATACATTATTCTTGAAACCTCTGATACCAGCAGTAACAACCTCGCCTTGCTGGCTTTGGTCAGCGGTCATAGCAGCTGACAAAAGTATTTTGTCCACTAGAGGGAACCCAGCTTATCATATTGTTCCCTAAACAAATAGAAGCACAGCAGTGAACAAAATAGGAAAGAGAAACCTTTGTGTAAGTGTAGGGGGCGTGTGTGTTACATGCAGGGGAAAAGAAGGCAGGAAAATAATAAAACTGCAGAGCTAGACTTTTTGACTCTAGGTCACCTTAATATATTTGTATGAAGAAAGAAAACTGAACGCATTTCAAAGCATTTCATTTCCCTGTGCAAGATAAATAAAAAGGCAATATTCTATTTCAGCTAGTCTAAAAAAAATCTTCTATTTATATAGAAGTCCTTAAGATTTATCTGTATCTTACTAAAAATAATCTATTTCCTTATGGGTCAGAGCCAGTAGGCTTTGTTCATAACAAGTGTTTTCTGCACCTAGAAGTAACCACCTCCTAGGCACAAAGCAAAATACATTATTGGGAAGTCTAAGAAATGTTTAAAAGTTCACTAAATCAATGCGTAGAAGAACCACAGGTAAAGCTTTTAAGGCATCTGTGAAGCAGAAACTCTCATTAACTGTCAAGTGGTTTTTGAAATAAGGACAAATCAGCTTATTTTTAAACCATTCCTTTTTTAATTACAAAATAATAAAAGATCATTGTAGAAACTTCAGAAAATGCAAGTAAGCTTAAAAAAAATGTTTTGTTTGTTTGTTTTTTGAGACAACAGTCTCCTTCTGTTACCCAGGCTGGAGTGCAGTGGTGTGATCTCGGCTCACTGCAACCTCTGCCTCCCGGATTCAAGCAATTCTCCTGCTTCAGTCTCCCGAGTAGCTGGGATTACAGGTGCCAGCCACCACATCTGGCTATTTTTTGTATTTTTAGTAGAGACAGGGTTTCACCATGTTGGCCAGACTGGTCTCGAACTCCTGACCTCAAGTAATCCGCCTGTCTCAGCCTCTCAAAGTCCTGGGATTACAGCCATGAGCCACTACATCCAGCCAGAAAGTTCTTCTTTTTCTTTTTCTTTTTTTGAGATGGAGTTTCACTCTTGTTGCCCAGGCTGGAGTGCAGTGGTGCAATCTTGGCTCACCGCAACCTCCGCCTCCCGGGTTCAAGCGAGTCTCCTGCCTCAGCCTCCTGAGTAGGAGCCGGGAGTGCAGTAACAGAAGGAGACTCTTGTCTCAAAAAACAAACAAACAGCCTCCTGAGTAGGATTACAGGCATGCGCCACCACGCTTGGCTAATTTTGTATTTTTAGTAGAGACGGGGTTTCTCCATGTTGGCCAGGCTGGTCTCAAACTCCCGACCTCAGGTGATCCACCCACTTCGTTCTCCCAAAGTGCTGGGATTACAGGTGTGAGCCACCGCGCCTGGCCTTTTTTTTTTTTTTTTTTTAAGACAGAGTCTCACTCTGTCCTCCAGGCTGGAGTAGAGTGGCATGATCTTGGCTCGTCGCAACGTCCACCTCCCAGATTCAAGCAATTCTCCTGCCTTAGTCTCCCGAGTAGCTGGGATTACAGGCATACACCACCAAGCCAGGCTAATTTTTATATTTTTAGTAGAGACAAGATTTCCCCATGTTGGCCAGGCTGGTCTCGAACTCTTGATCTCAGGTGATCTGCCGACCTTGGCCTCCCCAAGCCCTGGGATTACAGGTGTGAGACACCGTGCCCAGCCCAGAAAGTTTATAAAATCACTTTTAACCCCATCGTCCAGAAATAACTACTACATGTATCTTTCTGGTTCTATCTATGCATATCATCATCTATATTTTTAATGTATGTAAATTAAATCTTTTAAACTATTTTCATTTCACATCTCTCTATATAAATACATATATTTTAACATACAAATATACACATTCATATATTTATTGAGACAGGGTCTTGCTCTGTTGCCCAGGCTGGAATGCAGTGGTGCCATCATGGCTCACTGCAGCCTCAAACCCCTGAACTCCTGTCTCGGCCTCCTGAGCAGCTAGAACTAGAAGTGTGCACCACCACGCCCAGCTATTTTTATTTTTATTTTTGAAATGGAGTCTCACTATGTCGCCCAGACTGGTCTTGAATTCCTGGGCCCCAGTGGTCCTCTGACCGTGGCCTCCCAAAGTGCTGGGGTTACAGGTGTGATCATGCGTGGCCACATTTATACATTTTTTAATGGTTATATAGTATTTCACAGAATGTACTGCACCATAAATGACTTATGTTTTATTTTTTAAATTTATGTATTTTATTTATTTATTTTTTTGAGATGGAGTGTCACTCTGTTGCCCGGACTGGAGTGCAAAGGCGCAATCTCGACTCACTGCAACCTCCGCCTCCTAGGTTCAAGCGATTCTCCTGCCTCAGCCTCCCGAGTAGCTGGGATGACAGGCATGCACCACCATGCCCAGCTAATTTTTGTATTTTAGTAGAGATGGGGTTTCACCATGTTGGCCAGGCTGGTCTCAAACTCCTGACCTCAAGTGATCCACCCACCTCAACCTCCCAAAGTGCTTGGGATTACAGGCGTGAGCCACCACACCCAGCTTTACATTTAAAAAAAATTTTTTTTAAACATTCTCTACTGTTGATATTTAATTTAGATTGCTTCCAATGAAAGGCCCTTTAAAGGCTCCTCTCTTCCTATGTGACATTGCCCCAGAAGCGGCGCTGACACTTCCTCAGAAAAGCCTTCACTATAAAACACCAAGTACACAGCCTAGAAAAAAACTCAGTCGATTTTGGCTCGAGTTCTTCCACCTCAGGCACCCCCTGTGATTCTCTCTTCCAGTTTTTCATGGGTCTGCGGCCTCCTCCATCCAGCGTTCAGATCCAGGCTCACAGAAATCCCCATTTTTTCTTTCTTCTCTCACACCCAACTTTCCCATTGTGCAAGAGTGAAGGGAAAACTTTCCAAATATCCTGATTGTGTAGGAGTGAAGGGAAAACTTCCCAAACAATCCCCAGGCCCCCGAGCTGGTATTTCAAAAACACACGAGGCTGGATGTGGTGGCTCACACCTGTTATCCCAGCACTTTGGGAGGCCGAGGCAGGTAGATCAGCTGAGGTCAGGAGTTCAAGACCAGCCTGGTCAATATGGTGAAAGCCTACCTCTACTAAAAATACAAAAATTAGCCAGGCACGGTGGTGGGTGCCTGTAATCCCAGCTACTCAGGAGGCTGAGGCAGGAGAATCGCTTGAACCCGGGAAGCAGAGGCAGCAGTGAGCTGAGACTGTGCCACTGCACCCCAGCCTGGGTGACAGAGTGAAACTCTGTCTCAAAAAAAAAAAAAAAAAAAACCACGTGGGCCTTTCTTTGACAATTAAATTCCTGTTACTGCAGAAACTGTGTCCAACTCTCCTTCCAGTGCTGGAAGCAGCCAGGCTTGCAGTGGCATCCCGATGATCAAAACAATGCACTTGCCTCTCCCTCAGAAAGCATCCTACGTACCACAAGGGTTAATGGCCTAATTCTTTATTATCTTCCCCATCCACATTCATCACAAGACACCCTGCCCAGGAAGGCAAGAATGAGAGGTTATTGTTAAGACAGAATGAATGAGACAATGTGCAGTTCTGTTCCTCTGACCTGACAATGTGACTGAGGCAGGGGCTCTGTGACCAGAGAGGGGCCCCGGCTAGGCCTCTGTGTGTCCCAGCACAGCTGCCTCCTTGTGCTGTGGAGAAACAAACCTGGCTCAGAAGTCTCTCATCCCAGATGCTTCGACCTCAAGAGCACCAGAGGAAGCTGAGAAATTCGAGATGCTGCCTAGAGCCCATGCTGCCTCTCAGTGGATCTCTTGGATCCAATTCCTGGCTGCCCTTTCTTATTCCAGGTATCCCTAGGACTGGAGTCATGATCAGTCTTTTCTTCTTTAATATATAAATGGTGATGAGTGTCTGGGAATGAGATGCCAGATCACGAATGCCATCTGTACAAGGATCTTGGGAAGAAGCTCAGTTGCTTAGATCTCTAATCATCGATCAGGTTTAGGAAAACTGAGAGTCATGGCATTTGTATGCCACACCAGTAACACATCCAGTCCCATCAAGAGCTACATGGTCGCTCCAAGCACCGGGAGCGGGGAGGTACTTCTATAGAGGTGCGTAGGAAAGGCAAAGGCATTTTTGTTCACTGGACTGGCACGTGCTTCCCCACAGAAGCTGTTCAAATGCATACTGTACTTTCTGGCAAAATCTTGTCTCTCAGAGTTGATGATTAAGACTTTTCTCAAAGACCAGAGTCAAGAGCCAAAAGAAAAGGCCACAGAAGAAACCAGAATCCTTCTCTTGGAAGTTCAAAGTCTTGTTCTACCCACCAGCTTACATTAGTTTTCTAAAGTGGAGGAGTTTCAGGAAGTTGCCGGAGGTCATGAGAAGAGCAAAGATTTCTTTGTGGCACTGTTTTTTTCCATTCCAAACAAACAAAACAGAAACAAAACAAAATCCCAAACTCAAAATACAATTTCAGAGAACACCCCAGATTTCCCAAAGACAGACTCACTCTGTAGCCACTATCTGGGGGATGGGTTCATCTAGCAGTTCCAAGCTGTGCAGGATCCAATAGCAGAGCCATGGGCGGCTGGCATCCAGACACTGGGAGAGAGACAGGAGAGAAAACATCCCTTATTCACAATCACTCCAAGACACTGCTGCCAAGGCTGTATCTGTCTCACTCCCAGCAGCCTGGCAAGGGGGAGGAGGGCACCCTTGCTCAAACAACAATCAGTGAATAAAGGACACTTTGCTTTGTGGCCTTAGCCAGGAGCTGAAATGACCATCTGTTAAAAAAAAAAAAAAAAAAAAAAAAGATAACAAGGCTGGGCGCGGTGGTTCATGCCTGTAATCCCAGCACTTTGGGAGGCCAAGGTGGGTGGATCATTTAAGGTCAGGAGTTCAAGACCAGCCTGGCCAACATGGCGAAACCCTGTCTCTATTAAAATTACAAAAATTAGCTGGGCATAGTGATGTGCGCCTGTAATCCCAGCGACTTGGGAGGCCGAAGCAGGAGAATCACTTGAACCCGGGAGGCAGAGGTTGCAGTGAGCCGAGATGGCACCACTGCACTCCAGCCTAGGCGACAGAGCAAGACTCCGTCTCAAAAAAAAAAAAGAAAGAAAAGAAAAAAAAGACAACAGGATTAAAAAAAAGATGACCCTGAACCCAGTGGATCCCTCCCTGGCAGGCATCTAAGGAAGGCTGAGCAGAGGACTTCCTACAGGCCAGGAGGTTAGGGGCTGCTATTTTCTCGGTATAGAACCAAGGAGATATACATTCTCTGAAGAGATTTCCTAGCTTAACTCAATCACTGATTCAACAAATATTTGATAGTATCTACTTGTGCCAAGCACTGTATTAGACACTGGGGGGATGATAATAAAATTTGGTTTCTACCGTTTATTTTTTTGAGACAGGGTCTCGCTCTGTCACCCAGGCTAGAGTGCAGTGGTATGATCTCAGCTCACTGCAGCCTCAACCTCCCGGGCTCAAGCAATCCTCCCACCTCAGCCTCCTAAGTAGCTGGGACTACGGGCACACACCACTATGCCTGGCTAATTTTTTAAGTTTTTATAGAGACAGCATCCCACTATGTTGCCCAGGCTGGTCTTGAACTCCTGGGCTGAAGCAATTCACCTGCCTGAGCCTCCCAAAGTGCTGAGATTACAGGCATTAGCCACCATGCCTGAACTGGTTTCTGTTCTTGAGATGCTTGGGATATAGAATGTGTGTGGTTACCTGTAGGGGAAGAGAGCACTGGACAGACATATAAGTTACCTCATGTCTTTCTGGAACCAACACGTGTACATATACCTGGAGAAATGCTGTAATGGACGAAAACAGAGTTTTGAGGGAGCACGTGGAAGAGACTGACTAATTCTGCCTGGGGAGCTAGGAAAGGCTTCCAAAGGCAAAATGCAGACGGCTCTTGATCCTAATTAAACCATAAATGATTATTGAGCATTCAAGGCTAGGCAGGGTAGGTAGGAGTACTGCCCCAGTTTTATAAATTAAAATATATAAATGAGGTCCAAAGATTAACCTTTTTCAGATTATAAAAATAGCAAATGTCAGAGGTGAGACAAGAACCTAGGTTTTTAGAGTCAATCCAGTGTTCTTTCCGTTGGCCCAAGCTGCTCTCTTCAAAACTATGCTGATATCCCAAGCTGTGGCTAACCCACCACCTGGAAGGTAGGCTGGTGAGCTACTGAAGACACTGCCAGGGATGCAGCTTAAGTTTGAATCCCAGCTCCTCATCTTACTCGCTATGTGCCTTTGAGCAAATGACTTAATTTTACTATGCCCATTTCATTATCTGCAAAAAACAAGAGATTGATCTACCTCATGTAGTTACAAGATTTAAATAAGAGAATGCAACTGGGCGCAGTAGCTCACGCCTGTAACCCCAGAGCCTCAGGAGGCTGAGGCAGGTGGATCACTTGAGGTCAGGAGCTCGAGACCAGCCTGGCCAATATGGTGAAACCCTGTCTCTACTAAAAATACAAAAATTAGCCAGGCGTGATGGTGCACACCTGTAATCCTGGCCACTCAGAAGGCTGAGGCAAGAGAATCGCTTGAACCTGAGGCGGAGGTTGCAGTGACTCACGATCATGCCACTGCACTCCAGCCTGGGAAATACAGCGAGACTCCATCTCATAAATTATGAGAGAATGCATGGTAAGCTTTCAGCACACTGTTCAATAAATTGTTAGCTGATATGGTACCAACTGTAACATAACTATTGAGGACTTGAGTCAAGGATTGAAAATTCATAGCCCACAGGCCAAATCTAGCCCATGGATGTGTATTGTTTAACTGGTAGTAGCTGCAACATTTGTCAGGAGAGTCACATGAAAACGTGATTTCCGGCTTCATTTGGAGGAAGAAAAAAAAAAAAGGAAACAAAGATGATTTGGCAACCCTGGGTCTGCATTCCCAGATGGCAGTAATGGGCAGGAAAGAAGTTAAGGGCACAGGGTCTCCAGTTAGCCTCAGTCTCCATGCAGCCCACTTCACTGATTTATGCTGCCTGCCTGGGCCCTACAGGCATTTGAGTTGGCAAATCATTGCCACAAATAATCAAATGTGGAACCCAAATAAAAAGCAGATTAAAAATAGAGATGCTGCTCTGTGTTAAGCAGGGCAGAAAGACTGGAGACTTCCTGTTCACATTCACCCTTTGCCTGCCGCTCAGTCCCATCCAACATCTGTCCCCTCCACCGTCACCCAGTCCTGACGTTGCTCTGGGAAATATTAAAGATCTACTCTTAAACAGTAATGTTAAATTGCAAGGACCACTCTCTATACTGGTCCTCTAGTCAGTATAGAAATTAGATCTTATTACAAGAAAGGGTTTTTTGTCTCTTTAATGAAGATATGAAAAGTAATGTACTTACTAGAAGGAGTGGTGAAGTTGGAAAATTTGTAACCATCACGATACAGACTTAACAGGTTTGGACAATAGTCCTCAATAAATGAGCGAGAAATTAGATCAGCTTATAGGGCAAAGGGTTAAGGGTGAACAGGTAACTGGCATTTAGCCAGCTGTCAAGGAGGTCTAGATAAAGCACGTGAACCCCTTAGTCATCATCTAGTAACAGAAGAAAGCCCCATCCTATCTAGGGTGCTCCACTCACTCTGGAAGAGACTAGGTTCTGCCCTTTCAGGGCTGAGTCCCAGCTCTGTGACAGCACCCTACCTCCTGCCAGAGCCACAGAGAACAAAGAGTGACTCTGCAACAGGTCAGCCCCAACAGTCTTTTACGTTTAAATAGAAAAAGGAGGAGGATTTGGTGGATAATTTGACAGCAAGAGTTCCTGGGTAATGTGTTTACCTCATAGGCATCTGTCAGTTGTCGAAGGCCTCTTTTCAGATAATGGAAGTGCTTCTCCCTCTGCAAAACAAGCCTGGAAAGACAAACAGTTTATAAGCCCATTCTAATAGCTTATGCTTCCACCATACACACGTATGTGCACGTACACACACACGGGTAAACACTCAGCTTCAGGACGTCCCCCTGCAATCACTGACTGGATAACCAGCAACTTCTCTGGTTCCAAAGAGCAACTAAACCAGAGAAAAGAAGCTCTTGTCTGAATGTCTCTAAAGCATCTGAAAACCATGCCAGCTGACATTTAGAGTGCGATTGTCTCCTAAAGGCAGTGACTTTGGGCTAACGGAAAAGCCGCAATGAGCACACGCAGCCAGGCAATGACAGTCCACCCAGAAACTTCCTCCAGCATCTAAGAACAGATATCTTTGTGCCTCCCCATCCTATAAGCAATTTAAATCTGAGCCTCGCCACTTCCCTGCCTCAGCCGCTGTCATTTCAGTCACCCCGTCTGGGATGACTTCTCCAAGGCCCATAATTTACTCCCTGCCTGCCTCTCGGTTATCCAACTATTATTCTCTCCCTGAAATTCCACCTCCCACGTGTGACCCACAGCCCTGGCCAGAGGACCGTGTTCTGCAGCCAGTCGCTGTCCTTGGCTTTCAAGTCAGCAATACTGGCTTTAAGATGGAATGTGCCGCCCATGGCCACCTGCACAGGCCGGGCAAAGCACAGAGGCTGCACTTCTTTCTTGGTCTGGCAGAAGAGCCTGTGTGACTAGGGAAGGAAACAAAAAGCACAGATTGTCAAGATGTTCCCCGTGCTTGCAGATTACAGAAACAAAGGAAAGAGAACCATTCCCTTTGCTAGGTAGTCAATTCCACAATTGTTTATCAAATTCCCACTGTACTTGGCTCAGAGTAAGAGCCTTCATGCAGTCTTTTTTTTTTTTTTTTTTTTTCCTGAGACGGAGTCTCGCTCTGTCACCCAGGCTGGAGTGCAGTGGTGTGATTTCAGCTTACTGCAACCTCCACCTCTTGGGTTCAAGCTATTCTCCTGCCTCAGCCACCTGAGTAGCTGGGATTACAGGCACGTGCCACCACACCCAGCTAATTTTTGTATTTTTAGTGGAGACGGGGGTTTCACCATGTTGCCCAGGCTGGTCTTGAACTCCTGACCTCAGGTAATCCCCTGCCTTGGCCTCCCAAAATGCTGGGATTACAGGCGTGAGCCACCGCACCCAGCCCTTCATGTAGTCTTTACCTCAAAAACTCTTCCAATTCAGAAATGAGGTAAGTATATCAATGGCTACAAGGAAAGAATGGGTAGGTTTTGCAAGGGAAAAACATACTACTGAGGCTCAAAAGGGAGGGGATATCTCATGAAGAAAGGAATGATCAGGAAAGTTTGTGTGAAAAAGGAGGAATGTGCGATGAGTGGCCCTGGCAGAAGGAGAAAATTTTAATTCAATTTTAATTCAAGTTTAAATAGCTGCAGGTGGCTAATGGCTACTCTACTATGCTGCACAGGTATCAAGTGTACAAGAGGAGTGACAGGTGGGAGAATCTGACCTCAATACAGGGATGAAAGAGGAATGGGAGGAAAGCAGGAGTACTGCCCCAGTTTAAAAACAAACAAACAAACAAAAAAACAAGGATCTGGGATGCTGACTAAGGCATTTCTACTCAATTTACTAGGCAAAGGGAAGTCCTGAAGGTTTTTGAGATGAGGAAAGAAATGATCAGAACTGTGCTTTGGAGAAACAGTAGGTAGTCAGTATGTGTTTACAAACTGAAGTATCTGAAAATATCGCAGTGGGCAGACAGATGGGGTGGGGAGACAGGGTTAGAAGCTCTGAGGAGCTGACCCAGTTGGGGCTACTTAGGGCCCGAACTAGTGTGTGACCCGTGATCAGCTGACTTTTGGATGTGTGGGTCTTAGGATGCTGGGACTGCATTCAGGTGATGATGTCAATCAGGCTGCTGGACACACACGTGAGGCTCAGGAGAGGGATTCAGGTTACACACACAGACTACGAAGCATTTGTCTGCACACAAGTGACAGGTGAAGCCACAGAAGGTGAGAGGGCAGAGAGAGAAGTTTGGAAACAAAACTGTGGGAAGACCCATCTCTAAGGGTTTGGAGGAGCCAGTGAAGGAGAGAAACAGGAGAGTTTACATATGCTAGGGAAGAGCAAAGGAAGTGTCATGTCACAGGCCATCAGGGAGGAGAGAATTTCAGGAAGGTGTTTAACAGTGGCAGATGCTGCAGCAAGACTGAGGGGAAAAGACAACAAACCACAGAAGGGCTAGAGACCTCCAAGAGCATTCAGAGCAGAGGTGAAGGCAAATTGTAAACAAGAGAAGGCCAGACTCAGTTTCTCTTTCAGGAAAGTCCACTCAGGACGCAGGGAGCACCCATCTGTGTGGGCAGAGTGTTGTCCAGCACTGGGGTAGAGGCTGCTCTGTACCCTAGAGCGACAGTCCAGAGGTGGACACACATGTGAAAATGACAAGCAGAGCCCTGTCCAATAAACGCTGTGATCAGCCACGGGAAGAGATGGAGGGTCAGAAAACTCTTCCCAAAGGGAAGAGCATTGAGTTTAAGGCTGGAAAGACATGAGTTAAGCAGGCAAAATGAAGAAAACACCATGACACATTTGAGTTAGTTTAGTTCAGCTGGATCAAAAGTACAAGGCAGTAAGCAGAGAAATTCCACATTAGAAATGCAAAAGCTCAGAGGAAATCCATAGGGAAGGTCTGTAAAGAGGATGGAGGAGGGCTGGGATGAGGGTATAGTAGGAGAGGTGAGCCTGGAATAAGGAAGGATGCTGCATTCTTTGAGCGAGAAATGATGGGTACGAAGCTAGCGAAATATAGGTCTCTGATGTGGGAAGAAGGAAACAGGAAAGTCAGGTGGGTCAGCCTCGATTTTCTCAGGAACTAGGAGTCAAGATGGTGGGAGAGCTGTGGAGTGGCCACGGTGGTGGGTGTGTTAGGGAATCTACATGAGACGAATAAAAGGATTATAAGGCAGTTAGTGAAGCGCCAGTGAAATTAAGAAATATAACATGTTGGTGAAGCCAGTCAGCAGCCTCAGGAGAAACCAAGCCTGCTGACACCTTGGTCTTAGACTTCTGGCCTCCAGAAATGTGAAAAAATAAATCTCTGTGGTTTAATGCACCCCATCTGTGATACCGTCTTATGGCAGCCCAAGCTGACTAATACCCTCACCGGTCCTTCATTCTCAACTCACCTCTATCCAAAAATCTTTTCTGTGTAGGAAGTTAAGAAAGAAAAGGTAGAGCTCTTCCTATTTTTACCTGAACAATTCAGCCCCAAAACCATTCAATTACATGGAGCAGAATAAGACAGGTTTCGTGCAGGACTTGAGGGGGTGCAGGGTGGGATGCAGGCTGTCAGCTCAAGTGGATGAGGAGGGCCCCCGTCTCACTGTGCAGAGGGTGACAGGAGAGCAAGTGGGTAAATCTATTAAGGCTATGGGAAGTCAGGTTTCCACTGTCTGAGAAGGAACTTACACATCTATGTGTACTGGGTAATGATTTAAATAGAATTTCTTATGAGGGGTGAGCCCACTGGGCTTCCAGACTCTTCACAATGTGCCTCCACCCACACTACTCTCCAACCTCATCTCCGCCCCTGAGCTCTGGTCATGCTGCCTTCTTTGAGCTCCGCTCCTTTCAGTCTCCTGGCTTTAGCACATGCTGTTCCCTCTGCCTGGAACACTCTCCCCATCCTTTAAGTTAGCCACCCCTATTCCACCTACAGATTCAGCTTAAATGTCACTTTCTGTAAGAAGCCTTCCCTAACTTCCCAATCCAAATTAGATTCTCCCAGTGATTCTCTCTCTCAAATTATCCCATCGGTAACTGTATATTTGTGTTCATTTGTTTAATGTCCACCTCCCCCACTAGACCAAGAGCCCAGCAGGGGCAGGCCCAGGGCTAGCCTTGCTCACTCTGGCTTCCCTGAGCCCAGCAGAGTGTCCTGTCCTTTGGAGACTCTCTAGATACTGCTGCTGAAAGAGAGGATCACACAAAGGCAGCAGAATGGAATGAGAGCAAAGCCACTTCCTCCCCCCAAACCTGGGCCATCCTGGAAAACATGCATTTGATTGTGACAGATGAGAGGACAGGGGATTCAGTCCATTGCTGGTTCCTGGGGACTTTCTAAACTCACTAAAGCCAGGGGCCTCTCTAGTCAAAAAATAAGCACCTGGCATGTAAGCAATAAAGCAATCGAGGAAAGGTGAACTTATTTGTGAGACCTTGGAAAGAACAACAGTAAGAAGGGAATACATCCTCTACCTGCTCAGGATCTGGGAAATTCTAAAATTGTATCACATACAGGAATAGTAGAAAACACGGGAGCTAAGCTGGTGCCTGTGAGAGACCTGCTTTGAGGACTTTAACTCAGAGTATTCTGGCTTCAGAGCCATTGTCAGCACTTAACCTCCAGGGCTCTATTAGCACAGGGACATTATCAATATTTCTCACTTCTGAGGAGCACCCGTCTCCTTGCCCAGGAGAAAACAAATTTAAAAACTACATGTGAGCGAGGTATCTGTGTAGTTTATGCATTTCAGGTTTCTTATTAAAGCCAAGGTGATAAATGCAAAAGGGTACATTCAAAAGGGTGTGAAACCGTGACAATACCCACAGGGAAGAAAAAATGAATTTTCATGGGAAAGCAGACATGAATAAACAAAACCATGAAAAGCATGGTCAAAAAGCTCCTTGGGACTGACTACCTCACTCCAGGTAGACAGTCCCAACCTTAGAGAAGAAAATCATTTCTGGGAAGGGGATTAAGTATAGAATGTACTGACATTCAGCTCCAGGCTTGACTTTCAGCCCAGTCTGCTATTCAGCTTTGGCCCTGGAACACTGAATAGGCAAATGCCTACTTCAGCATCATCACAGGCATCCCTGGACCTGTGCGTGGTCTGTGGTCCTGGGCATGTGTGTGAGTCTGTCCCATTTGATCAGCATCATGACCTCAGACACACAAACAAGCCCTGCCATCTAGATTTACTGCTAACAGCTAACCATGCACTTCAGCTAACAGTGAAGGTTACTTCCTGTATTAAAGTGTCAGACTTTTAAATTTTGACTATTAATATGTTAAATATTGAGACTGTGATAATGATTTAAAATTCTGATAAATTTTCTAATTTATTCTTATATCCTCGCTTATTCTATGATGGTGATGTTTGCCTTCAGCCTTATATTGATATGTTGAATTATATACTCAGCCATTCAGCCAAAATGTATAGTATCTCCAATATTAATTAGCATCCTTTAAAACACTCAATTTCATAGGCAACAATGATAAAAACGGGTAATTGTGAAATTCCTGAAACTAACCCAGAGCCCTGATATATTCTATTTCCACAAGGATCCGAGCCCAGGAGGAACACTTTTTTTTTCCCACCCATACTTGACCTACCAGCTATGAATCAGGGGATTTCACTCCTTTAATATCATCTACCACCACTCTCAAAAAACAACTGCTTCCTCCCAGACTATAACCTCCCATTTTCCCTCATATCTCAGTGTGAATAAAAGTCTTTCTTCAGCTCATGAGCTAAGGAAAAACAAATTTTAAAAAAGGAATGAAAGAGACCAAGGGCTCTATCCTGATGGTAAGTGAAAAGGGAATGTCAAATAATCAAAGGTTCATGTGAGAAACAGAGGCTGTGTGTCCCCAGAGCCCAGGCAGTGGACAGTGACTCAGCCCGATCGGGTGAGTCATCGGGGGTACAACCACAACAACAAAGCCCCTCCAAAAGCAATCACCCACACCCTCACCATTATGAAGTCTTGTCCCCTCTGGGGAGGCTAAGCTTGAACCAGCTTGTGCCTAGGGGCAGCGAACTGCCAAGGATACCATTACATTTAAGAGAGCTCGTTCTCCCAAGCTATTTAAATAAATGGCGTCATTTGCTAATCTCTAGCTGTATCTCATGACAAGAGGAATAATTCATTTTATTGAGGTCAGAGCATTGGGTTAATGCAGAGATTTGGTTTAGCAGTTAAGGGAAAGACTATACTAGTAAGCTGATATTTTTCCTCCTTTCCTTCCCCAGGGAACAAAGATGAAGTTAACCCTCCCACCTGTCTTTCCTTATGAACACTTGCCTTTTCCAACTGTTTTCTGCCATGGCTAATCAGAAAAAGTTTCTTAAGGAAATGGTGGCAAAAAAAAAAAAAAAAAGACACAAAGGTAACAAACAAAGCTGGACCTATTTATAATGTTCCAGTAAGCAGAAGTACCTAGAGACTGACTTGCTAGGATTTAGTCTGTTAGAAGATCTCAAGAAGTCAAGAGACATGATGAAGGAGGAAAGGCTGAACTTCAGACCTGCAACTTCCCAGCCAGAGTGAATCAGCCAGTGACCTAACCACACTTTGTTCAGAGATGTCAAGGAAAAGTGTTCTCTCGGCCAGGTGCCATGGCTCACAGCTGTAATCTCAGCACTTTGGGAGGACTGCTTGAGGCCAGGAGCTCAAGACAAGCCTGAGCAACACAGTGAGACCCCCATCTCTACAAAAAATAAAAACAAAAATAAAATAAGCTAGGCATAGTGATGTGTTCCCATAGTCCCAGCTACTGCGGAGGCTGCACTGAAAGGATTCGCAGGAATTCAAGGCTGCTGTGGGCTATGATCAGGGCACTGCACTCCAGCCTGGGCAACAGAGCAAGACAGGGCAAGACAGGGCAGGGCAGGGCAGGACCGGACAGGACAGGACAAGACAAGACAGACAGAAAGGAAAGAAAGTGAGAAAGACAGAGACAGAAAGAGAGAGGGAGAGAGAAAGAGAGAGGAGAGAAAGAAAGAGAAAGAGAAAGAGAGAGAGAAAGAAAGAAAGAAAGAAAGAAAGAAAGAAAGAAAGAAAGAAAGAAAGAAAGAAAGAAAGAAAAGAAAGGAAGAGAAAGTGTTCCATCATTAAGATAAAATGGTGACCACACAGTTTTAGGCTACTGATCAATTCTGATGGCTGGAAATATAACAAATAATGGTTTCAAAAAAAGACTCTGACTGCATGAGAAGTACTAATACAAGAATGAAATAACCTTATGAAATTCTAGTGTGACATATTACAAAACACTGGAAGAGAAAATAAAGGTTCAAATTAAATAATAAATTTTTTCCTATAATTCCCTTTTCAAAATACCTGACCTCACAGGACTTAGAAGACTTCAACTTGCTAAGCTCCAAGGAAAACAAAAGGCATTCTATTTCTTGTTTGAAATTTCATCCTTGGGATATGGAACACAATTACCAACAGGGAGTAGGCATGGAGAAACTCAAACTTCCCATGTTTTTCCAGTCAAATAATAATCCATCCCTTGCCATCTCCCTGGACTCTAAATGTTTCAAAGTACAATATGAAAAAGAAAAATCTGGGCCGGGCACAGTGGCTCACGCCTGTAATCCCAGCACTTTGGGAGGCTGAGGCGGGTGGATCACCTGAAGTCAGGAGTTTAAGACAAGACTGGCCAACACGGTGAAACCCTGTCTCTACTAAAAATACAAAAATTAGCCGAGTGTGGTGGTGGGTGCCTGTAATCCCAGCTTCTTGAGAGGCTGAGGCAGGAGAATCACTTGAACCTATGAGGCGAAGGTTCCAGAGAGCCGAGATTGTGCCACTGCACCCCAGCCTGGGCAACAAGAGCGAAACGCTGTCTCAAAAAAAAAAAGAAAAAGAAAGAAAAAGAAAAACCTGAGAGTTCTCATCTGAAGACCAGAGCAGCAGGCCACCACTAAACAAAAACCTGGAATTCCTCTCTCCATCTTCAGACCTCAGAATTGAGGCATTGAGGGGAATCCCCATGTAACACCTGGCAGCTCAGCTCGAGTGGAGAATCGCTCTAAACAGTATTCTACCAGAGGGAGGAGTGGGGGTCTTAGCATATCCAGGTAACCACAAGGACAAGAAACACCATTCTTGCAGCAGATGCTCCCCGTGGTTAGATTCGCTCAAGGAGGAAAGAAGAAAGGCTGCTGCATGGTGGTGTTCTCCCAGATCCCCTCAAACTCCTAACCACAGCTTACCTTGGTACAAGGTGGTTGAACTTGTAAGAACTGAAGACCTCTTGGATCTTTTCTTCTACTTTTGCCTGGTAAGGATGCAGGAGATAGGAGAGAGAAAACAAATACAGATGAGACCTCCATCAGCTTTTTCTTCCTATTGCCACAAATGCCTATTGGCGAGGGTTGGTTGGTATGGTCTGGAACTTCACAGTACTGTAAGATGGGTTCTGCAGGATGACAGGCTTAGGACAAGGCGAGAGGGAATCCCCTGTACCATGCTGGCATCACAATGGACTTTTCCAGAAACCAAATCCATAATATCCAAACTAATGGCAGTTTTGGTGTTTGGTTCCCTGGCACCAGTTACTCTGGGAGCAGATGAAGACAGATGTCTCTTGCTTGTGTGGGAGAGCATATGCCACCCCAAAATATGCCTCAACAGCATAAGGATTATTTTGAGAAACTGCAGCTACAGGAGAAACTCTGAAAACAGAGTATACCAGTTTTTGAGGGAAATTGACATCTATAAAGGAAATCTCCACTTGTGAGAGTGTTTCCCTCTCCGTACCAAAAGAGAAGGATGACTAAATCAGAGGAAACTATTATCAATGGAGAAGGCACCTACTGAAATCTGCATAACAAACATTACTCTTATTTACCATACTTGTCCTGTTCACCTCCCCATAACTGGCTTCGCCCACAATCTTCTCTGTTTTTAGTTGAAAATGCTTTAGAAGCTGGAGTTCTAGATCACCTCTTTCAGAATTACTCATTTTCCCCTGGGTATCTCCTATGTATACATGAAGCATACATGTTAACAAACTTCTGCTTGTTTTTCTTTTGTTACCCTGTTGGTTTGTTATAGTGGTTCCAACCCAGAAATTAGAAGGGTAGAGGGAAAATGATTTTTTTTCTCCCCTCCACTTGAAATATGTATTCTTCCTGCTCTATGAAGTTGTTTGGATGTTCATTAACTCACCACTCTCAAATACATAATTAGTTTCTGCCTACAGTCATGCTTCTTATTGTAAAACTGAACAGTTAAAATATTAAAATCATCTGGGAGATTTATAACAACATCAATTGTTGAAACACCAAAACAAATAGCAAATTCTGGTCCTACGTCACACACAGGACTCCACAGTCCCATAAAATGAAGGATCTCAGAAAGTCAGGTCACAAAAGAAATCAGATCTTTCTCTTCTGAAGACCACACCATAATGCTAAAACCGCCCCACATGGTTGACAAAAATTGCGTGCTGGGTTCTGGACAGAAATACAGTTATAATTAAGCATGAATCAGGCTGCACTTCAGCCCACTTCCTGGTTGCTAAACGTCTGACCATTTGTATCCCATCATTCCTACAGAGCCAGGATCTCTGACATTAGAATCATAAGACTTTTGTTTAAGGATCATCTAAGATGTTTTTCAGACTTTGAAGTCCAGCAATCAGTTTGAAAACCCCCACAAAGGAACAGGATCTGCCTGAGAATACAGCTTCCTTATCTCCCTGTCAATGACTTCACCCTACACTTTTCAATCAATCAACAAACTCCTCACTCCGCACTTCAGCCCACTCCAAAACCCTTAAAAGCCCTAACCCCAAATTCCTCAAGGAGGGATTTGAGGATTCTTCCCATCTCCTCATCAGGTGACCCTATGACTAAACCTCCTTCTCTGCTGCAACCCCGGTCTTTCTTTTTTTTTATTTTATTATTATTATTTTTTTGAGACGGAGTCTCTGTCATCCAGGCTGGAGTGTAGTGGCATGATCTCGGCTCACCGCAACCTCCACCTCCTGGGTTCAAGTGATTCTCCTGCCTCAGCCTCCCAAGTAGCTAGGATTACAGGTGCCCACCACCCCGCCCAGCTAATTTTTGTAGTTTTAGTAGAGATGAGGTTTCACCATGTTGGCCAGGCTGGTCTCGAACTCCTGACCTCAGGTGATCTACCTGCCTCGGCCTCCCAAAGTGCTGGGATTACAGGCGTGAGCCACCACGCCCAGCCAACCCCTTGGTGTATTGACTTGCTGAGTGCATCAGGCAATGGTTGTGGACACAATGTGGTCTCATGGGAGAGCTCCTGTATACAAGGTATAGTAATGAGGGAGCGTCTGGTTAACAGGATTGGCGTTCACCTTCCTTGGCATTCCTAATCTTTGTAGTGAGACATGTTTTTTTTTGAGATTTCAAGATACATAAAAATCTCCCTGGGAAACTTCAAAATTGAGTCATTTATTTCCGAAATACCCATTGAGGTAGAGCTCCTAGTCCCTTTGAGAAGCATGAAAGAATTATCTGTGATGATGAGGGGAGCAGTGATATGAATCATCTACGATGGCAGCCAATCTAAAATTAATTTACATCTGGTTTTAGAATACGCTTTGATATTTGCTTTTGAACATGAATTTGAAGGATGATCTGTTTAAAAGGTTATAATACTTCAAAAAACAGACTGACGTCACCATGAGAATCCGACTTGGGAGGAATAAGAAAGTTGTCCCAGAATCATAATTCTTTTTCCATTCCTGACACTCATGCAGCTAAAATAAAGCACCAGCCTAAATGAAACACAGACTGCATTTCTCAGTCATGCGTATAAGCTGAATGGGATAGAAAAATATATAAGAAATTGGTAAGATCATTAAATAAAGATTTGCCTATGATATACCATCATCCCTCAGTATCCATGCGGGATTGGTTCCAGGATCTCCCAGGATATCAAAATCTGTGGATGCTCAAGTCCTTGATATAAAATGCTGGAGTATTTACACAAAACCTATACAACCCTCCCATATAATCACGAGTAGCTTAACTACAGGGATACATTCTGAGAGACGCCTTCTTAGGTGATTTCATCATGGTGGGAACATCAGAGTATACTCACACCAACCTGGGTGGTATAGCCTACCACACGCATAGGCTGTATAGTGTGGCCTACTGCTCCTGGGCCACAGACCTGTACAGCATATTACTGTACTGAATACTGTAGGCAAATGTAACACAATAGTAAGCCTTTGTATATCTAAAAGTATCTAAACACAGAAAAGGTAGAGTGAAAATACAGTACTATAATCTTTCCAGACCACTGTGGTATATGTAGTCTGTTGATTGTTATATAGTGCACGCCTGTATTTTAAATCATCTCTAGATTACTTATAATACCTCCTAGTACAATGTAACTGCAATCGAGAAAAGAAAAATAGCTCAGAGCAGTCTGAGTTATGTGAGGTATGCAAAATTTATCAGGCCCAGAGAGACCAAGTATAGGACTTCATTTATGCTCCCAACACCCATGTCCGGGGGCAGTTGTTTAAAGGCATTTCATTCCTCCCTAGCTGCCTCATCCATTATCTTCATGTTCCTGGAATTTGTGATACAAAGAATAATGTATACCTTATGTAATTTTAGTGTAGAGTCTTGGTAAACAATTTAGGAATCGCCTCTTCTTTTCTTTTGCTTTTCTTTCAGCCAGCTTTTTGGGTAACTATTCTTTTTTTTTTTTTTTTTTTTTTTTTTGAGACGGAGTCTGGCTCTGCCAGGCTGGAGGGCAGTGGTGCGATCTCAGCTCACTGCAACCTCCACCTCCTGGGTTCAAGTGATTCTTCTGCCTCAGCCTCCCGAGTAGCTGGGACTACAGGAGTGTGCCACCACTCCCAGCTAATTTTTTCTATTTTTAGTAGAGAAGGGGTTTCACCATGTTAGCCAGGATGGTCTCGATCTCCTGACCTCGTGATCTGCCGGTCTCAGCCTCCCAAAGTGCTGGGATTACGGGCGTGAGCCACCTCACCTGGCCCTGGGTAACTATTCTTGTCCTTTAAAAACCTACTTGTAACTGCTGCTAATTAGAGTGTATATTCAGGGCAACTTGAATCTATGCTCTTGGGTTGCAATCTTCAAGCTTGGCCCAAATAAACTCTCTACTTACATTAACTTTGCCTGAGCTTCTTCCTTTTAGATTGACATAATAACAAGAAAATAAGTCTGTACTTATTCAGTACAGACACAATCTTTTTTCCAAATATTTTTGATCTGTGGTTGGCTGAATCCACAGATGCAGAACCCACGGATATGGAAGACCAACTGTACTGTTTTATCTAAGTGAGTTAATGAATTCTGAATGACACAAAATCAAGTGGGAAGAAAATTCACTTCCTTTACCCCAGTACAAGCCTATTCAAATCCATACGACTTAATAATATTCAAAGGCTAATGCATGAACCCATCTTCCCCTTGGCATTCTGGCACTTAGATGTCTAGGAAGGAAAGCTCCCAGCCAGGAACTCCTTAATCAGAAGTCCCATCTTCAGCTTTCTTGCGGGAAAGCAGCCAAGTACAACGCAAGAAAAATGGAGGTTTATTTCTAAGCTAAGACACCTGACAAAAACATGGAAATATGTCATACCACAAGGTGGAAAATGCTTAAAATTTTCCCAACATAGTGTCCTTCTCTTTGGAGTTCCTAATCATTTCTTCAGAATGAACAAGTGATTTTCCAATGCAGTTAGTAACTAACTCATATCTGAAAAGTCAAGTTATGAATTCTGATGACTATCTGTGTATTACAGGTCAGCTGTTCATAACAATGAATAATTTTCTTTTAAGAACTAGTATATTCTGGTATATTTCTCTTTTTTTTCTTAACAGGTCCCATGGAGAACTAAGAACTGGTGTATTTTTTTAACAGCTTTATTGAGATATAATTCATATACCATTCAACTCACTCATTTAAACTGCACAAATCAATGACTTCTAGCATATTCATAGATTTGTGCATCCATCACAATCAATTTTAGAACATTTCACTCCCCTGAAAAGTAACCCCCCACCTCTTAAGCATCAAATCCAGTTTATCATTCTCCCCACTGCTAACCACTAATTTACTTTCTTTGTTTTTGAGATGGAGTCTCACTCTGTTGCCCAGGCTTGAGTGCAGTGCTGCGATCTTGGCTCATTGCAACCTCTGCCTCCCAGGTTCAAACGATTCTCCTGCCTCAGCCTGCTAAGTAGCTGGGATTACAGGCACCCACCACCATGCCTGGCTAATTTTTTGTATTTTTAGTAGAGATGGGTTTCGCCATGCTGGCCAGGTTAGTCTCAAACTCCTGACCTCAAGTGATCCATAAGCCTTGGCCTCCCAAAGTGCTGGGATTACAGGCATGAGCCACCATGCCTGGTCCACTAATTTACTTTCTATCTCTATAAATTTACCTGTTTGGAATTGTATATAAATGGAATCATAAAAGCTGTGGTCTTTTGTGGCTGGCTTCTTTCACAAACATAATGTTTTCAAAGCTCATCTATGCTGTAGCATGTACCAGTACTCCTTTTCTTTTTATTCATATTATTTCACCAAATAATATTCCACTGTGTAGATCTATCACATTTCGTTTAGCAGTTTATCAGCTGGTGGACAATTTGGCTGTTTCCATTTTTTGGCTATTATGAATAATGCTGCTATGAGTCATAGAAACCATTCCTCTTACTCAAGAAACAGGTTCTCCAGAAACTAAGCTAAACTTGTTTGAAATGTAAATTCTCAGGTATTCTCAGTATAGACCTATAGATTCACTTAGCTGGTGGGGTCCACCCAACTTCTTTTAACAAGTCCTCCAGTGGATTCTGATGCAATGCTAACATTTGTGAACACTGTCAAAATCAAAATGGAGTCACTTGTGTTTAAAAATCCTGACAAATAAAGCCAGGGACAGCTATGAAGAGAGGGTTCTCATGCATCAATGCCTGATTAACAAAAACTATCCCAAATGACTCTGCAAAAACCACAATCCTGCACAAAGGTCATCACAACCTTACACAAAAAATATCTCCACAAGGACATCTGTCCAGCAATTGCCTGTCCAATCTCAGACTGGTCACACTTGTTACTGATCCTTGTAGCCAATAATAATTATCTTAAAAGAATTATATAATCCTCATTATTCCTTGAAAAACCTTTGTCTTCCTTTACCTCCTTGAATATGCACATAGTTTACTGTGGCACAAAGATTCCCACTGCAATACACTATTCCCAAATAAGTGTCATGTTCTTTTAGAGAGCCTCTGTCTGTTAATTTAGGTTGAAGGTTTGATAAAACAAGATTTTTAGTAGTGGCAATAGTCACTAAATTTCAGCTCAGAGGTTGATGCGCAAAGTTTTACCTCAAATAGTACTTTCTTCATTCATAATTTAAAAACAGTAACGTACTTTTCTTCTCAACTAGTAAAGGATAAACAAAGATAACAAACCTTTTAAATGTTTAACAAACAAAAATTCTCTAAATAACCTAACATTTTGAATGTGCAGGAGACCAGAATATGCCACCTCAAAACATGACTGTAGGAGACCAGAATATGTCTTCCCACGATAGGCTTCTTTGGCATAAGGATTACTTTGAGCTGATTATTTTGAGAAACAGCAGACAAAGGAAAAGCTCTGAAAACAGAGTAGAAGTTACCTCATTTGTAAGGGAAAATTACATCTATAAAAGGAAATCTCCATTTGCCTCTCTTTCTGTACCAGGGAGACAAGGATGACTCTAAGCCACTAGGAACTCTTACCAATGGAGAAGGCACCTGCCTAAACCTGCATAACAAACCTTATCCTTGTTTACTGTGCTTTTCCCGGTCACCTCCCCATTCCGGGCCTCCCCAACATCCTTCTTTGTTTCAGTTGAACACTGTAGTTAAACCTGAAGTCTATGCCACCTCTTTGAGATTTACTCATTTTGTAACCGCCCAACGGGTTCTTCCAGCTTGCTGCACAGACACAATCAATTCACTAAGACCACAGCCTTGCAATAAAGAATGACTTTAACTGACATGCAGCTGGCAACACCACACTGGAGACAGAGTTATTACTCAAATCAATTTTCCCAAAGGTTTGGAGGTTTTTCAAGGATAGTTTGGTGGGCAGGGGGTTAGGGAATGGGAATGTTGACTGGTTGGGGATGAAATCATAGGGATGTGGAAGGAAGATGGTCCTCCGGCACTGAGTCAGCCTGTGGGTGGGGCCACAGGACCTGTCTGTGTGGAGTCAGCCAGTCAGAAATGCAAAAATCTGAAAAGACATCTCAAACAGCCAATCTTAGGTTCTGCAATTGGGATGTTATCTACAGGAGTAATTGAGAAAGCTCTAAATCTTGTGACCTCCGGAATAATCGCTGGTTATCCTTTACACCTACATCTTAGCAGAATTCAGGACCCTCTCACAATTCTAAAGGGAGATTGTCTTTCCAAAATTACGACCATCAGAGAAATCTGACAAGACTCCAACTGATCAAGCAAGACTCTGTTTCTATTTTTTTTTTTACTGTGAAATGAAAAAAGGCAAAATGACAGTGTGACAATTTATGTGAATTTTTAAAAACACAAATCCAGTTGTTTATGAATGCATAAAAGGATTAAAAGTGAAGTGGAAGGATGCACACACAACTTATGATAAGGGCTGCTTCTGGGAAGGGTGGCAGGCACACTGAACTGGGGATAGGGTTAAAGGAGGCTTTGGCTATATTTCTAATTGCTTTTCCTTTAAACAAATAACCAGAAGCAAAAAAAAAAAAAAAAAAAAAGATGTTAGCAAATGTTAATTCTCAGTTATAGAAAAATGGCTCTTAATTACATTATTATACTTTTGTTAACCATAAATTTCTTAGAAAAATAAAGGAAAAGGATTTCAAAGTGCTTAGTTTTGTGATACCTCATCCCCTACACCTACTTAGATAGGCAGGCCACAACATACGCAGAAGCTGTGTTCTCAAAGTTCATTGGTTTTTAGACCTTATTTGTTTTCCCATCAACACAATGTTATACCTAACTGTTAGGTTCCAAGGCCAGCTCTCCCATTATTTAATGTATAACCTAACAAATGTTAAGCCTAACAGTACCTCTCTCACCTTCTCTAATCATGAGGCAACTGATCACTCACGATATGGCAAAAAGGGAACCCAAGAGTTGAGTTTACCCCTGCTCCTGACAGGGCACAGGCTAGATGTTTCTTTTCTTTTCTTTCTTACTTTCTCTCCCCTCTCTGTCTTTCTTTCTTTCTTATAATAGAGATGGGCCTCACCATGTTGCACAGGCTGGTCTCAAATTCCTGGCTTCAAGCAGTCCTCCTGCCTCAGCCTCCCAAAGTGCTGGGATCACGGGCATGAGCCACGGTGCCCAGCCCAGGCTTGGTTGTTTCTTTTCTTTTTTCTTTTTTTTTTTTTTTTTGAGACAGAGTTTTGCTCTTGTCATGCAGGCTGGAGTGCAATAGCATGATCTCAGCTCACTGCAACCTCCACCTCTCAGGTTCAAGCGATTCTCCTGCCTCAGCCTCCTGAGTAGCTGGGACTACAGGTGCCTGCCACCAGGCCTGGCTAATTTTTGTATTTTTAGTAGAGATAGGGTTTGACCAAGTTGGCCAGGCTGGTCTCAACCTCAGGAGATTCGCGTGCCTCAGCCTCCCAAAGTGCAGAGATTACAGATATGAGCCATTGCACCCAGCCCCAGGCTAGGTGTTTCTGTGTACAGAATGTTTTCAAGTTTGCTGGTCAGGCTTTATACATACATACATACATACATACGTACATATACATACATACACTTATATGCACACATGTATATATATAAAATATATACATATATAATATACACATATATCTTTAAAATATATAATATAAACTAAGTATGTATCAACTTATAAACTATACACACATATATGATATAAACTAATATAGTAATGTGCCACATAAGGATGTTTTGGTCAAGAACGTACCCCATATTCCACGGCAGTCCCGTTAAGACTATGATGGAGCTGAAAAATCCCTACAGCCTAGTAACACAGCTTTCATGATGTTGTAGCACAAAGCATTACTCACATGCCTGTGGTGATGCTGGTGTAAATAAACCTACTGCACTGTCAGTGTTATAAAAGTATAACACATACAATTATGTACAGTACATAACACTTGATAATGATAATAAACAACTACATTACTAATTCACATGTTTACTATACTATATATTATTATTTTAGAGTGTAACTCTACTTATTTAAAAAATTAACTATAAAACAGCTTGAGGCAGGTCCTTCAGGAGGAATTCCTGAAGAACGCACTGTTATCCTAGGAGATGACAGCTCCATGCCTATCACTGTCCCCGAAGGCCTTCCAGTGGGATGAAATGTGGAGATGGAAGGCAGTGACACTGATGATCCTGACCCTGTCTAGGTCCAGGCTAATGTGTGCGTTTGTGTCTTGGTTTTTAACAAAGAAGTTTAAAAGGTAAAAAGAAAGTTAAAAAATTTAAAGTAGAAAACAGCTTACAGAATAAAAATATACAGAAAATATTTTTGTACAGCAGTACAATGTGCTTGTGTTTTAAACTGTTATTACAAAAGGGTCAAAAAGCTGTAAAAAAATTTTTTAAGTTCATGAAGTAAATAATTTACAGTAAGCTAGGTTTAATTTATTATTGAAAGAAAAAAGCGTATGAATAAATTTAGTGTAGCTTAAGCATACCGTGTTTATTTTTATTTTTCATAATGTCTGCTCAGTAACAAGTGTACAGTGTTTATAAAGTCTACAGTAGTGTACACTCATATCCTAGGGCTTCACATTCATTCACCACTCATTCACTCACTCACCCAGAGCAACTTCCAGGCCCACAAGCTCCATTCATGCTAAGTTCCCTAGATAGGTCTATCATTTTTTATCTTTTATAACATATTTTTACTTTACCTTTTCTATATTTACATATGTTTAGATACAAAAATATTTACCATTGTGTTCCAATTGCCTGCAGTATTTAGTACAGTAACATACTGTGTAGGTTTGTAGCCTGTAGCCTAGGAGCAACAAGCTATACCATATAGCCTAGGTGTGTAGTAGGCTATGCCATCTACATTTGTGTTAAGTACACTCTATGATGTTCACATGACAAGGAAATTTCCTACTGACAATGTATTTCTACTGTTAAGTGATACATAACTATATGTATATTAGTTTGTATTGTTCAGTAATGGAGAGATTGTGTTAGACTCTAGGGGCCAGGGATCAAGTAACTGTACTAGGGTCCCCAACACTTAGGTGCCATGGCAATAAATAAATGAAGAGCTAACCAAATGCCTGCATTCTGGACAGCTCTGTTTAAAAGGTATTTCATGGAGTTTTTCATTTAATCAATAGAAATCCAATCACTAGGCCAGGCATGGTACCTCACGCCTGTAATCCCAGCACTTTGGGAGGTGGAAGCGGGTGGATCATTTGAGGTCAGGAGTTTGAGACCAGCCTGGTCAACATGGTAAAACCCCACCTCTACTAAAATACAAAAATTAGCCGGGTGTGGTAGCACATGCCTGTAATCCCAGGTACTTGGGAGCCTGAGGCAGGAGAATCGCTTGAACCCAGGAGGCGGAGGTTACGGTGAGTGGAGATCGCACCACTGCACTCCAGCCTGGGCGACAAGAGCGAAACTCTGTCTCAAAAAAAATAAAAATAAAAAAAGAAAAAAAAAAAGAAATCCAATCAATAAAAGCAGAGAATAGTTTCCATTCAGTAAGTGGTAAACAACAACTAATGCATTTGGCACTTTCTCTTTCACAGCTTCTATCTAAAGCCAATCTCATGAGGCACCAACTTTCATACCAGGCACTATCACTTCTCTGCTTCCTATATCTCCCTCCTCTCCCAGAGACAGAATGTTTCAGAAAGTAGATTTGCTGCCTAAGATTCATGTCATTGAAGCTGCAGTAGAAGAGTCATTTAATATATGAAATATAAGGCAAGACTTTTCAAAAAAAATTCTCTCTCAGAAAATACAAGTCACTTTATATTCAAATACTTACAAAGTACCTCTTGCTGTAGGAAGTTTTGCAATTTCCTTATTTTGAATACAAAGTACCAGCTGGGGATGACACAATACCCTAAAACAACCTCAGTTAAGGCTGCTTTGGCTAATGGTAATCAGTGAAACAAGATAAATTAAACACAAATTTAGTAATTATCCCTGGAGATATAAACTCACACTTCCATGTGTAAACTGCCATTGTAAGGCCAGCTTTTTATTTTGTTTATTCATTTTTTACTTTTTTTAGAGATGGAGTCTCACCCTGTTGCCCAGGCTGTCTCGAATTTGTGGGCTCAAGCTATCCACCCACTTGGCCTTCCAAAGTGCCAGGATTACAGGCATCAGTCACCATGCCTGGCCAGTAGACCAACGTTTTAAAGATCATTTTAGCTGGGCGCGGTGGCTCATGCCTGTACTTTGGGAGTCCAAGGTGGGCGGATAGCTCGAGTTCGGGACCAGCCTGGGCAACACAGGGAAACCCTGTCTCTACAAAAAAATATAAAAAGTAGCCGAACATGGTAGCGCACGCCAGTAGTTCCAGCTAGTCAAGAGGCTGAGGTGGAAGGATCACTTGAGCCTGGAAAGTTGCTACAGTGAGCCATGATCATGCCACTGCACTCCAGCCTGGGAAACAGAGTGAGACCCTGTCTTTAAAAAAAAATAGAAATCATTTGAAAAAGTAATAAAGTGGTTAAGTTGCAGTGACCACAAATATATACCAACTGGAAACACTGCAAAAAAAAAATTCTAGGCTCACGTCTGTAATCCCAACACTTTGGTAGGCCAAGGCAGGCCTGTGAGGTCAAGGCTACAGTGAGTGGTGATTGCATCACCGCACTCCAGCCTGGGCGACAAAGTGAGACCCTTTCTTAAAAAAAAAGTCTAATGTTATGCAAGTGGATACTTGTAACTTGGAATAAACTGTTCAGTGGTAACACCTTATTCATATTCAAAAACGATGTATCTCAAGAACTGAACATGTGGTCCGGAAATCCACATTGGCTGACTCAAAAAGTGGCTCCAGTGATGATAAAAATAGTGAAGTCAAAGATGCATGTGAAGAGTCTGAAAAGAAACATTTTATAAATAAGAAGAGGAGGAAAACCAGCATTTCTAAATTAGTGTTACTTTATAAAGTAGGTGATTTTAAGTAGGTATATGGACCCAAATTTAAATGTAAATTTTGTAAGCAGGTATTTTTCACTTATATACCTAAAAGTACATGTATTTTCAACTTGACCAAAAACAACCTTTTGGACTTTTTAATGGGGAAATTTTGATATGCAGGATTACTTTACACTTGGGCAATATGGTATATGCTGAATTTCAATAAAATAAAATGGATTCAGAAAGCTAGCCTACTGACCACCTAACCAAGCAGAGCTCCAGTCCCTTCTATCAGAGGCATAAAAAGTTGGGAAGTTTTATCATATTTAGTGATTTGTTCCACCTCCATTTACTAATATTTTGGATCCTATAAGCTGAAATAAGTCAACAGCAGGTCAGGATTCTGTTCCGCTGGTCCCTCCTTAGGATATGTGGTGGCCCACTGCCCGAACCTGAAGCCAGCACATCACCTGCCTCTTAATACCCTGATAGGGGCCCACCCGCCCAGCTCACCTCATTTCCTACCACATCCAACCTGCACCCTCCGTTCCTGGTAAGCCATCTTAACGCCCCCAGTCAAGCCTGAGTCTTCCCTCAAAACAGCTCTCCCTCCTTGAATGGCTGCCCCAAACTCTATTTTTTACAGCCCACCCAGTTCCACGTTCTCCATGAAGTCATCCTGACCACCTCAGCCCACACAGATGGCTTTTCAACTCCCCAAAATCCTCGTGCAAAGCAGTTATAATTTAGCACTCTGTGACTGCCTATAGCATATTCTTCTTATTTTTTTCTTTTTTGAGATGGAGTCTTGCTCTGTCACCCAGGCTTGAGTGCAATGGTGCAATCTCGGCTCACTGCAACCTCCGCCTCCCAGGTTAAAGAGATTCACCTGCCTCAGTGTCCTGAGTAGCTGGTATTACAGGTGCACACCACCACGCCTAGCTAATTTTTGTATTTTTTTAGTAGAGATGAGGTTTCACCATGTTGGCTAGGCTGGTCTCAAACTCCTGACCTCCAGTGATCCGCCAGCCTCAGCCTCCCAAAGTGCTGGGATTACAGGAGTGAGCCACCGCACTCGGCCTTACAGCATATTCTTTTTTATCTCTCTAAGATAAAAGAATTTTGAGGGCAGGGATCAAGACTAATAATTCTCTTATATTCCCCTCAGAGTTCAAGTCACTTCATTGACAATGAACCATGCCAATGGTTCAATGACACCATGCCATTTAAAGTGGAGGACGCGTTTGCCTCTGTTCAAAGACAAACTCAAAGAAAAACAGTAGTATCTTTTGTAAACACCTGTTTTTGGCAAGGCTGCTACCTCTGAGACTATCAGTATTAACCTACTGGCCTGAATCAGAGTGTCTGCAATGGGATGATTCCAGATGGCACAATAAGGAAGGCAGGCACTAACAATACAACCATGTCTTGTTCTCTAGTGTCATGAAAGGCCCTCCCTGCATCTGCATTAACAAAACAGCTTAGCAAGGTAGAGACCTTCATAAAAATATCCAGAGCTGACCATTTCTCATTACCTCCACTACCGTCACTGTGAGCTAAGCCACCGTCACCTCTCTCCCAGGATACTGCAATAGCCTCCTAACTGGTTTCCCTGTATCCACCCTCACTCCCCACCATCTACTCTTGACAGTAACCTAAATGAGCCTGTTAAAATGCTAGTCAGACTGTGTCACTCCCCTGCTCAAAACTCTCTGATCATGGATCAGTCTAAGTCCTGGCAGGAAACAGATGGCACAAAGTGGGTGATTTGAGGAGAGTTTATAAAGGAACTATTTACAAAGATGTGGGCAGGTGTAGGGAAACCACAAGAGAAAATGCAGTATCTGGAGCTGGTAAATCAGGGGTACCTGAACTCCTCATAGACCTGAAGGTGTGAAGGATGGAGAGGGAGGGAGACAAAGAGCTCCGCAGAGAAGGCACATGACAGGAAATGTGACCTTAAGTCTAAGGAAACCCCACCCCACACAAGCCTGCAGGAGGGAAGAAATACAGTGGTCTCATTCTTCTCCTTCTCGGTCACCCCCAGCAATACTTCCCATGGCCCGCAGCCATAAAGCAAGGCAACCTGTCAGTGCAGGGCCCCCTCCTGGGGCACATCTACAGAGCAGGCTAGAAAAGGGCCAAGTGAATCTGGGGCAGTAAATGGCAGGTATACAGCCAAGTGGCTCTCCATCTCAGTCAGGGTATTTTAAAGTACTTCCAAAGGCCAATGAGACCCTACATGATCCGACCCATCTCCTACTCTCTGGTTTGCTAAGCCCCCTGCTCACCTGGCATTCTGCTGCCTTGGTCCTTTGTGCTTGCTGCTTTCTCTGCCCAGAATACTCTTGCACCAGATCCATGATGGCTTCCTCCCTCATCTGAGACTTCAGGTCTCAGATCACATGTGTTGTCACCAGAGGGTTCCCCTTAACACCTTATATGAAGACCTCCCCTGCTCCCACCCCACCCATTCCTGACACACCCTATCCCCTCTATCCCAAGGTGTTACTCTCCACAGCGTTTCTAATTAACATTTTATATTGAGATAGCTATAGATATTAACTCTTTTAATTGACTGCCTCATTGGCCTAGAAACAGTTTCATAAAGGCATCAACTTGGCCTCTTTTGTTTAACAACTTATGCCGAGTGTCTAGAACAGTGCCTGGCACGTAGAAGGCGCTCAAGTATTTGCTGAATGAATGAGAATCAACGAATGGAACAGACGACTCACAGCTAAGGACTCCTTCCACTATTTATAGGTTTAACTCCTATTACCAAATTATTGCTTAACAAATAAACCGAGTCTTCTGATAATCAGATAGGAAGCAGGTAACAAGCATTTATTTTTTGTTTGTTTTTTTTTTTAATTTGAAAAGCTTTCATCTTAAATAGACACAGGGTCTTGCTATGTTGCCCAGGCCAGTACCAAAATCAGTATAGTCGTTTTTTGTTTTAAGAGACAGGGTTTTACTCTGTTGCCCAGGCTAGAGTACCGTGGCTCGATCATGGCTCATCTGTGAACTTCTGAGCTCAAAAACAATTCACCCACCTCAGCTTCCCAAGTAGCTGGGACTACAGGTGCATGCCACCACGCTCAGCTACTTTTTTTTTTTTTTTTTTTTTTGGTAGAGACAGGGTCTTGCTATGTTGCCCAAGTTGGTCTCTTGGGCTCAGGTGATCTTCCCGCCTCGAACTCCCAAAGTGCTGGGATTACAGGTGTCAGCCATCAATTTGTTTTTACTGGCAATGGCACAAAATTGAGCTATCAGTAAATGGAAGCTTTAGTTAAAACTGAAAGAGTACTAGTATATCCTCTGTAAACAACTCCTCCTAACAAGGTTGTTACTTTTGATGAATGTATCATTAACCTACCAATGTGGTAGGTCTCTAAACCTCAGTCTTCTCATCCATAAAAAGTGAAAGGATTGAATGATACCACATATGGAGAGCATTTAGCACTGTGCTGAGACTCAATAAATGGTCACTAACATGATTATTAAAACAGTGAGGAAGGCCACAAAAATGAGATACAACATTATCATCCTACTACCTGAAACTGTTCATCCTAGACTCTAATAATGTGTGCTGGAATAACAACATGAAAAAGAAATATAAGATTCTTTACTGTCTGCCATACCGTTGGGTCTAGATTTGAAAGATACTCGCACCAGGAGCAGTGGCTCACGACTGTAATCCCAGCACTCTAGGAGGCCGAGGAGGGCAGATCACTGGAGGTCAGGAGTTCAAAACCAGCCTGGCCACATGGTGAAACCTGTCTCTACTAAAATACAAAAATTAGCCAGGCGTGGTGGTGGGCGCCTGTAGTCTCAGCTACTCTGGAGGCTGAGGCAGGCGAATGGCGTGAACCCGGGAGGCGGAGGGTGCAGTAAGCCAGTGCATCCCAGCCTGGCAACAGGGCGAGACCCCATCTCAAAAAAAAAAAAAAAAAAAAAGGCAATCCCATAGTCTAAGGTCAGATAATAAGTAAAACACTTGACCTGAATCAACTCAGCAATCCATCATTTAGGAATTCTGCAAAGATCCTGTAGGTTTTTCATCAATGGGAAATTTCTTTACAATCTTTTGCAGTCAGCCTTCCCTGGGACACACTGGTAGGCAAACCAACCTGGAGAATTAGCTAGATTCGAGAGGTGAGGATTTCCTTTGCTACCCTAAATTCCATGAAGTTTAAATCTCCAGTTAAAATATTTTCTCTGCTACTTTGTGAATAACCACGTATCAAGCCCTTGTTTCTGTTATAAATTTATAATTCTATTTAGTCATAACTGTACAATAAAACAATTATTGTTACTAATTTTGCCAAAGTACAGGCTTCCAACTTAAAGTAGGAAATACAAAACAGGTCTCTCCAAGGTAAAGCCTGGAGACTGATCTCACTAAGAGATCTTATTTCAGTAAGCAGCAGAATGTTCATTTATTAGTGTTAAGAATTATCCTAACCACTTCTCCTAGGGACAGATGGATAAACAGTTCCACATAGCAACCTTGGGAACAATTCCAATTAGGGAATAAGAAGAAAAACAAAACTATGGTTTTGGGCATATGAATATATACTCATTCGCCAAACACTTTTCAAAATGATAGGTTCGATCCTACTTCTAGGCCTTAGGGAATGATTAGTAGTCCAAAATCCATTCTTTCTATTAGATCACTTTCCAAACTGTTTTCCTGCCTGTCCCCCAACCAGGCTCCTGGTCAGGAGCTGTTTTATTTCCTTGTACTTCCATCGTTTAATATTGTGTCCGACACGTAGCTGGTGCTCAAATGGCTGAATGACTACCAAAATGCCCACCCACGAGGCGGGCCCCCAAACCTGGCACTGTAGGTCAAAAATTAAACAGATCGTGAAACGGCATGACAGCAGCCTGGCCCTGCTCTCTGCCTCCAGAAGCTGAGGGCAGGTTGGGAAAAGTGCACTATGCACCCCAGAACCTCCCGAAGTACTGGCAGAACAGAGTGGGCTGTCCGACCCGCACGGGCTGCCTCTGTCCTCCAGGCATAGAACACGATTCTTCTCGTTCTTTAGGGCAGAGGGGACTCGGCTACTGCCCTCTCCTCCAAGCCCAACCTTGAAACGACCCTTCCCCAAGCTGGCCGCGCAAACGCTCCACGACGAAGCCCAAGCCTGGGCGCCCGGAGCTTCCCAGAGGAAAGGCACCGCGGTGCGCTGTGGGAGTCGTAGTTCCCCGGTGAGTTCCGCACCCGGGCGGCCCTACGAACGGGACTCGCGCTCCCAGAACACATCGCGCGGGCGCCTCGCCCAGTCCTGCCACCTCACCTGTTCTATGGACGTGACTGTTTCCACCGAGTCGTCCTGCAACCGCTCTCGCGCGTGCTCGGGCCTCAGACTGTACAGCGGCTCTGACCAGACGGGGGAGGAAGATGGAGGGCAATAGTAGGTGAAAGAACTCGGAGAAGCCATGATCAGGAGAGCAGCAGACAGTGTGTAGGACTCTGCTTCGTTAAGCAACAACGCGCATTGAAACTCGAGCGGGCTAAAGCGCTACGGCGAGCGGATAGAGGCAAAAAGATTTTGAACGCGAATGTCTCCTCCCGCCTACCCGTCTTTCGAGTGAGTTACTGAGATGCTGCCGCCCCCCATTGGGCAGAGGAGCTGCTGCAAGAGCGTAGAGTCCTGAAGCGCAAGGGTGTCTACATCCGAATTTCATTTCAGCGAGATGGCGTAGGACGCCTCGGTTTGTTACGCAAATTGTTAAAGAACTGTAACATTCTGCTAATTCTCACTTAATTGTAATGCAATTGTTTGCAATTTCAGGTGCCCAAGAACCCAATGAATGTTAAGTTTGAAAGCATTTCTGACAGCTCTACTGATTTGCCTCAGTCAGGCAATTACTAAAAGAATTATTGTGCACCTTGGGGTACTTGACAGCCTCCCAGGAGAAGGCAGCAGCTGCTCAAACGTGCAAGGACGCCGTCTCAGTATCACTCAGTGATGGAGGGAGGGGGGTATTATGATTTTCTCCTGTCTCTTGGAGGTTACACTGCAGTAGCGAGAACTGAAATGCAGTACAAGGAACAAGGATAAGTGAAATAGACAGTCAGTCCGCAGATATTTATGGAACACCTGCTATGTGTCAGGCATTGTGCTAGGTTCTAGGAATACAAAAGTGAACAAAACGAAGTCCCTTCCCTTGGAAACCTTACATTCTAAGAAAATCGACAGAATTGAATGTATCCAACGCAATAAATATATGAAGACTTGTGATAAATGAGATGAAGGAAAATAACAGGGTCTATGAGAGAGACTAAAGGGGTAAGAAACTAATTGAATTGTATGGTCAGGCCAAGCCTCTCTAAATGACCTTTCATTTGAGATCCGAAGGATGACGAGGAGTCATCCAGAAGAACAGTATGGGAAAGAACTCCTGAAAAAGGAAGAAACAGCAGCTTTTAGAAGACATGTGCTGGGCACGGTGGCTCACGCCTGTAACCCCAGCACTTTGGGAGGCTGAGGCAGGAGGATCACTTGAGGAGTTAGAACATCCTGGGCAACATAGCAAGACCTCATCTCTATTAAATATCAAAAAAATTAGCCGGGCGTGGTGGCGCATGCCTGTAGTCCCAGCTGCTCGACAGGCTAAGGTGGGAGGATCTCTTGAGCCCAAGAAGTCGAGGCTGCAGTGAGCTATGATTGTGCCACTGCACTCCAGCCTGGGTGGCAGAGCGAGACCCTGTTTCAAAAAAAAAAAAAAAGCAAAACAAAAAAACAAACAAAAACCATAGGCTCAAGTGACCCTCCTGCCTCAGCCTCCTGAGTATCTGGAACTACAGATGCTCACCACCACGCCCAGCTAGAATAAAAGAAATTCTTATTGATTCTTATGGAGTGGACTTACTCATCACACTTGCCTCCAGAACAACCAAGTTTAAAGTTGTGATTTTTAGGAAAACGCTGCTACCTTTGGACAAGCAATAGAAGAGAATTTATTTTAGGGCATGCATCAAAAGTACTACACCAAAAATTATAATACCAAGAGATTAAACTGGGGGAGTTGTATGTAGGAGATTATAGAAGGTATGATAACAGACATTCCGGGTACACTTGGAGACAAGCTTTACTTCCTGCTCAGAGCACTTCACTCTGTTCCCACTCCATTCCATGTCACATGTCTAGGATCCAGGGATTATAGACCAGAGTGACATTTGACAACCAGCCATTCCCCTGTTCTCAGTCTCTGGTAGTAAATAGAAGCACTCACAAAAATTTCAAAGATGAGGCTGGGCTGGCCTAAAGACCTCAGGTGGATAAATACTACCACCATGTCCATTTTAGTGGTACTGTTGCTGAACTAAGACCTAGAGGCACCAGAATATTACCAAATCTGGAAATAAGGGGACAGTATGGGTTAGGACCCATGGATAAGGCTGCACAATGTGAAATGGTCTCATTATACTGCCCCCTGTATTGGCATCTTACTGTCTTTCCCTTAGTTATATTTTGGGAAATAAATGGTCTGATAAGGTCAGGGTTATATCTAAGGATTCAGCCTTTGTCACAAAGAGTTTCTTTGCAGGAGAGCTGGAAACTTAACGCTTCAATCCTGAAGACTGTGCTATTGAAAGAATAGCTGGGACAGTTTTGTGACAAATTGTTGCATCTGTCACAGATGCACCTAAAGCAATTGCAAACTGTATTTTAGAAATAAAAATTCATCTCTGAAATTCAGTCTCCTCTGCAGTGGGATCCAAAAGATGTGAATAGGAACATGGGCAAGAGTCTCCGGCAGGATAGTGTGTTCTCATTCAATTAATGTTTATTGAGTACAGGGTAAGTGCTGGGCACTGAGCTAAGTGCTAAGGAGACAGCAGTGAACAAGCCAGACACAGTCTCTGCCATTATGGGTCTCATGACTTACCAGAAAAAACATTAAACAGTAATGACAGAATTGACTCTTTCATGACAGTTGGGAGAAATGGGATGAGGCAGAAAGAAGCATGGAGTGTGTGAGCTTGCATGATGGGGGGACCCTAAGGTAGCCTGGAAGGTCTGGAAAGACTCCCATGAGGAAGTGAGTTAATTAATCCAGGGGATGAGAACATCCCAGGCAGAGGAAACCCAGTGACAACACCAAATCAAGTGAAACCAGCAATGAAAAATATGTGGGGTTTGTACTCCATGTAAGCATCAAGAAGACCTGGATCAAATAGCCCACTAGTTGTCCCTCCTCTTGGTTTAATAAAACCACTCATTCAAGAAGCAGAATGAACATAAATATTAATGGTGCTATAGAGAATGATATATTTAGAGAGAAAACTCTTAGTCATGATAATAGCAACTCCAGCTTGGACTGCAGATGGTTTATGTTTATTTTACTCACATGCCTGATACTCTTTTCTAAATTAAACTGATCGTGTTTCTTTAAAAATAATATTAAATGTGGACCGTGCTGTTTTATACTTTTAAGAGCAAGAAAAAGAAAAAAGTAATGGTCTAAATGAACCCCTAGAGGTCGCTTCCGACCCTGGAGTGCGTTTAGGGAGTAAGTTTTAAAACTGCTCTCACCGTTCTCCCTGTTTTCACTCATACAAGCCGTATGTCGGAATGAATTGTTTCCTTTAATATCTTGTGAAACTGTGTAGTAATACATATTGGAACATTTGGAAAATGGAAAGAACTCATCTATTATCCCGCTAGGTAATTAACTTCCTCCCCAAGTTTACTGCCCACCATCATCTGTGCCCTCCTACTCGGCGGTCCTGTCCCTCCTATTCCCCTAGATGGAATGACTGCCCCATCTCCTACCTAGGACCAGGTCATCTCCCTCCCCTCACGCGCCACCCCCCAAAGACTGTCGCAATTCTCCCTTTCCTTTCCTAAAACACCAAATTTTTCCTCTACTTGATCATCCAGATCTCCCTCAAGCATGCCATTTTCTCATTCTTGGCAGCGTGGAGGGTGAGGGGCTTTTTTTTTTTTTTTTTTTTTGAGACAGAGTCTCGCTCTGTCGCCCAGGCTGGAGTGCAGTGGCGCGATCTCGGCTCACTGCAACCTCCACCTCCCGGTTTCACGCCATTCTCCTGCCTCAGCCTCCCAAGTAGCTGGGACTACAGGCGCCCGCCACCACGCCCGGCTAATTTTTTTTTTTTTTTTTTTTTTTTTAGTAGAGACGGTGTTTCACCGTGTTAGCCAGGATGGTCTCGATCTCCTGACCTCGTGATCCGCCCGCCTCGGCCTCCCAAAGTCCTGGGATTACAGGCATGAGCCACCGCGCCTGGCTATGAGGGGGTGGGGGGGGGTGCATCTCTAACCCTCTTGATTCCACTCCTTCTCCAGCTACCTCCCGATGACTCATTGGCGGAGACCCTTGAAAGATTTGCTACTACTAACGTCTCCAGGTCCTCTCTTCCAACTCTCTCAAGCCCATTCTAATCAGGTTTTCCAATCGTTTCTTATCAACTCTCCATTAAATTCCATATCGCCAAATCCAAGGGCCAGGTCTCAGTCCTGATCTCAAGTCTTCCTTCTTGACTTCCCAGCAATATTTGCACAGTTGATCATTTCCCTTCTTGAAACACATTGTCCTTGTGGTGCCTCACACTGGTTTTCCTCCTTCCTTGCCTTTCTAATATCTTGGATACCTTAGCTTGGGGTACCCCAGGATTCAGTCCTCAGACTTCTTATCTGTCTGCACTAACTTCCCTGTCAGCTCAGGCAGTCTCAATGTTTTAAATAACACTTATAGGTTGAAAACTCCCTAATTTGTATCTCCAACCTGGATCTCTCCTGAACTCCAGAGTTCATGTCTAATGTCTATTTGCATTTCCACTTAGATCTCCAATAGGCATCTCAAACTTAACATATCCACAACAGAGCTGCTGGTCTTCCCTTCCAAACTTGTGCACTCAGTCTCCCCGATCTCTATTATGATAACTCCATCCTTCCAGTTACTCCAAATACCTTGGAATCATTCTTGCTGCCTCTCTTTTTCTCACTCCTTGTAAGTTCTGTTCTAAATATATCTAGCATCTGATCACTGCTTACCAATCCCACTGCCAGTGTCCTGGTCCAAGCCACCATCATCTGTTACTTGGATTCTTACACTAATCTCTTAACTGTTCTCCCTCTTTTCACTCTTGTCCCCCTGTACCCTAATACAAACTTGCTATAGACTGAATGTTTAGGTGCCCCCAGTAGTCATATGTTGAAACCTAATCCCCAATATGAAGGTGTTTGAAGGTGGAGCCTTTGGTAGGTGTTTGGGTCATGAGGGCCGAGCTGCCATAAATGGGATTCATGTCCTTATAAAAGAGACCCCACAGAGCTCCCTCACTCCTTCTGCCATATAAGGACACATAGAGAAGGCATCACCTATGAGCCAGGAAGCAGGCCCTCACCAGACACCGAATCTGCAGGTGCCTTGATGTTGGACTTTATTTCTGTTGTTGACAAGGTACCCAGTGTATGGGATTCTGTTCTAGCAGCCTCAAAGATCCAAGACAAAATGAAAAAGCCAGACTGAACTTTTAAAAATGTAAGCAAAGCCACCCCTTCACTCAAAGCTCTCTTCTCATCTCAAAGTCAAGGTGGCCTAGAGAACCCCATTCACCTCTCTGGCCCCTTCCCTTGCACTCTCCAGCTTGCTCACTGCCTTGACACTGGCCTCCCTGCTGTTCTGTGTACACCTCTCCTGCTGCAGCCTCAGAGCACTGATGCTTGTGTTGCCTCTCCCTGCAGAGCTCCGCCCCAGACATAGACACGGATTGCCCTCCCTTCTTATAGTTTTTACTCAAATTCTTTTTTTCTTTTTCTTTTTTTTATAATTTATTTTTTCTAAAAATTTTTATAGTGATGAGGTCTTCCTGTGTTCCCCGCGCTGGTCTCGAACTGCTAGAATCAAGCAGTCCTCCCACATCAGCCTCCCAAAGTGCTGGGATTACAGGCATGAGCCACCATGCCTGGCCCAAATTCTTTAATCTAACCCCAATTTCCCTTTTCTTGAGATCTTTCCTTCCTCCCCATGTAAAATGGGAGTGCCACCCCCTTTGGTAATAGCTTAATCTCACTCCCCTGCTTTATTTTTCTCATCACTAGATCAGAGACTTTATATTTTGTGTATTGATTTGTTTACTATCTGTCTTTCTCCACCAAAATGTAAGCTTTATGGGGCAGGGATTTTTTTTTTTTTTTTGGTCTGTTTTATTCATTGCTGTACTCCCTGACATAATAGACACTGAATAAGTTAAATGGTTCAAATGATTTCCAGTCATTGTAATGAACATTTGAGTGCTTGTTTGTGTAACATAATTGTAGATGATAATGACAATGAACATAATACTAGCCTTATCTTTCAAGAGCTCACTATCTAATAACTACAGAGACCATGTAAATAAAAATGAGTATAAAATAAAAGTATAAATATAAATAAATCTATTAAGTAGAAAAGATTAAAAATGAAAAATATATATAAATGATAAAAACATAAAATAAGACATAATACATATACACAGAATATATTCCCCAAGAATGTATTCTCTTACAGTGGGAATGTAGCTGAAGGAGTAATTCATTCTAATCTATTTAATGAAGATGGCCTTTTATGTATAATATTTGTGTTTAGTAACATTTGTAAGAGACTAGTCTGAAGTAATCATTTTTTAATAATTATATCGAAATTTAGAAATTGTGAAATGTATTTTAAAATGTTCTGTATTACACAAAATGGAATATAAAATGTTTCCAATCATAAAAAACAAAAGAATAGCTTTCTAAATGCAGTACAATGATTTCATGGCACAAAGAACAGCTGTGAGCTTCTCAGAAATCAATAAATCATCAATACTACATGGCTGCATTATTTTATTGTGTTGTATGTTGATATGAAATAAATTACATTATATATTATTAATCATTACATATACTCTATTACTGAAAACCTGTGCAAAAGTATTGACTCACAGTCCTGTTTTGGGTTTATCATGGTGAATATTTTACCAGCAGATACAAAATGGAAGCCAACTAAACAACATTGTTCACCTTGAAAACTCTAAGAAATGATTTTTTATTTGGCTGGGTGTGGTGGCGCATGCCTGTAATCCCAGCACTTTGGGAGGCCGAGGCGGGTGGATCACGAGGTCAAGAGATCGAGACTATCCTGGCTAACATGGTGAAACCCTGTCTCTACTAAAAATACAAAAATTAGCTGGGCATGTTGGTGTGCTCCTGTAGTCCCAGCTACTCCGGAGGCTGAGGCAGGAGAATCACTTGCACCTGGGAGGTGGAGGTTGCAGTGAGCCAAAATCACACCACTGCACTCCAGCCTGGTGACAGAGCAAGAGTCTGTCTAAAAAAAAAAAAAAGTTTTTTTTAAACTGTTGAGAGGCAATGCCAGAGGTGTACACTGTAAGGCATACCAGTGACTCTCAAGCCTGGCTGTGCACTGGGATCATTGGTGGAGCCTTCGAAAATCCAGATTCTCCCAGGCACCAGCCCAACCAACTAAATCAGAATCTGTGGGGCTGGGGCCCAGGCACATGCATTTTGTCAAAGCTCCACAAGTGATGCTGACTCACAGCTAGGGTTGGAGCCACTTTGAAGCTTCTTTGTATGTGGTAGAAACATGAGCTGTCCACCAGAGACTGGCTCCCCTTCCACAGGGAGAGTTGCAGCTGGGAAGTGGCTGCTCAGCAGTCTCCTTTGCATTTAGGCAGAGGCTTGTGAGTGGGTGCTGGCCAATAAAAAGTGGAAGATGTGATATCCACTACACCTAGACCTGACCCTTTAAAACCTTTCATGCGATCCTCTATTTGCTCGCTTCCCCTCTCTGCCAGGTGAAAGTCAATGCCTGGGGTAGCCCTCCATTGTGCGGAAAAGCAAGAGAGATCAGATTGTTACTGTGTCTGTGTAGAAATAAGTAGACATAGGAGACTCCATTTTGTTATGTACTAAGAAAAATTCTTCTGCCTTGAGATTCTGTTAATCTATAACCTTACCCCCAACCCCGTGCTCTCTGAAACATGTGCTGTGTCAACTCAGAGTTAAATGGATTAAGGGTGGTGCAAGATGTGCTTTGTTAAACAGATGCTTGAAGGCAGCATGCTCCTTAAGAGTCATCACCACTCCCTAATCTCAAGTACCCAGGGACACAAACACTGCGGAAGGCCGCAGGGACCTCTGCATAGGAAAGCCAGGTATTGTCCAAGGTTTCTCCCCATGTGATAGTCTGAAATATGGCCTCGTGGGAAGGGAAAGACCTGACCGTCCCCCAGCCCGACACCCGTAAAGGGTCTGTGCTGAGGAGGATTAGTAAAAGAGGAAGGAATGCCTCTTGCAGTTGAGACAAGAGGAAGGCATCTGTCTCCTGCCTGTCCCTGGGCAATGGAATGTCTCGGTATAAAACCCGATTGTATGCTCCATCTACTGAGATAGGGAAAAACCGCCTTAGGGCTGGAGGTGGGACCTGCGGGCAGCAATACTGCTTTGTAAAGCATTGAGATATTTATGTGTATGCATATCTAAAAGCACAGCACTTAATCCTTTACATTGTCTATGATGCAAAGACCTTTGTTCACGTGTTTGTCTGCTGACCCTCTCCCCACAATTGTCTTGTGACCCTGACACATCCCCCTCTTCGAGAAACACCCACAGATGATCAATAAATACTAAGGGAACTCAGAGGCTGGCGGGATCCTCCATATGCTGAACGCTGGTTCCCCGGGTCCCCTTATTTCTTTCTCTATACTTTGTCTCTGTGTCTTTTTCTTTTCCAAATCTCTCGTCCCACCTTACGAGAAACACCCACAGGTGTGTAGGGGCAACCCACCCCTACACTCCATAATCAAAAGAACGTCATGCCACATGTTCTAGAAGTTAAAAACCTCAATTAACAAAGAGGTCTCTTTCAGTGTTTCACTCCACTGGACAAACGGTATCCCTTTGTAGATTCAAAATAATTTTCTGGACAGATTTAGTGACATCTTTCCAATGTATATTATTACTACTCCTTTCAAACAATCTTTTTCAAGTCTGCTAATTTAGAACTACAGGGTCAACTCTCCCCTGTCCTGTTGACAGAGCCCTTCTTCCCCTGCTGTCTACAAGGCAGTCTTAGAGGGGTCTTAAGTGTATAGTTAGGTAAAAAAGGAGACCCTATAAGTCCTGATATGTGAGAGACCTGGGGTATGGCGTCTCTTTGTCTTTGGTTGGCAGGCACTCTCTCTGATCCTTCCTGCAAGGCAGATCTTATAAAGAACAATGTCGGCCGGGCGCGGTGGCTCACGCCTGTAATCCCAGCACTTTGGGAGGCTGAGGCGGGCGGATCACAAGGTCAGGAGATCGAGACCATCCTGGCTAACAGGGTGAAACCCCGTCTCTACTAAAAATACAAAAAAATTAGCCGGACATGGTGGCGGACGCCTGTAGTTCCAGCTACTCAGGAGGCTGAGGCAGGAGAATGGTGTGAACCCGAGAGGCGGAACTTGCAGTGAGCTGAGATCGCACCACTGCACTCCAGCCTGGGTGACAGAGTGAGACTCCGTCTCAAAAAAAAAAAAAAAGAGATTAGGACATTGATAGGCACAGGTGGAACACCATGTGAACGTGAAGACAGCCATCTACAGCCAAGGAGATCCCTCATGAGAAACCAACCCTGCTGACACCTTCATCTCATACTTCTGACTGCCACAATTGTGGGAAATAAATTCCTGGTGTTTTTGTGTGTGTTTTTGTTTGTTTGTTTGTTTTAAGACGGAGTCTTGTTCTGTTGCCCAGGCTGGAGTGCAATGGCGTGATCTTGGCTCACTGCAACCTCCGCCTCCTGGGCTCAAGCGATTCTCCTGTCTCATCCTTCCAAGTAGCTGGGATTACAGGCATGGGCCACCATGCCTGGCTAATTTTTGTATTTTTAGTAGAGACGGGGTTTCACCATGTTGGCCAGGCTGGTCTCGAACTCTTGACCTCATGACCTGCCCGCCTTGGGCTCCCTAAGTGCTGGGATTACAGGCGTGAGCCACCACGCCCAGCCAAATTCCTGTTGTTTAAGCCACCCAGTCTCTGGTACTTTGTTATGGCATCCCTAGAAAACTGATGCAGTCATGAAGGTGGTGGCCAGGACACTAAGGACAACCTGAAATGGTACTGTGGGTCATTTTGTGTCAACATCAATTACCATCAGAATTGTTTCCTGTGGTTCCCAGCCCTCAAATGCACGTGTCTCTGATAATTTGCCTCCTCCCCTCTTTCCTTGTCATTTGAGTATCTTTCCTCCATTCTCTATTTAGTCAGGGGAAAACAAAGAAAAAGCATGTGAATGGAGGACAGTACTGAGACCGTGGTAGAGGGGATGTGTCCTGTTTCTTTCAATCACGAGGTAAGGAGGAAATCCTTCTGCACCGCGGGCACATCACTAACAGTCCCCCAGAGTAGGAAACACAGGGTAAGTCTAGAAGAGGCGGGTGTTTCACTAACGGGGAGCCCCATGGTCCAGCCGCGTTGAGTCTTGGTGATGGACTGCCTATTGGTGCAACTCTCCAGCTGTTCAGCTGTTGCTATGGCAGGTCCCACAGTGGTGCCTTTGGGTGCATGCTCAGTGTGGCTGGGGTGGGGATGGGGTGGATGGGGGCAGGCACTTGTCTCCCTGGTTGAAGAATCAGTATCACATAATTGAGAGACTGATTCTAGGAGGATTCTAGTGGAAAAGATGTTCAGCAACCATTCCTCAGATGTCTCCCAGTTCTACTGAAATGTGCCCCAGTCCAAGTTGACCACAAATGGGGAGGATGCCAAAATGTTCCACTGAGTGACTGAGGTAAGGGGATGGAATTTAGGTATTTCATTTACAAAGACCGGGTTAAAGTGAACTTTGTTGTCTCCACTAGTCTATATGTTTTTTTTTTTTATTTTTTTTTGAGACAGAATCTCATTCTGTCGCCCAGGCTGGAGTGCAGTGGTGCAATCTCAGCTCACTACAACCTCTGCTTCCTGGGTTCAAGGGATTCTCCTGCCTCAGCCTCCGGAGTAGCTGGGATTACAGGCGTGCGCCACCATGCTGGCGAATTTTTGTATCTTTAGTAGAGATGGAGTTTTGCCATGTTGGCCAGGCTGTTCTTGGACTCCTGACCTCAGGTAAGCCACCCACCTTGGCTTCCCAAAGTGCTGGCATGAGCTACCGCGCCTGGCCATCTATATGATTCTTTTGCTAACATTGTCCCAAAATCTTAGGTCCTCCATCTCACAAAACACACACACAGACATATAGACACACACACACATAGACACACAGAGAGATCTGTATGATGGCTCTGAAAGTGGCTGAACACAGATGAGGATGAGGATGAATATTTGAAGCTTGGGTTTTGGTTTCTAAACTATTCCCCATCTCTTTTTTTTTTTTTTTTTTTTTTTTTGAGACAGTCTTGCTTGCTCTGTTGCCCAGGCTGGAGTGCAGTGGTGTGATCTCAGCTCACTGCAATCTCCACCTCCCAGGTTCAAGTGAGTCTCCTGCCTCAGCCTCCTGAGTAGCTGGGATTACAGGCACGTGCCACCACGCCCAGCTAATTTTTGTATTTTTAGTACAGACAGGGTTCCATGTTGGTCAGGCTGGTCTCGAACTCCTGACCTTGTGATCTGCCCACCTTGGCCTTTCAAAGTGCTGGGATTATAGGCGTGAGCCACCGCGCCCGGCCTTTTCTTTTCTTTTTTTTTTGAGACAGAGTCTTGCTCCGTCGCCCAGGCTGGAGTGCAGTGGCACGATCTCGGCTCACTGCAACCTCCACTTCCTGGGTTCAAGCGATTCTCCTGGCTCAGCCTCCCGAGTAGCTGGGATAACAGGCGCCCACCACTAGGCCTGGCTAATTTTTGTATTTCCAGTAGAGATGGGGTTTCACCATGTTGGCCAGGCTGGTCTCAAACTCCTGACCTCAGGTGATCCATCTACCTTGGCCTCCCAAAGTGCTGGGATTACAGGCATGAACCACCTCGCCTGGTCTTTTTTTTTTTCTAAAGCAATGTAAGCTACTGAATTTGAGGTCAGTCCAGTATGACTACATACACTCCTTTTTTTTTTTTTTTTTTTTTTTTTTTTTGAGACAGAGTTTCACTCTTGTCGCCCAGGTTGGAGTGCAATGGCAGGATCTTGGCTCACTGCAACCTTTGCTTCCCGGGTTCAAGCGATTCTCCTGCCTCAGCCTCCGGAGTAGCTGGGATTACAGGCGTGCGCCACCATGCCCAGCTAATTTTTGCATTATTAGTGGAGATGGGGTTTTACCCTGTTGGCCAGGCTGGTCTCGAACTCCTGACCTCAGGTGATCTGACCACCTCGGCCTCCCAAAGTGCTGGGATTACAGGGGTTAGCCACCGCGCCCAGCCATTTTTTTTTTTTTCTAAAGCAATGTAAGCTACTGAATTTGAGGTCAGTCCAGTATGACTACATATGCTCAATTTTTTATGAGTATGAACATTTATTTCTCTGGATTCCTTCAGCAAACCTCATTCCCTTTCCTGTCTTGCCTAGGGAAAGCCATTTCTTTCAAAATGAAGTGAGGAATCCACGTCAGCTTGCATTTTCTTTCCTGTTTTCTCAGACAGAAGCAAGCAGAGAGCCACTAAAGGTCCCAGTGAGGAGGCCTGCAGAGAGCTATTTACCATTACAGTGCCGATCAATGGGAAGGCAGCTGCGGTGCCCAAAGGGGGTCAGGCTGGGTTGGATCTGCGCTCGGTACTCTGGTGGTCGTGGGAGGAAAATCACAGCAGGTTGGGCCTCGGTTCCTAGAAAACATCCCTGGCCATATTCATCTGTGGGATATTCTTACCACCCGGGATGCACAGGGGAAACATTACAGGGTGTTTTCTGCACCTCTGCTTTATTGAGTGCTGGGTCAAGTGTTATGCTGTCCTTTCTTTTTTTTTCTTTTTTCTGACGGAGTCTCGCTCTGTCACCCATGCTGGAGTGCAGTGGCGTGATCTCGGCTTACTGCAAGCTCCGCCTCCCGGGTTCACGCCATTCTCCTGCCTCAGCCTCCCAAGTAGCTGGGACTACAGGCGCCCGCCACCACGCCGGGCTAATTTTTTGTATTTTTAGTAGAGACGGGGTTTCACCATGTTAGCCAGGATGGTCTCCTGACCTCGTGATCCGCCCGCCTCGGCCTCCCAAAGTGCTGGGATTACAGGCGTGAGCTACCGCGACGGCCTGTCCTTTCCATGCATTATCTTATTTCATCTTTCCAGCAATCCTGTAAGGTAGTCACTCTAAATATCCTATTTTGAGATGAGGAAACTGAGTCACAGGGGGGTTCAGTAATGTGCTCAAGATTGCACAGCTGGTGAGTGGTGACACTGGGACTGGAACCCAAGTGTGCCTTACTCCAGAGCCCTTGGCATGCACCTGAAACCCCATGTAAGCCCACTGTGGAGACGCGCACCTCGAAATAATGGAATCCACTACATCAGTTCCTTTAGCTTTCTGTGTAATCAGAGTAGCTAGCAGGCTCGGGATTTCGCCCCCCGGCTTTTTTTTTTTTTTTTTTTTGAGACAGAGTTTTGCTCTTGTTGCCCAGGCTGGAGTGCAATGGCGCAATCTCGGCTCACCGCAACCTTCGCCTCTCAGGTTCAAGCAATTCTCCTGCCTCAGCCTCCCGAGTAGCTGGGATTACAGGCACCGGCCACCACGCCCAGCTAATTTTTTTATATTTTTAGTAGAGATGGGGTTTCACCATGTTGGCCAGGCTGGTCTTGAACTTTTCCCCTCTTATTATAATTCAGACACTTAACCTGAAATATACCTTTTCAAATGAAGTAAATGGGCTTACCACTTTCCTTGACCTACTATTGAAAAATACATTCTCCATCCAATATTCAGCCTGAAAACAGGTATGTACATATATACTTTTCATTGCTTTTTTTTTTTTTTTTTTGAGACAAGGTCTCCCTCTGTTGCGCAGGCTGGAGTGCAGTGTCATGATCTCGGCTCACTGCAGCCTTCCCCTAATGGGTTCAAGCAATCCTCCCACCTCAGCCTCTCAAGCCTGGGATTACAGGCGAGCCACCGTGCCCAGCTAATTTTTTTTTATTTTTAGTAGAGACTGGGTTTCACTACATTGGCCAGGCTGGTCTCCAGCTCCTGACCTCAAAGTGATCTGCCCGCCTCAGCCTCCCAAAGTACTGGGATTACAGGCATGAGCCAACGCGCCTAGCCTTTCATTGCTTTTTAAAGACCTAATAGGCTAGACTTTGCTCTCCCTCAATACTCGTTGGTAGGGATAGGCAATTTTCTCAACTCCGGAGAGCATTCATTTGCCTCTCTCCGGTGCTAACACATTCAGTGGTAGGAAACTGGATCTTGAACAAGGGCCATTCATTCTTTGGTGCCACTGGCTATACCACAGAGAAATTTAGGGGTCTGAAACAATACATTGGTCACCTGGGCACCTATCCTAAGCACCTTAGAGGGAAAACGGAGACTTGCCCGCACACCTCTAAAGGATTTTGCACTTGGAGATGTTCTTATGGCCATCTATCTTTTCACCCTGGTGGAGGCCGTGAATAGGCATTTTCCCCATTTAAAGAAAAAATGGGGACGGGGGAGGGCCGTGACACAGTCACACAGGTAAGGGGCAGCCAGATGGCAGGGAGGGGGAATTCCACCCACACTCTCGGGGACTCATGGAGACGGGTGTTCGAATCCAGATCCTGCTCAAGGCCTTCCTACCTCGGGTGAGCCCAGCTGAGGTACCAGCCACTGGGGAGCCCGGCCAGATCCTGCAGATGCAGGGTGCCACGGCGGGCGGAATTACCGGCGCCAGACTTGGGGTGGGATATGGGGAGAAGTGGTGAGCCCGGAAAGCGGAGCACGGTAGAAGTGGGCTGGGTGGGGGCTCACCTCAACTCCCCCATTCGGAGCGTCCGCGGAAAAACGAAAACGTTCCCCCGCCCCGGGCAGGAAGGGGTTGGGAGGGGGGGCTGGCGCCCCGCCCCAGCGTCGCCTGCTCGATGGGGTCCCGCTCTCCTGCGCGCGCTCCCCGCCCCCTCTCTCCGGGGCGGCGGCGGCGGCGCAGGGGAAGGGGCGGGCAGGGGCCGCCGCCGGTTTCTCCTCCCACCGCCTCGCGCCAGCCCAGCCGAGCCGAGCCGAGCCGAGCGGGCGCCGCGCCGGGCTCCCGCCGCAGCCGCGCTTCCCGGCACCCAGCGAGCGAGTGGGCAGGCGGGCGGGCGAGGCAGCCGCGGGGGCCGGGCCCGGCGTCCTCCTCGCCGCCCGCAGCGTCCCCGGGCGGGCGCGGGCCGCGATGGCAGCGGCGGAGCAGGGCTGAGCCCGCTGCCCGCCCGCAGTTCCCGGCCCCGCTGGCCCCAGTCATGGCGAAGCAGTACGATGTGCTGTTCCGGCTGCTGCTGATCGGGGACTCCGGGGTGGGCAAGACCTGCCTGCTGTGCCGCTTCACCGACAACGAGTTCCACTCCTCGCACATCTCCACCATCGGTAAGGGGCGGTGGCCCGGGGCGCCCCTCCCTCCCCGCCCGCGGCCCCTTTCCCCGCCGCCCCCGTCCCCAGCTGGGGAGGAATTGCCAGCCCCTCCGGCTGGAGGCGGTGGCGCCGGAGGCCGGAGTCCGGGATAAATCTCGGGGTGAGCATAGGTTTTGGCAGGTGAGGGTGTCCCTGCTGCCTGCCGTCCGGACCAGGGGTGGGGTCTCCCGCCTCTTGCCGGGAAGCCTTCCGTCCCATCAAACCGAGAAACCGGGGGTGAGGGGAGCTGGTGTAGGCCTGGGTACCCCGAGCTGGGGTAGCAAGAATCGTAGCCGCTGGAATAACATCCCCACACCCCCAGGGGGAGGGGAAGTAAAGCTTCTGCTACGGAAAAGGGGGTCAGGGTGGAGACCGGAGTCACTGAGGCGCCCTTGGTTCTGTGGTGACCCAAGGTGGAGCCGGCGGGGGGCGAGGGGGGGAAGAGAGGACGTACGGAGGGGCCACAGGGATCGAGTTTCCAGGGCAGAGTTGGGAAGGTAAGCCGCAAGGTGGGACACCTGGGGGAGGACACAGATAGGGTGAGGAGCCCCTGCGCCTGGGAAGAGGAGACATCTGTTCTGAGGGAGGCTAAAGAGGATGGAGGAGTGTCAGGAATACCTGCCCAGACCAAGGGGTCAGAAGGCAGGCAGGACCCGCCTGAGGGCATCTCTCATCTGGCAGTGCTGGAGCCTGTGGTTAGAGGGACAAGACCCGGTGGCATCCCAGACAGCACTATGATGGGGTCACTTATTCTAGGAATGGGTCCATGGCCTCCCCTCTGAGACAGTCAGTCTCCCGCTTCTAGGCTGTGAGGGGCCCCCTCCCTGAGAAGTCTGAGTAGAGGGAATTTCATCCTCAGCTGCTACCCGGGTCAGCCCTGGAGTAGCCTCTGCATTGCCCAGGCCCCTGGAAACACCTGCTGGCTGGCTGGTCATCCATTTGGAATGCTCTCCTAGAAGTCCCTGCTGCCATCAGGGATGGGCACCAGCTCTCAGCTTCCTCTTGAGGATTCATGTCCACACCATCCCCCCTCCCCCCAACACACATTCCTTGCTGAGAGAGAAGTAGGAGCAGATAGATACAGCCAGGAGGAACAGAACCTTCTGGTTAAGAAGCCAGCTTTATTGTCCAAGAGACCTGAGACCTCACTGTGGGGCAAAGCAACCTTGAATATTGCCTAAACTTCTGAGCTTTATTTAGTTTCTCATCTGTAGAACGGGTATAATAATTGCACCTACCTGCCAAGTTGTTGTCAAGATTAAATGAGATAACGATTGTTAAGTGCTTAGCACAGCCAGACACATGGTGAAGCTCGATAAATGCTGATTGTTCTTACTGCTATTGCCATTATCATTGAGCTTTTAGGGTCTCCTCTCTTTGTTTCACCAACTTGAAGGGTGAAACAACAGGACTTAGGGTCAGGGAACAGAACTTGTCCGTCTTTCTCAGAGGAGCTGTAAGGCCAACTCTTAGGAAACCCAGGAGCTTGGGCTGAGCCATGGTTTGGATGAGAGACATTGCAGAAAGAAGGGGAGCCTATAGACACTAAGGCTTTGTGCCTGCCGGGAGGACTTGGGGAAGAGGCAGGTGCAGGAGAAAGGCATGGGCGTGATGGAGGAAGTGGCAGAGGAACCAGATGGTGTATGAGGACAGGTTGTGGGCTCAGGGACAAAGGGCGGTGGGTTATCCCTTAAGGAAACTAGGAGTGGCTATTTTTGGGAGAGGCCTGGTGCTTGGAACTACTGAGCTATCTCCAGAGAGCTGTGGGCTGCCTGGGAGGCCCTGGCTTTGGCCTGAAGAGCTGTTGTTTGCACCTGCTCTCCTAGTCCCATTCCAAGTCCTATAGGTGACATGGACTTTTCCCTTTGAGGGCTTCATTCAACCACCTCATTTCAGAAGCTCTGGGACTCCTGCTTAGTGCTGTGGGAGGCAGCCTCCCCTGGGAGACACATACCCTCCTTTTTGAGGGCACCCCTCTTTCTAAAATACCAGGATGGCCCTCTGAGGCTCGTGCTCTCCTTAAAGAGAGTCCATTGCCTCACACCTCTAATCATCCACCCTTCTCCTTGTCCCTTCCCCTTGTAATCTCCCTTCTTAGACACCTTCTGCTAATAGGTGAACACTAAATAGGTCACAGGGACTTCCTGAAACCCTCCAGGGCAGACCACTTTGGGCACATAGGTGAATCAGTGAACTGAGTAGGGGTGTCTCTGCAGCACTGTCTCCCCTCAAGGCCCTTGGTATATTGGCCTAAAACCTAAAGATGGCTCCCAGATTTCTTCCTCCGCTTCTGACACCCGGGTTCCCCTTTCTACAGGACACAGAGGATTCTCTAGGGTCCCCCTTTCCACAGGACACAGAGGACTCTAGGAGTTTGGATTCCATGGAATAGAAAGAAACCTGTCTTTCTTCACACCAGCCTTTTAAAATCTGCCCCACTGGGTATCTTAAATGCTTTCTTATTTAAAGCTTATTAAGGGACTTGGGATTCTCCCTTATCTTGGGCGTGTTTTTCAGCATTAACTAAAACTTAAAGGAAAGAGTTGGATGGTCAAGAAAAGCTTTTTCCTTAAGTGATATGGACAGTTTCTCAAGGAGGTAGAAGGGGCAGCCAGGAGACAAATCAAGGAGCCAACGAAATGAGTGCTACCAAGTCATAGTCATTCGCTTATTTTTAAAAAATGCGTGTCCTGTATGCCAGGCTCTGCACTGAGACCGAGAGATTCCAAGATGAATAATACCTACAGTCACTGTTCTCAAATTGTGCATTACCTAAAACACATTACATGACCATGCTGGCCACTGATCGAGGCACCTTTCCCAGGGGCTTTTTTTGTGAATTAAGAAAACAAGGTAATTCACCAGTTATTGCCAAGATAGTTTGGCTTCTTGGCTCATGTGGATATCACCTAGGCCAGTACTTTTGTGATTTACTGTGTACTCCACTTTAACGGCCTGCGATCTTCTAGAGAAGAACCCGCCAGGGAGCAGTGAGAGGCCTCCCTGGTAGACTGAGACACTGACTGTCCCTCCCCCTATCCTTTTCGTCTTTCTGGCCAGCAGACCAGCAGGTGGCCCTGCCACTGGCTCTGCCACAGGCATTTCCTTTCTGTGCAGCTGTGCTGGCCTGGCTGGGGGTTGGTGCGAAGGGGTCCCCAAAATACTACCTTAAACAAATTAATTGAGCATTCACTACCAAGCTCTGTGCCAGGCATTTTAGAGACATATTGCAGTCTACGTTTTCTGCCCACAGAAGCCCATAACCTAGATGGGGAGGCAAGACAAAGGGAAAAACAAAAAACAAAGAGCTAGTGCCAAAATGAGATATCTGAAAGAACTTGGTGAATCACTCTTCAAATGTAAAGGATGGATTATGATCATTGCAGTTACTCTTAATGAAGGTCTCACAGTGGGTATCAGAAGCTAAATTATGATGCAAGATGTACCATGAGGCAGCCGGAGAATGGCGATGGATGGGATGGGTGAGTGCTATTCCCACGACTCCATGCTGTCGGAGGCTGGGGAAGAGAGAGGCCCCTGTGGACTAGAACCGGCAGGGAAGGCTGAAGCTAGGCCTCAGTGTGGGCTGCTCGTCAGTTCCTGCAGCAGAAGGGAGCAGATGGAGTAACATGAGCAGAGATAACAGAGGTGGGATTGAGTAGGTGTCCGTGGGGCTCTAGGCAGTTTAGATGCAACAGAAGGGATTCTTCAGGAAAGTGAGAAGATTCTTCTGTTTCTCTCTCTGTCTCCCAAATTATAAGTGCCTTGATGGTGCGACCAAATCTTATTCCTCATTGTTTTTATAGTCCCTAGTACAGGGCCAGGCAGATTCAATGCCTGTTGTTAAATTAATGAATGAATGCAGGGACCAGTTGGCAGAGGGCATTGAGAGCCTGGCCAAGGAGGTGGAACATGAGCCTTAGCAATGGTAGGAGGGGTTTTGAGTAGGGTACTAATGAGGTTGGCTGGAAGAAGGGGTTAAGACTTGAAGCAGGGAGACTAGTCAGGGGCTGCAGTAGTATCTGGGCATGAAGGAACCTCTGAATGGCCCCTCACCCCCAGTGGTACCAACACCAACTTCCACACAGTCAGTTGTTCTACTTTCCCTCCAGAATGGGGAGTGGTTCAAGCCAATCAACCTGGCAACTTCTGAAAGAATCTTATGGGACCTGTGCCATGACCAGGTAGGGAGAAGATGTCATACATGGACATCTATGTTCAGGGGACCTTTGAGGACCTTTCTGCATGGTGGCCAGGAGTGAGATGATGTAAACCACAAATGGAAACTGAAGAGACTGCTCAGGAGTTGTTGGTTTTCTTTTCTTTTCTATTTTTTTTTTTTTGAGACTAGGTTTCACTCTGTCACCCAGTCTGGAGTGTGGTGGTGGCACAATCACGGCTCACTGCAGCCTCGATCTCCTAAACGCAATCCTCCCACCTCAGCCTCTCAAGTAGCTGGGACTACAGGTGCATGCCACCACATTCAGCTAATGTTTGTACGTTTTGTAGAGATGGGGTTTCACTATGTTGACCAGGCTGGTCTCGAACTCCTGGACTCGTGATCCACCAGCCTCAGCCTTCCAAAATGCTGGGATTATAGGCGTGAGCTACCTCACTCCCTCAGGAGTTGGTTTTCTCCCTCCCATCCTTAGTCTTCCCTGAGTAGACCTGTCACCTAGTCCCTGGACCTTTTGTTTTGAAAGCCACCCTCCAGGCTACACTCCTTCTGGGTGAGGAGGAGGGTGATCTGGTTGGACAGGTTGGGCTGCTGTGGCTTCAGGGCACTTTCTCAGGCTGGGTTGCTGCTGCTATGTCACCTTTCTCAAGGAGTTCTGCTGGGACTGGCTTGGCTGCCTGTCTTGACTTTGCTTTTGACTGAGGAGGTGGGAGATGGTGAGGGAGGGGGTGGGGCTAGATCCAAGCCTGGAATGGGGTGACCTAACAGACACTGGGGCCTGTGCTTAGACACTAGGATCCTGGGGTTTGCAGGTTTCTAGACTGAGAGGAGCTGGGGGCAAATGCAGTGTGACGTTGTGAGAGGGTCAGGGCTGGGTCTGTGTCAGCCTTCAGGCAGCCTGAGACCAGTCTCTACCTACTCTGTTCCCCTGGTACCTAGAAAGGAAGGGAAGGTGAGAAGCAATGAGCAGAATGGAAAGAGCCCAGATTAACATGCACATTTCCCATGGCCTTACTGGCCCTGTGACCTTCAGACACTTTGATGACATCTTTGTGCTTCGTTTCTGCATCTGTAAATTGAAGATGGTAACAGAGTCTTTCTTAAAGGTTGTTGTGAAGATTATAGAGCCTAGCGCATATAAAGCACTTGGCAGAGCCCTCGATAAAATAATAGCTGCTATCATATTATCATTATTATTATTTTATTTATTTATTTATTTATTTTTTTTTGAGACCGAGTATCTCTCTGTCGCCCAGGCTGGAGTGCAGTGGCACAATCTCGGCTCACTGCAACCTCCATCTCCCGGGTTTAAGTGATTCTCCTGCCTCAGCCTCCTAAGTAGCTGGGATTACAGGCACCCACCACCACACCCGGCTATTATTATTATTCCTAGCTATAAGAATGCTGTAGAGATGAATACACTGTCAGTGAGCTAGGAGGTCATCCTGTGTATCCATCACTTGTGCACTCAGTCGTTCAGGCGCTATTTGCTGAACACCAACTACATGCCAGGTGCCATGCTAAGATTTGGGGACACAGTGGTGACCAAAACAGACAGAAACCAAGGAGCTGGCTTACATTCCAAGGGAGTGCATAGGAAGCTGTGTTTCATTTCAGTTTCTGCTCTAGTACCCCCCTTTCCCTGGCAGTGCCAGGGTCTGAGAAGGAAGAGTGAGGTGGTGAGGAGGTGTGAAGCAGTGGGGTGACCTGAGAGGAGAGGATGGGGTGGCTTTGCCTCAAGGCTTGGGCCCCTGCTAGGTGTCGCTCTGCCTCAGGCCTCTGTTTCTCCTCCTGACACAGGCACAGACTCGGCCTCCCACCCCTTCCCCAAGGACATGACCTTGGGAAGGAACATATCTGAAGCCCGCGGAGGGTTTCCGCTGCTGTGCATCTGTGCCACAGATCCGCAGATGCACCCACAGCTGGGAGCACCGGTTCCTCCCGCCTACCTGCACTCCCTGGTTTCTGTTCCTTCCTCCTCCTCCTTCCTTCTCCCCGCTCCCCAGACAGGCTGGTGATGAGCTTTATAACATGAAAGCTGATATTTGGCCATTATCCTTCTACCCTGATTGCCAGCTCTTCTCAGAGTGCCTTCTTCTGTAATCCAATCTTTGCACCAGTTTCCCTGTGAAACTGCCAGTTTTCTGTATAGGCCTCTGCCCTCTCCTTGGCTCTTCTCTCTGGTCAGTGAGCTTTGTCAAGGGGAACACAGGGCTTCCTGGACACGTAATTCCTCCCACTGAGGAGGAAGGGGCTAATCACCAGCCCTGTTTTATTTTATTTTATTTTTTTGAGATGAAGTCTAGCTCTGTCGCCCAGGCTGGAGTGCAAATGGCTCGATCTCGGCTCACTGCAACTTCTGTCTCCCGGGTTCAAGCGATTCTTCTGCCTCAGCCTCCTGAGTAGCTGGGATTACAAGCATGCACCACCACACCTGGCTAATTTTTTGTGTTTTTAGTAGAGATGGGGTTTCACCATGTTGGCCAGGCTGGTCTCGAACTTCTGACCTCAGCTGATCCACCCACCTCGGCCTCCCAAAGTGCTGGGATTACAGGAGTGAGCCACCATGGCTGGCCGACCCCATCTCTTAAAAAAACAAAAAGAAAAGAAAAGAAAACAAAACAAAAACACTTTTTAAATTAACTGATTATGGTGGCATGTGCCTGTAGTCCTAACTACTCAGGAGGCTGAAGTGGAAGGATTGCTTGAGCCCAAGAGTTGGAGGCCACAGTGAGCTGTGATCACACCACTGTACTCCAGCCTGGGTGACAGAGTGAGACCCTGTCTCAGGAAAAAAAAAAAATTACTGAGAACTCTGTGACCATGGCACCATGAACTATAGAAAGGGCTAACAGTTGGCTTTGAAATGTGGGTTATGGCTGGGTGCGGTGGCTCACGCCTGTAATCCCAGCACTTTGGGAGGCCAAGGTGGGCAGATCACAAGGTCAGGAGTTTGAGACCAGCCCGGCCAACATAGTGAAACCTCATCTCTACTAAAAATACAAAAAATTAGCCGGGTGTTGTGGCAGGTGCCTGTAATCCTAGCTACTCGGGAGGCTGAGGCAGGAGAATTGCTTGAACCCAGGAGGTGGAGGTTGCCACAAGCTGAGATCGCACCACTGCACTCCAGCCTGGGCGACAGAGCAAGACTCCATCTCAAAAACAAAAATAAAAACAAAAAAAAGTGGTTTGTTTTCTTTTCTTTCTTTTTTCTTTTTTTCTTTTTTTTTTTTGAAACAGAGTCTTGCTCTGTCACCAGGCTGGATTGCAGTGGAGATCTCAGCACACTGCCACCTCTGCCTCCCAGGTTCAAGTGATTTCCCTGCCTCAGCCTCCAGAGTAGCTGGGACTACAGGCACGCACCACCACGCTGGGCTAAGTTTTTGTATTTTAGTACAGAAGGGGTTTCACCATGTTGGCCAGGATGGTCTCCATCTCCTGACCTCGTGATCCGCCCACCTCGGCCTCCCAAAGTGCTGGGATTACGGGCATGAGCCACCACGCCCGGCCTAAAAGTGGGTTATTTTCTAATTGCTCTTCCCTGATTAAAATTTTCTCTTTGCCCATCTTTTCTCTAGATATGTACTGACTTCATTCATCCATTTATTCGTCTCACTTGCTCATTCATTTTTGCTTTCATTTACTCTACTTTGTTGAATAATATTTAGTGATCTACCTGCTGCCAGGCAGTGAGAGTCTGAAGTGAACAGGATGCTGCTTTGCCCTCTGGGAGCTTACAGTGTAGCTGGGAACCAGACATCCAAACAAGCAGAATATTATGCAAAAGAAATGTCAGGATGCTTTGGAATCACAGAGGAGTGAGAAATCCCTCCCGGGGAGGCTGGTGAAGGCTTTGAAGAGGAAGTGACATTTGAGTGGAGTCTTGAAGACTAGGCAGGATTCTCCAGGGGCCCTGGGTGTGGGGGAAGCACACATCCTCTTCCCTGTAGGAGGTGCTGTGGAGAACACCTCCAGTGGGGCTGCTACTCTTCAGCCTTGCTGGGGCCAGCTGGAGTGGCCACACCATGGTCACACCAGCTGAAGTTCAAGAAGCCCCTTGCCAGGAGATTGCTTTGCTGGCTCTGGGTGAGGGCAGGTGCATCTGGAAGCCCCCTTCTTTCTAAGATGTTTGCTCCTGAGTTTCTATGTCCTAGTCTTTTCTTCCCTGAACCTTTTGCTACCAGTCAGCACAGCCCTGCCTGAGAAGGAGGCTGGAGGAGTGAGTGGTCAGTAGCCTGGTGGGTCTTGGCTGCCTCTGTGGTGCCCGCTGGCCTAAGTAGCAGGCTTAGGGAGGCGAGACCCAGTTCCAGGGGCTGCCAATGGGGAGCGAGATGGGGTGGCTGGAGCACACTGCACATGTCACCAAGGCTCTAGGGAGGTCTGTGCACAAGGCAGTGGGAAAAGCAAGGGGAAGACCCAGCCTGGTCAACATGGTGAAACCCCGTCTCTACTAAAAATACAAAAATTAGCTGGGTGTGGTAGAGCACGCCTGTAGTCCCAGCTAACTTGGGAGCCTGAGGCAGGAGAATCACTTTAACACAGGAGGTGGAGGTTGCAGTGAGCCGAGATCGTACCACTGTACTCCAGCCTGGGTGACAGAGTGAGACCCTGTCTCAAAAAAAAAAAAAAAAAAAAAAAAAAAGTGGGGAAGGGGAACACTGATCCTGATTATCTACTCCATATACTTACTATGTACCTACTACCTACACAGGGACGGTGGGCTTTACGCATGCCATTTATTCAGTGTATAGAGATCTCAGCATCACATAGGAGCAGGGAGTTCTGAAGTTGGCCTTGCTGGCATTTGAGAAGTTTCTTGGTGTATTCTTCAGGTTCACGCCTCCAGACAAGTGTAAGTGCTATTGAATGCTGACTATGTTCCAGGAACTAAACCAGATGCTAGAAGACACGCAGTAAACAGTACAGATGCAGGTGCACATGTGAGGGTCCACACAAGACCTGAGAGAAGGGAGGGGTCTTGCTGCAGTTCCCCTTTTGTAACAAAGGAGAGAGTACTGTTGACCCTCTTCCTAGGAACTGTGAGTTTGACTGAAATGTGTCCTGCCACAGGATCTTTGCTGCTTCCTCTACCTGATTCTTTGGATCTCCCTGCTGGCACCTTCTTGTCATTTAGGTCTCAGCTCAAATGTTACCTCCTTTAAAATGTCTTCTCTGGCCAGCCAGTCTAAGGTTGCTTGTGCTTGGGGTCTCCTCACTCTCTACTTTATCCCGCAGTTGCTTCTTATCACATATGGCTCTCTGAAATTAGGTATTCATTACTTACATCTGTCTTCCCCACTAGAATTAAGCTCTGATGACAAGGATCTTTCTGTGCTGTTCATAGCTTATCTTCTAGTACCTGGCTTAGTTCCTGGCACATTGTAAGCATTCAATAACAGTTTGAATGAATGAATTAACAAATGAAGGAATGAATGAATGCATTTTCCTAGAGGACTTCTGTTCTTCCCTGAGGGAAGTTATAGGTCGTATTGGTTTCTTGGGACTGTTTTTTGTTTGTTTGTTTTGTTTTGTTTTTTGAGACAGAGTCTCACTGTATCCCCCAGGCTGGAGTGCAGTGGCACAATCTTGGCTCACTGCAACTTCCGCCTCCCAGGTTCAAGCGATTCTCATGCCTCAGCCTCCCGAGTAGCTGGGATTCCAGGAGCCTGCCACCACGACCAGCTAATTTTTGTATTTTTAGTAGAGACAAGGTTTCACCATGTTGGCCAGGCTGGTCTTGAACTCCTGACCTCAGGTGACCTGCCTGCCTCTGCCTCCCAAAGTGCTGGGATTACAGGCATGAGCCACCACGCCCGGCCTGTTTTTTTTTTTTTTTTAAGACAGAGTCTTGCACTGTCTCCCAGACTGGAGTGCAGTGGTGTGATCTCAGCTCATTGCAGCCTCAACCTCCTGGCCTCAGGTCCAGGTGATCCTCTTACCTCAGTCTTCTGAGTAACTGGGCCCACTGGTATATACCACCACACCTGGCTAATTTTTAAATTTTTTGCAGAGACATGGTCTCACTATGTTGCCCTGACTGATCTTGAACTCCTTGGGTTCAAGTGATCCTCACACCTTGGCTTCCCAAAGTGCTGGGTTTACAGGTGTGAGCCACCATGCCTGGGCTTGAGACTGTTAAGATGATGAGGCTGGAGGGAGTGGATGGCCTCACTGCTTGAGCCCTAGAGATTCCTTACTCCAGAGTGCCCTGGCTGCAGAGGTGGCCCTGGAGGGTCACTCCAGCAACCTGGCTGAGCTGATGGGCATCATCTGATACCAGCTCTGACCCTGAATAATAGGCAACATGGACCTTAGTCTAAAGCACTGACCCCTCATCTCTGCATATACCAAAGAAGATGAGATTTGGGTGAGGACACAGCCAAACCATATCAGCTCCCGGGATCCCTGTGTGAATGGGGTCTTTTTTGGTGTTTGAGGGCTGCACAGGGTGACCTCTTTAGAGGTGACCTCCTGCCACAACCCACAGGAGGTGCACATGGCCCACACATGCTGGTTTCCTGCAGTGGGAGGGGCTGGGGCACTCCTGGGACCTGTGCTTGGTAACTGGAGCTGGCCTGGCCCTGGGGATTGGGTGTCTGCCTTGGGTTTCAGGTGTATTAGGTTGTTCCTCGTTGTGGAGTCTCATTACTAATGAAAAGTTCAGGTCGCACTGCTGGTCCTTTGGGCTGTGGTTGATCCTGGTGATAACATTTGGCACCCAGAGGCAGCCCTGTTTCCACTGAAGCATGCGGAGCTTGGCTGGCAGGCAGGCAAGCTGGCAGCTGCCCTTAACCCATGAGGTGCTGGCCCGCTAGTAGGCACACCCTACCTGTGCCAGAATTGAGGTTGTAGCCAGACTCCAGGAGCCATCTGGGCCCCACAGGGGGCGGCATTTCCTCTTTTTGTTGAAACATTCCAGCCAAGTGCTGGCTTGGGCTTCATCTCTCTGTCCCACTCTCCTTCCTCTCCCCAACATAAGCCTCCTTCTACATCCTAGAGCTCTTTCCATTCCCCCTCCTGCAGCTCTGGGCTCGCTAATCTCATGCTTCCCTAAGGGAGCTTGACGGCTGCTTCTGCTAACATTTAATAAAGTTCTGCGTGCCAGACCCTGTGTTATGGGTTTTACACCTTATCTCACAATCTTAAAAAAAAAATTCTCTGAGAATCCTCTGTCACCCCCACTTTACAGGTGAGGAAACTGAGGCAAAGATAGGCTAACTGGCTTCCCCAACACCATGCAGGTAATTAGTGATAAAGGCAGGGTTGGAACCAAACTTGACCTCCCAATTGTGCTCTTAATGGCCAGGACACTCTGTGTCTTGAGCCACACTTCCTCCATGTTTTCTAGGGCTTTCTAGGGAGGCAGACAGTGATGGGAAGGGGTGTTCTTTAGTGTGGATGTGCCCTGCCTGCTCCTTTCTGTAAGCGTCACAGCACCTCCACTGCTGTACTGGGGAGGCACCAAGTTTTTCCCTGTTTGCCCACCCAAGGCGAGCTAGCTTAGGAGTCACGTGAGTGCTGGGTGTCTCGCCTGCTGCATCCCTCTATCCTGCCCCTGCCCCCGGTGCCCAGAGGAGGGCCCTGCCTGTCTTCCCAGTTCTCCAACAGCAGCGCTGTCCCAGCACCCTCGGGCTCCAGTTGTGGCCTGGCAGCTGCTGGGGCAGACACCATACAGACAGAGTCACAGCAGGAAGAGGATGGGGCCCAGGGCTGCTGCCTCAGGCCATGGCTGCATGGCACCATCAGTTGATTGAGGAGCTTTTCTTGCCAATGTCTGAGGCATCAGGTGGCAGGACACGTCTCCCTGCTCTTAAGCCTCAGGCATGCAGCCCTTCTTATGCTCTCTGGGGTGAGGGGGAGATCCCCCTCATGGAATTGCTTTTTTTTTTTTTTTTTTTTTTTTGAGACAGGGTCCTGCTCTGTCACTCAGGCTGGAGTGCAGCCTCAACCTCCCAGACTCAAGTGATCCTCCTGCCTCAGCCTCCCGAGTAGCTGGGACCACAGGTGGACACCATCACACCTGGGTTTTTTTGTTTTTTGTTTTTTGTTTTCTAGAGATGGGGTCTCACTTTCTTGCTCAGTCTGGTCTCGAACTCCTGGGCGCAAGCAGTCCTCCCACCTCGTCTTCCCAAAGTGTTTGGATTACAGGTGTGAGCCACTGTGCTTGGCCTTTTTATTTATTTAGAATTTGTTTTGGAATTGCTTCTTTATGCCTGGCACTATGCTGGCACTATGTGGCAGAGATTTTAAAAACGAGCAAACAAAACAAATGCTTTGTCAACCACAAAATGTATTCTCTGCCCCTTAGGTTCTTTTTGTGTAGTTGAGGCTAGAAGACAAAAATAGGGGGCAGTAAGGAGCAGGGAGCGATGGTTTAGGAGGTCTTCCTTCCAGCCCCCTTGTTGAAGCATCTGGCTCACTAGCTTGGGGGAGCCATTAGGCAGCAGTGGCCAATCCTGAGGCACTCTCAGGTGTCACTAAGAAAAGGGGCATGTGCTCTATGGATACCCATGGGCTGAACTTGGAGTCTGGTCTGGACCCATGGCTGTGCTAGGATCCACCGTCCCCAGCCCCAACTGCAGTCAGCATGTTCATCATCCTTAGGCCTCTCCGCTTCTTTCTGCATGTTTGTCTGCCTCATGCCCTGCTCATTACCAACTGGTCAGTCCCCACTGCCCTGCCTGGAGTGAGCTGGTTTGATTGGCTTAGCTAAGCTCCCTTGCCTCTGCTGGCCAGGTCACCCTGTGGGTCACCAGCAAACCTGTTGATGGTCCAGTCTGAACCTGCTTCTCCACAAAGAACATGTTGCACCCAGCCCTGCTTCTCTGAGCAGAGGTTTGGGGCTGAGCTGTTCTAGCCAGAAAGGGACACAGGGTGTGGCAGGCACCATGATGGGCATATCTAATGTGCCGGGAAAAACAATGAGCTGCTCTCCGTGCTTTGGGCACCTGGTTGGGAGAGGGCCCATCTGTCTGACTTTCTCCTCCTGGGGCTCTCAGCGTCTCCGAGAACCTCTGCCAGAGCTGTGTAGAAGTGGTTTGCTTGTTTCTTAACACTTCTGTGCCCTATTTCTTTCTGTACCCAAGAAAGGAAGTAGACTGTTTTGTAGGGACACTGTCGGGGTGATGAATCTGGACTTACTGGAATCATGAACCATGCCAAGGAGGAAGGAGAAAATAGGCTATGGTGGGTGTCTTAGTTAGGGCTGGCTGCTGTAACAAAATGCCTTTAGCTGAGTAATTTAAAGCAAGAGAAATGTATTGCTCAGAGTTTGGGAGGCTGGGAAGTCCAAGATCAGGGTGCCAGCAGATTCAGTGTCTGGTGAAGGCTGATGCTCTGTGACAAAGGTGGCACCTTCTAGCTCCATCCTCACATGGCAGAAGAGGGAACAAGCTCCCTCAGACCTCTTTTCTAAGGGCGTTAGTCCCATGCATGAGGGCTCTAACATCACGACTGAGTCACCTCCCAAAGCCCTCACCTCCCACCAGCACTGCACTGGGGATTAAGTTTCAATATGGGAATTTTGGAGGAACACAGACCTTCAGACCACAGCAGCGGGCTTCTCCTCATGTGCCCCCTGCCTCACTTCTAGATGCCGCATAATGTCAGTGAAACCCCGTCTCTACTAAAAATACAAAAAATTAGCTGGGTGTGGTGGCACGTGCCTGTAATCCCAGCTACTTGGGAGGCTGAGGCAGGAGAATCGCTTGAACCCAGGAGGCAGAGGTTGCAGTGACCTGAGATCGTGCCACTGCACTCCAGCCTGGGCGACAGAGGAAGACTCCGTCAAGAAAAAAGAGAAAAGGCATCAGGTATGCCAGGGTGTGCGGGAAAAGGCATCGGGTATGCCAGGGCGTGTGGGAAAAGGCATCGGGTATGCCAGGGTGTGTGGGAAAAGGCATCGGGTATGCCAGGGCATGTGGGAAAAGGTGGTAAGATTCCTCAGCCTCCCAGGGTTGGGAAGCCTCTGGCCGAGTGAAGCATACCCTGGGTGGGTTTTAAGACACCAGCTTTCCAGTCCAGCTCAGCTGTGGGATGTGGGAACATGAGTCAGTGGGAACATGAGAATTGGCTTCCCTGTGGCTCACAATAATACCTACTCCTGCCTACTTCATGGGACCCGCATAAGAGCTGAGGGATTCCATAGCTCAGGGGTATGCTGTAAAGACAAGCACTATGCACCTGGGTGTGGTTCTGAAACTTTCTTGTGCAGAAGAGTGAGTAGGGCTGGGCGAGTCCTGAGAATGTGCATTTCTCACACACCTCTGATGCTGCTGATGCTCTAGTCCCTTGGCTGGCAAGGGTACCTGGTTAGTAGGGGCCAGGACTCTGTAATGCCTTCCACTTCAGGGTTCTCTGGGCTGGTTTTCCTGACTCCCCAGGAAGCCTTTATTCAGCAGAGGGAAGGTAGGAGTGAGAGGACTACGCTGTCAGTGCTTCACATACATCGTTTAATTTATCCCAGCACAGCCCTTAGGAGGGAAGCAGTATTCTCCTTCTACACTTAAGAAAATCGGCCTGGTGCGGAGGCTCATGCCTATAATCCCAGCACTGTGGGAAGCTGAGGCGGGAGGATCGCTGGAGCCCAGGAGTTCAAGACTAGTCTAGGCAATACAGGGAGACCTCATCTCTACAAAAAAAAAAAAAATTAGCTGGGCATGGTGGTGCACACTTGCAGTCCCAGCTACCTACCCAGAGGCTGAGCTGGGAGGATTGCTTGAGTCCTGGAGGATCGAGGCTGCAGTGAGCTATGATTGCTCCACTACACTCCATCCCTGGCAACAGAGTGAGACTCCATCCCAAAAAAAAAAAAAAATTGAAGCTAGGAGAAGTTGAGACTTGCCTGAAGTTACACAGTAAGTGCCAGAACCAGGACTTGGACCAGGTCTTTCTGACTCCAGGCCAATGGATGTTTCTTCCATGACATATATAGCTCTTGAAACTACTTCTATCTAATATCACCCACAGTGCTGTTAAAAATACAGATTTCTGGGCCTCACCCTCAAATTATGATTCAGTAGGTCTAGGCACGTCAAGGTCATTGTTTTTGTCTTTGTTTTAAGTCACCCCAGGTGATTCTAAAGCCGAAGCTCTGCAAAGCACACCTTGAGAAACAGAGAACTCTTGTGCTCTCGCTCTCTTGACACTTCAGGTGCAAAACTTTTGTCCTAATGTCGTTCTCAAACTTACGCATGTGTGAGAATCACTGTGAGAGCTTATTGAAACTGATTGCGGGACCCCATACCTAGAGGGCCTGATTCTATAGGTCTGAGGTAAGGCCCAAGAATTTGCATATTTGCATTTCGTTTTCTTTTCCTTTCTTTTCTTTTTTTTTTTTTTTGAGATGAAGTCTCACCCTGTCGCCCAGACTGGAGTGCAGTGGCATGATCTCAGCTCACTGCAGCCTCTGCCTCCTGGGTTAAAGCGATTCTCCCCACACCCCAGACCCGCTCCTGAGTAGCTGGGATTACAGGTGCCCGCCACCATGACTAGCTAACGTTTGTATTTTTAGTAGAGACGGGGGTTTCACCATGTTGGCCAGGCTGGTCTCAAACTCCTGACCTCAGGTGATCCACTCACCTCAGCCTCCCAAGGTCTTGGGATTACTGGTGTGAGCCACCGCGTGCGGCCAGAATTTGCATTTCTAACAAGTCCCAGGTGATGCTGATGCTGTGGGTCCAGGGACACACTTTGAGAACAGCTTGTTACTCAGGCGATATGTGGACAGTAGCGTCATCTTCACCTGGGAGCTTCCTGCAGCATCTCAGGCCTTGCCCTACACCTACCAGATCAGAATCTGCATTTTAACTCAATCCCCGCGTGATTCTCATGCACCTGGAAGTTTGAGAAATATGACCTTAGAGGAGCCGGAATGTGAAACCACTGGAGGCAGAGATAGATGGAGAATATCTCTTCTTCTCACGGATACTAAAGATGCAACAAAAAGGGCTGACTCTCTGGGTGTGCACCCAGGTGGGGCTGATGACCGAAAAGAGGCCAGATGTGGACAGAGGACTCTTCCCTGAGGGAAGGCAGAGAGAACTTAGGAAAATCTGAAGAAAGGAGGTGGCTTCAGAGGAAAGGCATTCATCTGGGCCATAAAACAGTGGAGAAGGTATCCTGCTGAGAGCACAGGGGTGGGGAGGGGGTGCCCTGGAGCTGAAGTCTTCAGTGGGGGGACAGTGATAGGTGAACACACATGTGAATAAACAGTTTGCTAAGCAGCTGCGAGGGCTGGCCAAGGTGAGAAAGCATCCGTCTGCAGAGGCCTCAATAAGGCCAGTGTGTTGACTTTGTCCTGCAGTGCTCAGCAGTGGAAAAAACCAACAGCCACGCAGGGAGAGGGAAGGAGCCACGATGGGCACGGGTTACTGGGGCCAGGGCTTGACTGGTAGGTGGACACAGCTGAAGGCCCAGGTTGTGTGGGAACAGAGCGCAGAAGCAATAGATTCCTCTTGAAGATCCTTGGGCTGTTAACCTTTTTTAAATTTAAGAGAGGTTGTGTGGGCGGGGAGGGAGGAAGGAAAATCCTTCAGAAGACATAGACTTACTCTGTTTCTTCCATCATATGTGAATGCATATGAATAGCCAAAAGGTGAATAAAACACATGTTCCCAGGTGGCCAGTGAGACCTAGGTTGCAAGATGGTGGGGTGTGTGTGAGGCCGGGGAGTGCTGCGAGCCCCGGAATTCCTCAGCCTTAGTCCCCCGCCACATAGCTAAGAAGTGAGGGAGGAGGTGAGAAGGAGTCACTGCCCAGCCTCACTTCCGGTGGAGTACCCTGTCTCCTTGTCAGTTCTGTCTCTGGGGACAGTTGCCTGCTTTCACCTCTCCCTCCATCCCCTCTTCTCTCACAGGGAAAAATTCACCTTAATATTGGAAGTTCCTCTCCTAGCAAAGTCCTTCTCAGGCACCCACAGGCAAAAAGGAAACTAAGCAGAGTTAGGGCTTCCAGGCCTAGCCAACTACACGACTCTCCTCTTGCTTCCCTAAGAACCAGCGCAAGGGGCAGCGTGGGTTCCAGCATAGATGGACCTGTGTTGGAATCTCTGCACGTGCTGTGCTGACCCTGGCTAGCCATTGACCTCTCTGAGCCCTTGTTTCCTTTCCACTAGGCTCTCTGAGGGCAGGGGCCATGTCTTTTTCACTGCTCTGTCTGCACTGAGCACTGTGCAGGGCACATAGGAAGTTCCCATAAATGTTTGTGGGATAAAGGAAATAAAACCTTCTCTCTTCCTGTCCCCCTTGTGATGGCTTTGCACAAGGCACTGTCCTTGGCCAGGTTTGCTAGGCTAGTGTGAGGATAAACCAGGTATATTACAAATTGGAGAAAATTTCTCGTTCTTCTTGGAAGAAGGTGCTGTATCATGAAACAAGAATGTCTTGATTCCCTTCTATGCCAGGTACTGGGGAGAAACAGGTGCCTGATAACCGTTGATCCAGGCAGAAATAAGCATACTCCTGCTTCCCAAGGCCTGATGCTTCTCTCCTTCCTCCCTTCCTCCCTCCTTCTCTTCACTCTTTCTCTGCACACATGGAAGAATGGCTGCCAGGCATTGCCCATTTGGAAAAGTACAGCTCAATGGATATGAATCAGCTTGGGCAGGCGAGAAATGATTCACGTCTGACCAAATCGATTTAGTTCAGGTTGCCCGTTCTGCATCTTTTTTCCCTTGTAATTAAATGATGATTGGTCTTGATGGTGGGAAGGAAGAGACAGAATTTAATTTGTTTGCCTTTGTAGAAAGCTGGGGACAGCACAGATAAGGGAAGATGTCTCCCATTTGGCAAATAACTGATGCGGAGGTGGAGTGGCAGTGGTGATGGGGATGCTGGTGCCTTCAGGCCTTCTGGGCCGGGCAGTGCAGCTGGTGGCAGACGGTTCGGAACTCTACCATGTTCCCATCTGAAAACTGTGGCTGATCATGCCCACTCCTGACCTTGCTCCAGGGAGTACACAAAGACGTAAGCTTAATTAACCCACCAGACGTAGCTCTTGAATCCCTGGGCATAGTGCCTGGGTATAGTTAGAGTTGGGGAGAGGCATGGTCAGCAAAACAACCTCCCTCATCTCTCTGTTGTCACTCAGAGTCAAGCTGGCTGCTGCTGGTGGTGCTGACTTCTCTTGCTGCAGATTTCTCCAATATGTTTCTGCCCTGCACGCATTTGCCAAATCCCTTCGGTTTCTTGTGTCTCGTGGCAGCTTAGCTCCTCCAGCCCTTGGATGAAGAAGCGTGGGAACTCTTTGCTTCCTTTCCCTCCCGCAGTGACATGCCATGCCATGCCACTGCCTCTTCATCTGGTCCTATGACAGTCACTCATAAGCACCCGCATGTACCCGGCCCTGCACTAGCTCATGACAGCTGCAGTCAATTGGGCCAGGTGCTGTATCTCATCCGGCCTCCTCAGCAACCCTCTGAGATACTGGTAATGTCCCTGATGAAGATATTTACTGAGGCAGAAATGGACGCTCAGTGAAGCAAGGTGCCTGATGTTATAGCAATGAGCTATGAGTGGCCAGAGGGAGGAGATAAGCTCAGGCCTGACACCAAAGCCCATGCTCCTTCTAGTCAACCACAGTGCCTCCTATGGTGAATGAGTGAGTCAGCAACCAAGACGCATGAGGCCTTCTTTTTGGTGAGCCTTGGCTGGGTGCTGAGGCTTCAGGTACAATCATGGGTTGGAAGAGCCCTCCTCTCTCTCCACAGTCTGGCACTATGACCCCTTCTGGTTATTAACAAGGCAAAGAGAGAGAGGGAAGAAAGCAGGCAAATAATGTGGGTTGCTATTCCTAGAGATTAGAATTTCAGGAAGGATAAACACAGCGTTCTCTCCAGAAGTATAAATAGGAAGACTTCACACATGACTAGAACGAGACATGTTTTAAGTCTGTCGAGTAAGGCAGTGATGAAGTAGATTTCCCCAGATTCACTCTCCCTCCTCTGGGTCCCCCAGGGCCTTTACTTGTGGCAACTTTCAGCTCAGGGAGGGAGGAAAGCCCCTTTCAAAGCTTCAGATACTTCCTTAAGGTCAGTTTCTGCTTAAAGAAGGCCTTTACATTACTTCATCCCTTTGCCAAATTAAACTGAAAGGAAACCTTTCAAGTGTGATTGCCTGGCCCTTTCCTGTTCATTTCTCGTGGGTACGCTTTCTAACTTTCTTTCTTTCTTCCTTTCTTCAGGTGTTGACTTTAAGATGAAGACCATAGAGGTAGACGGCATCAAAGTGCGGATACAGATCTGGTGAGCTGGGGAGGAGGAGGAGGCAGATGTAGGAGAAGAGGACTTCTGGCTGCTCCTTAGCTGCCCCTGCCATGTGTAAAATTCCTAGGCTTCACCTGGGATAACTGGCCACCTCTCTGATGGATGGAAGCGAAGTCTCAGAAGCCCATCTCTTCCTATAAGCCTTAATCTCCAACCTCTAAGAAACTTTAGGGGATTGACTACAAGCACCAAAGGGCAGGAATTAGAAGGAACTGGCACACTAACCATTGTGAATTTATCTCAGGATTAGGCTTTGCCCTTGGGCTGTGCCACACTATGTTAAGATTGGAAGGAAGGAGGCTACACCCCCCATCATTTAGGGCGAGACCCTGAGAGAGTTCCTCAGGATAGCATGATGAAGTTTCCACAGTAGCAGAGGGTGCTGCTGTGGCTCTCTGCCTGAGGTCTTGGAAGCACTGCCTTTGCCAGGGTTTAGAGCTCCCTCTCAATTCCACAGCAGTATGGGCACTGCCTTCAGAGGTCCCATAGGGACTAGGGGTGTAGCAGCATCCCCTGCCAACTCCCATCCAACCAAATCTGGCCACAGTGGCCAGATTCCAGAGAGCTGTCCAAGGCCTGTTCTGGCTGTGGCTTCTGGTTTCTGCCAGGAGGGCAGTTGGCAGGAGGGGCCAAGGCCCTGCAGGCCTGGTCAGCACCAGCACAGATGACCAGGCCTCTGACTGCAGATCCCTGTGGGGATCCAAGCATCCCTGGTTTTTCACCCTTTAGCTCCCCAGTTTTTCCTACAAGGGGACAGCTCTGCTCTTCCCCTCCCCGTCTGTTCCCATGGTCCCTGCTCCTCTGAGGGACTGGCTTTCTCCTGCAGGGACACTGCAGGGCAGGAGAGATACCAGACCATCACAAAGCAGTACTATCGGCGGGCCCAGGTAAGCCACCACATTGGGGGTTTCAAAGTGGGAAGCTGCCACCCACACTCCCAGCTCTGGGTATTTGAGATGTCTGTGCCACGGATCCCCTAAATACAGTTCGCCTGCTTGGAGGAGCGCAGGGCGTCTTTCAGCTGTTCACTGATCATTTGTCCGTCCATTGTTCATGGCCCACTCACTGCAGGCAGGCCCCTGCCCTCACCCCTGACTTCCACCCTCCATCCTGGGTCAAAGATCCAGGTCAAAGCATGTGGTGTCTTCCTGCTGTAGAGAGTTCTGTGATGGGCCTGGGAGGCGGCAGTGGTGGGGTCTGAGAGAAGAGATATTTCTGGATGCTGAGCAGGGAGAATGGGAGAGTGGGACCCAACCTTTAAGTTTCCACGGCCCCTTCTGGCCCCATGACTGCACTCTCTCTGTGCATATCACATCTCTCTATTTCTCTCTCTCTCAGGGGATATTTTTGGTCTATGACATTAGCAGCGAGCGCTCTTACCAGCACATCATGAAGTGGGTCAGTGACGTGGATGAGGTAGGAGATGCCACCTCACTGCCGGGGTGTGGAGAGGGTGCCTCACCGGGGAAGGCAAGGCGAGGGCCAGATGGGAAGGCAAATGCTTCCAGGAAGCTTTGCCTTCCACAGCCCTGGATGAAGACCTCTGGGTGAGTAAGACATGGGGAAGAAACCGAAGCTGCCATGCCCTCACTCTCTATACCCTGCCAGGCCTCCACGGCTGTGTCTTTCCCGGAAATGAATTAGTTCCAAGTCTTCCCTGTGAGCAGCTTCTTTCCTGAAATCTTGGGACCAGGTGGAGTTGCAAGATTGGGATCTAGTCCTGGCTCTGCACAATAGCTGTGGAGCCTTGGGAAGCCATTTGAATCCTCTGGGTCCCCAGTTCCTGTAGAATGAGGGCTGGACTTACATCCAATGTCCTTTCCAGCTCTGATACCAGTGGTCTAACCCAAGGAAGCACCAGTCTTAGCCAGAGTGTCTTCTACCCTAAGCTCTCCCCGTGATACCCTTGAGGTCAGCCATGGCACTTGGGGGAGCCTGGCACCTGCATCCAGTCGGCCCACCCTGTCCCTAGGGCTCTGGAATTGGTGGTGGGCTGGAGGCAGTGCAGACTCTGTAGGGAAAATTGGGGGGGCAGGCAGCACTCACTGGCTGTTCTGCCCATCCTTTGTCCCTAGTACGCACCAGAAGGCGTCCAGAAGATCCTTATTGGGAATAAGGCTGATGAGGAGCAGAAACGGCAGGTGGGAAGAGAGCAAGGGCAGCAGGTAAGTGGAGGGAAAAGGCAAGTCCACCCCAGGTCCTCTGCTGGGCCTCCAGGGCCAGTCCTGAGCGTGGGGACCTAGGGGTGTGTTCCCCAGTGGCAGGTCCTCCCACACGTCCCCAGCACCCCAAGGCCCTGGGGGAGTGGCCATCCTCGGAAGGCTTGTTGTCTGGGTTTCAGGACAGAAGCCCAGAGATTCGGGGTCCATCCAGAAACAAAGACGTCATAGGCAGCAACTCTCCCAAGTCCAGGTCCCCAAATGCAGGATTGCCCTCTGCTTAAGAGATCATCCCCGTGTTAGTAATGAAGGACTTCAAGTTGTCAACCTCTTCTCTGACAGCATCCAGGCCTAGCTGCCATGTTACGGTCGAGAAATGATCTCCCATCCCACCCAACACTCCCCCACTCCTGTCCTTCTTACCCAGGAAAGAGCCAGGGAGGCAAATGAGGAGACAAAGAGCCACAGCTGGAGAAGCCATGGGGGCAGAAAGGGTAGGAGGATGACGCTGAGGGAATGTCCAAGCATGCAGGGAGACCATCCTCCCAGAGAGCAGAAAGAAATATTGGTTATTTTTTTTTTCTTTCTTTCTTTTTTTTTTTTTTTTTGAGATGGAGTCTCGCTCTGTCACCCAGGCTAGAGTGCAGTGGCGCCATCTCGGCTCACTGCAACCTCTGCCTCCTGAGTTCAAGCAATTCTTCTGCCTCAGCCTCCCAAGTAGCTGAGATTACAGGTGCATGCCACCACGCCTGGCTAATTTTTTTGTATTTTTAGTAGAGATGGGGTTTTGCCATATTGGCCAGGCCGGTCTCGAACTCCTAACCTCAGGTGATCCACCTGCCTCAGTCTCCCAAAGTGCTGGGATTACAGGCGTGAGCCACTGTGCCCAGCCAAGATTGGTATTTCTGAGATAAGTTATCCACTCAGTCCGTGGACCTCAAGAGTTTTCCTCTCCCTTTTCAGTCAATAGCGTTCCATTAGTACTTAAAATGAAATTGATTGTTTGGTATAAAATATAAGACATGGTCATTGACCAATTTGAAAGTAGAGGCAAAGCCTACTAGGATAGTATTTATTGAGCACTCTATGTGTGGCACTGTGCTAAGGCAAGCGCTTTTAAGTGCACGACCCCACTGAATCATCCCACAACCATGGATGGGAGACACACTCAGTCTCCTTTAACAGAAGATAAAGCTGGGGCTTACAGAGAATGTACAACTTGTCCAAGGTCACACAGCTAGCCATCAGTGGCAGTGCTGCTATTCAGGTCTGGGACTGTGGGACTCCAGAGCCCATGTTTTTTACGAGGATGCCATACTGCCACAATGGATGGTGTCTTTATCTCCTGATATATGATTGTGTGTTGGGAGGCGTGGGGTGGCAGCTGGAAGAATGGAGAGGCATATTTGTGGAGGATCTTCCCCCATTCTCTGCTACCCTCTCTTGGAGCTCCCAGTCCCATCTGAGAAATTATCTACTCTGAGAAATCGTCACAACACAGCATGGTTGTGAGTGCAGTGGCAGAAGCCTGTGCCTGGTTGTATGGGCCCCTCCCCTGCCTTACTGACTCTCTTTCAGAAATGTCCTTCTCTTGCAGCTGGCGAAGGAGTATGGCATGGACTTCTATGAAACAAGTGCCTGCACCAACCTCAACATTAAAGAGGTGAGAGCCCTGGTGACCAGGCGCCCGCTCTCTCGGGCTGAGTCCAGCAGAGGTGGGAGGAGGAGCCATAAGATGGACCTTATCCCTCAGGCCGCTGCAGGGTTGCCAGGGGAGAGGAGGAGACACTGGACTAACCTGTGCCCTTTGGTTTCCAGTCATTCACGCGTCTGACAGAGCTGGTGCTGCAGGCCCATAGGAAGGAGCTGGAAGGCCTCCGGATGCGTGCCAGCAATGAGTTGGCACTGGCAGAGCTGGAGGAGGAGGAGGGCAAACCCGAGGGCCCAGCGAACTCTTCGAAAACCTGCTGGTGCTGAGTCCTGTGTGGGGCACCCCACACGACACCCCTCTTCCCTCAGGAGGCCCGTGGGCAGACAGGGGAGCCGGGGCTTTGCCCTGCTGCTGTCCTCTCGTGTGATGACCCTATTGAGTATCAGTAGCCACTACTCCCCCTGCCTGGCCCTGAGAGCGGCTCTGCTGTCATCTCAAGCAGCCCCTGTCCCCAGCCCGTCCACCCTGGAGTGGTCTTCTTCAGCCTGTTTCCCCAGCCACAGGCCTGCTACGACCCCCACGATGTGCCGCAAGCACTGTCTCACCATCCCGCACCCACCAGACAACAGCCAGGGCTGGAGTCCAGGCCACTTTCAGCTGCTCCTTTCTCCGTGCATCGTGTCTCTTCTCTGCTTTTTCTCTCTTCCCCCACTTCTCTTTCTCTGACCCCTCCCCTCCGGTGCGTTTCGTATCAAAGCTCCTCAAACCCCGTCCCCCGTGTGTCCTGCTGTGTGCAGCTCGCTCTTTCCTTCCTTCCTAAGCTATCCAAGGGGATGGACCCAGGCTCGTGGGGAGGTTCCACCCTTGGATCCAGGAAGAACCCTCCACCCTGCCTCGTGGGTGGGCCAAAGGCTACAGGGTGCTTCTTCCTCTTCCCCCACCCCCACTGTCCCTCATGTGCCATGGGCCTGCCTCCCCAGTGACCTGCGAAAGTGGAGCATCGAGGTAGGAGGGAAACGGCAACCAGGGAGTCCTCGAGCCTGGGGCTGCCCTACCTCTACCCATTCCCCGACCAGAGCTTTGCCCTTGCTTGGCTGCCCGCCTGCCTCTTTGGGGAACTGAGCTCAGAGGCAGGTGCTTCAGAGAAGGAAACAAAATGAGGGGTGGCAGGGATAAAAAGTCACCTCCATTCTCTACCTCCCATGCAGCATGAACACAATTTCTCTCCACCTGGCTCCCAAATTTAAAGATGTGGACCAAGGCCTGTGGGTACTCCAGGGGCAAGGAGAGCCCTGGGGTCAGTGACACTGTCAGGCCAACCATGCACTCCACAAAGGGGAGCATTTGGAAATGAAGGACTAGCTCCTATGTATCAGGTTAAGAGCAAGGGAGAGCTGGCCAGGGACAGCAGTTTGCACAGCAGAGGGGAATGTAGCAACAGCAGGGCCTCCTAGGCCCCATCTTCCATTTCTTAGGTAAGAAGAGCATTTCCTCAGACTCCCAGGCGGAGGACTGAGCCTAGCCTTCAGCAACCAAGGTTCTCCTGGGACCCAAAGTTTATGGGAGAAGGGCAAAGACTTCATGGGAAGAGAGAAGGAAGGCCCTGGGTAGAAACGCTTGGTGCTGTTCTCTTTGGCCTTTAAGACAAAGCGCTCATCTTGCCCTCTACCTCCTGATAGGCTTGAGGGTTTGCCAACCACACTGTGGCTACAGGTGGAGGGAAGAGGACTCCTTCCTCCAGAGTGCTATGTTCAGGAAGTTTCTTTAACCCCATATGGCCCAAGAGTAGCTCGTAGGAGGCCCTTTAAAGACGGAACAAGTAATTTACCAGTTCTACTGGGGTTCCTGCCCACCGTCCCAAGGTGGGCGAGGCCTAGGAAGAGGGTCATTCTTAAGCCACACATTAGCTGCACTGCGTGGCTGCAGCCAAAACAAAGAACTGGGTGTTGAGTATTCATCAACTAAGAACCAAAATCCAGGGCACTCATATGTGAAGGATAAGAACCTCACTTCCTTACTCCTCCAAAAAGAAGTGGGGAAAGAACCATCAAACCTTTCCTCCTGACTTACCAAACCAGGAAAACAGCAGGAGAGGGTGGCTCAGGACTTAGGGACAGGGTATAGCTTAGATGGTGGAAAGCAAAGGAGAGCAGGAAGTTGTAAATCACTGGCTAATGAGAAAAGGAGACAGCTAACTCTAGGATGAAGCTGTGACTAGGCTGGAGTTGCTTCCTTGAAGATGGGACTCCTTGGGTATCAAGACCTATGCCACATCACACTGGGGCTAGGGAAGTAGGTGATGCCAGCCCTCAAGTCTGTCTTCAGCCAGGGACTTGAGAAGTTATATTGGGCAGTGGCTCCAATCTGTGGACCAGTATTTCAGCTTTCCCTGAAGATCAGGCAGGGTGCCATTCATTGTCTTTCTCTCCTAGCCCCCTCAGGAAAGAAGGACTATATTTGTACTGTACCCTAGGGGTTCTGGAAGGGAAAACATGGAATCAGGATTCTATAGACTGATAGGCCCTATCCACAAGGGCCATGACTGGGAAAAGGTATGGGAGCAGAAGGAGAATTGGGATTTTAGGGTGCAGCTACGCTCACCCTAAACTTTTGGTGGCCTGGGGCATGTCTTGAGGCCCAGACTGTTAACCAGGCTCTGCTGGCCTGTTTACTCGTCACCACCTCTGCACCTGCTGTCTTGAGACTCCATCCAGCCCCAGGCACGCCACCTGCTCCTGAGCCTCCACTATCTCCCTGTGACGGGTGAACTTCGTGTACTGTGTCTCGGGTCCATATATGAATTGTGAGCAGGGTTCATCTATTTTAAACACAGATGTTTACAAAATAAAGATTATTTCAAACCACCGGTGTGGCTGCCTGGATGAGTCCTTGGGGGTAGGTCTCACTCAGACCCTGGCAGTGATGTGGGAGGGAGAGAGGCAGTGCTGGTAGAAGCAGCTCCAGAAGCAAAGGCAACAGCAGTAGAGTGACCACGGAAGCGGCAAACATTGTCTTCCCTTCTCTACCTTCCCTAGTGCCACCTGCAGGGAGGCCCAAAGCAAAGCCCCGTTGCCCTGCATTGGGCTGGCACTGCAGAAATAAGATGAAACACAGTTATCGAGAGGATGCTGAACATCTATGAGCAGGTTTTAAAGCCAAGATGAGTCTCATCTGTTTGTGTGGGTCAGGAACGGGTCTTCCTGAAGGCATGAGGTGGGACTGGATAATCTTTCAGATTTGTGATTGGATACCTCGGGGGAGCAGAGGCAGACTGGGATCTCAGGACTGCAGGTATTTCATACTTTGGGATATGGAATTGATGGAGGTGGAGAATATTGGGGATAAGGACTGAATGAAGAAAGGAGTAGGACAACGCAGGACAACAGTAGTCTTAAGATTTTCACTACACTTTACCCGGCACTAGTGATAGATAAACTCTTCTGACCCTAACCATCACCGTGTGAGATGGGGAGGGTGGTTATCTACCCAGGTCCCACAGGCAAGGAAACAGATGATCAGAGAACTTAAAGATTTGGCCGGGTGCAGTGGCTCATGCCTGTAATCCCAACTCTGGGAGGCCGAGGCAGGAGGACTGCTTGAGCCCAAGAGTTTGGGACCAGCCTGGGCAACATAGTGAGACACTGTCTCTAGAAAAAATTAGCTGAGTGTGGTGGCTTGTGAGGCTGAGGCCAGTGGATCACTTGAGCCCAGAAGGTCAAGGCTGCAGTTGCACCATTGCACTCCTGCCTGGGTGACAGAGAAAGACCCTGTCTCAATAAAAAGAGCTTAAAGATTTGCCTAAGGGTCCGAAGTAACAGTGGCAGAATTGTGGTTGTAAACCACTGAATTGGAATCACTGGAGGGCAAAGCTTTGGCATCTCTAGAAAAATTCCTACAAACAATTCTCATTTGCAGTCAGAATTAAGAACCACCAACCCAGGCTTTCTGCCTAAGCCAGTGCTGTGTCCAGAGCAAGCACTGTCCCACAGAAAGCCATAAGAATCATACGCTGCTTAGTGTATGCTTAAAGTTGTAAGCTTTTGGAAAGCGAGGCCAGTTTGAGGTAAATTTGGAGACAGAGATATTTTAGGAGAGCCTCACCAAGTATATTCCATTAGGAAAGGTGAGAACCCTGGGAGTCTGAAGGGTCCAAGGTCACACCAGGAGAAAAGGGATGGCATGTACCTAAGGAAGAGGGAACCCCCACACTCCTCATCTTGGGAACTCCCATGGCCTTCTTGAAGAAGGCTTGCAAAAGAGCAGAGAATAAGAGGTGTCTCTGGAGGCCCAGAGAGTACTAGGGGGAAGCTCTAGGTATGCACATAAATCCGGCAAGTTACAGTTCTGCCCACTATCAGTGCCAAGTCCTTGTGACTCAGTGGCTTGGTGGGGACTCTTTCTTATTGGTTGCTTCTAGGAACTCCACCCAGCTTCAGCAGGGGACACACTTCCCTCTACACTTCCTGTCACTCCTTCTGTCCACTTAGGTAATGGAAACTTGTTTTTAGGGAGCAGCCAGCTGAGACACATGGTCCCTGTATACTTGAACAGCCATGGAAAAGCTGCAAGGCAGCTTGGCGCTCCCTGGTGATAATTACTTCATCTCATCTCAACAAATCAGATTCTCAAGACCAGCTGCTCCCCGGACTTGCTTATTCTTTGTTCCAAGGAGACAGTTCCCAATGGATGTGCCCCTGTGAAAACACCCTAGTAAACATTTGCTTTGTTATTGAAATTTCACTCTAAAATCCCAAAGCTAGGTCAAGCCCCATTGCTAGTTTTACTGATGAAGAAATCAAGGCATTTTTAAAAGAGTAACTTGTTGAGTTGGCGGGTGCTTGGGTCTTTTCGGTTTCTGTGGCTTCCAGGGGTGGGCCTCTGAGATGGCCCTTAGCAGATGTCCTGCGATGCACTGCACGCCTCTTGTTGAAAGCATCAGGGGTGACCTGCCTGCGTCTGGAACCACAGCAGCTTCAACTTCCTCCACACACTTCCTTCTGTGGGAAGGTGACCAGCACAAACCCGCTCTGAAAAGTCTTGGGGACCAAATCTCTGTCTGAGAGGAAGGTAGGTGCAGTTCATCCACTAAGTTTATCCACCTGTTCTGTGACTCCTCTTCACCATTCTCCCAGCAACGACTGAGCCTCATGACTTGGGGGCTGGGGGATGAGGTGGAGGTGGGGGATATAATATAGGAGATGGTACAGTGCAGGGGCAGAGGCTGGTGTGTTCTCCAGGACAAGTGGCACCACGCACTGAAAGACTTTTCAAGATAAACACAACTTTGTCTCTTCAGCCTGGCAAGAGCTGAGGCACTGAAAACTTCTTTTTTCCCCTAGAAAATGACACACTCTCCTCCTAAGGGTCCCTTTGATTTTGTCCTGGTGGAAAGCAACAAAGAGAAGAACGTGAACAGGAATATGTATATTTCAGTTGTCATCTGAGTCCCATGGATAGGAGGCTCAATTCTCTTCTTCATCTTTCAGATCTCCGCAGACCCTGCCCTCTCACTGTACAATTCAGAGATTGACACTCAGCAGGCATTCAATAAACGTCTGTGTCAAATGAGAACAACTTGATGGGGCAAGTAGGAGTCAATCCTGCATCCCTCCCTCCCTTTTTTTCCTCTCCATTCGACCTTTAGGGCTCTGGTTTCCTGTAAGCAGTGAATTATTTACCTCTGCTCATAGATATCAAATTGGCCCTTCCCAGGTTGCAGCAGGGTGGGGCGGGGAGGCGGCCTTGTTCAGTCTGTTAATAGGAGGAGCAACCTCCTTGTTCAAACAGCACTTACAGGTGGGGACCTGTTTTTGCTAAGTCATCCTGGGGATGCTCAAAGCTCCATTGTTAGATCCTTTCTGTCCTCCTTCCTGGCTCCTCCTTCCTCCCCACCCCTCTAATAGGCTCATAAGTGGGCTCAGGCCTCTCTGCGGGGCTCACTCTGCGCTTCACCATGGCTTTCATTGCCAAGTCCTTCTATGACCTCAGTGCCATCAGCCTGGATGGGGAGAAGGTAGATTTCAATACGTTCCGGGGCAGGGCCGTGCTGATTGAGAATGTGGCTTCGCTCTGAGGCACAACCACCCGGGACTTCACCCAGCTCAACGAGCTGCAATGCCGCTTTCCCAGGCGCCTGGTGGTCCTTGGCTTCCCTTGCAACCAATTTGGACATCAGGTGAGGGGTCCCTCCTTGTAATGCACCAAAAGTGTTGGGTTGGTGTAGCTCAGGTGGGATAAAAGGAGAGGCTGAATGACCATGTTTTGGAGTGTCTGGAATAATGGGGTATGTTTTGTTAAGCTAGGTCTTTAGGTGCATGTGACATACCAAGAGAAGGTATATATTTTTTAAGATTAAACACTGAGGCTGTGTGATTTTTATAGTTTACTGTCTTTCTACTATATTACTCCATGAGGGCTGGTTCCAGGTCTGTGTTTCTCTCCACTGTGTCCTCAGTGCCTAGGGCACAGAAAGCACTCATTAAATATTTGTTGAATAAATGAGTGGAGAAAGTAGAGGCCAGGAATCAAACAAGAATTGGACAGACTCAAGAGACCTTAGCTCTAGCTGGACTTGGTTTTGCTATTTAATGGCTCTGTGCCCTCGGAAAGGGCGCTTCATTTTTCGGTTTAGTTTCCTCATCTGTAAATTGGGGATAATACCACTTAGCTCATAGGATTATTATGATGTTTAGGGGACAGGATATACAAAAGTAACTTGAAAAATATAAAGTACTATGCAAATGCAAGCAAACTGTTATTTAGATTGAGGATGATTTTTGTTGGTTTAAATTAGCCAAGTGGAAAGAAAATAAGCAGGAAAGAGAAAGGTTTTCAAAAGGCACGTGCCTCTGGGCATTACATGCACCTATTTCTGATTAATGGGTCAAGCTGTTATAGATCTTCAGCCCACACACCTCGAGTTCTCTTTTAGGGATTCTTCTATTTCCACCTATGATTTTAACGTACAAGCAGGGAGAATGAACCCAAGCGAACCCTCTCGTTATAATCCCCTTAGTTCAATTCACAGTGGTATGAAGGTGAGGAAGACAGGAAAGCAGGAAGGCTGAAGCATCACTGGCTGTGACAAACCTGAGCCCAAACTGTTCACTGCTCTCACTGTTCTTCCCTAAGTTTTCTGTCTGGCCTTTTCTAGAGCAGGAGAGACAGAAGTAGCAAACCCTCTTTCGAGATGTCCCTCCAGCCCCAGAAGTACCTCCAGCCTCACACCATCTCTTCAGCCTAGCAAGTTGCTGGAGGGAGTCTATAACCTACCAGGAGCCAGCCAGCCATTTGTATCAAGAAATAGAAATCTGCCAGGGTACAGTGGCTCACACCTATAATCCCAGCGCTTTGGGAGGCTAAGGTAGGCAGATTGCTTGAGCTCAGGAGTTCAAGATTAGCCTGAGCAACATGGTGAAACCTTGTTTCTACAAAAAATTGCAAAAATTAGCCAGGCATGGTGGCATGTGCCTGTAGTCACAGCTACTTGGGACGCTGAAGTAGCAGGATCGCCTGAGCCTGGGAAGTCGAGGCTGCAGTGAGCTATGATTGTGCCACCGCACCCCAGCCTAGGTGACAGAGTGAGGCCCTGTCTCAGGAAAAAAAACAGAAACAAAAACAGAGAAGTCCACTAGAGATCAGCTCTGGGCTCATGATGTCATGATGGCCTGGAACTGACTGAACTAGTTAGTTCTCACAGGTCAGAAGCAGGAACTTTCTCCCAGAGGAAGGTATCTGTCTGTTAAATTGGAAAGGTAGAGGTGGAAAAGAAGGGTTCCCATAGGCCTTTTGGATTGTCATGAATGGTGATGCTGAGAGGGAATAGGACAGGGATGGCAGTGGGGAGGGAAAGGCAGGGACCAGGTTTTGAGCCAAAGCATGCGTAGCTGAGAGCAGTGAGTGGATAGGAGGTGCAGCAGTCTTTGGGTAGCAGCCTACTCAAGAAAAGAATGATAATTACATACTCACAATCTTTAGCCATCAAGCACTTATTTCCTCAACTCCCCCTCCCCCTGGCCTATTGCCAAACCCTAAATCCTGTATCCTATTTACTTCATGCCTGTTGGTTACTAAGTAGTTCCATTTAGAGTACACATTCATTGTTGCCTTGAACTTGCTCTGCTGTTATGGCACCTGAAAACTAGATGTTCTTGGATGGGGGTCTTCCTTCATCAAAGCTTCTTCCCATTTGTACTTCAGTTCTAGGACAAGGCAAGAAGAAAGCAAGAAGCTGTAAATCCCATTCCTCTGGGTCTCAATTTCACCCTCAGTTCAAGGAGCTGAGTAGGCAGAGGCAAAGGCTATACTCAACACACGTGCAATTGAAAGCAGGCGAGGCAAAACCAGGGCAGAGGAAAGGAAAGGGGTGTGTGTGTAGGTATGGATTTATGGGTAGGTGGGTCGGTAGGTTAGTTGAAGAGGAGGTTCTAAGCAGTATAACCTAAGCCTCTTTTCTCTTTCTTCTGCTTCAAACACCTTAAGAACTGCTCAGGGTAGACTGGAGACAAAAGCAACAGCTCAGAAGTGCTAAATCTTGAAGAGCAGCCAAAGCATGGGCAACAAAGTGAGACCCCATCTCTACAAAAAAAAAAAAAAATTAGCCGGGCATGGTGGCCTGTGTCTGTAGTCTCAGCTACTAAAGAGGCTGAAGCAGGAGGAATGCTTGAGCCCAGAAGTTCAAGGCTGCAGTGAGCAACACCTCGTCTGTCTTGTCTCTCTCTCTTTCACAGTGAAAAAGAATGACCCTGGGGAGGGAGTGTAGGAGGGTGAAAGAGTTTCATGTTGTGGATCTTTCTCTTCCCCCACCCACTGTCCACGCACTTTGTCTTTTTCCTCCCCTAGGAGAACTGTCAGAATGAGGAGATCCTGAACAGTCTCAAGTATGTCCGTCCTGGGGGTGGATACCAGCCCACCTTCACCCTTGTCCAAAAATGTGAGGTGAATGGGCAGAACGAGCATCCTGTCTTCGCCTACCTGAAGGACAAGCTCCCCTACCCTTATGATGACCCATTTTCCCTCATGACCGATCCCAAGCTCATCATTTGGAGCCCTGTGCGCCGCTCAGATGTGGCCTGGAACTTTGAGAAGTTCCTCATAGGGCCGGAGGGAGAGCCCTTCCGACGCTACAGCCGCACCTTCCCAACCATCAACATTGAGCCTGACATCAAGCGCCTCCTTAAAGTTGCCATATAGATGTGAACTGCTCAACACACAGATCTCCTACTCCATCCAGTCCTGAGGAGCCTTAGGATGCAGCATGCCTTCAGGAGACACTGCTGGACCTCAGCATTCCCTTGATATCAGTCCCCTTCACTGCAGAGCCTTGCCTTTCCCCTCTGCCTGTTTCCTTTTCCTCTCCCAACCCTCTGGTTGGTGATTCAACTTGGGCTCCAAGACTTGGGTAAGCTCTGGGCCTTCACAGAATGATGGCACCTTCCTAAACCCTCATGGGTGGTGTCTGAGAGGCGTGAAGGGCCTGGAGCCACTCTGCTAGAAGAGACCAATAAAGGGCAGGTGTGGAAACGGCCAGCCTGTGTGTGTGTTCTTTGACAGAGGGCGGAGGGAAGCTACAAACTGCAGGTGGGATAGAGGAGCTGCTAGCACACAAAGCTTTGGGAGGGGAGGATCTGACGGATCAAGGGATGCCCTAATTACTGACAGGAAAGCAAGCGCTGGCCAAGGTCTGCAGTGGCAGGTGCAGTTACGGGAAATGTGAATTATATTATTCCTTTACAGCTCTTCTTCAGAACTGGGGAAAAAGAGAAAGTGATAATGGGAGGTAGAGGAGGAAAAGACAATGAGCCCTTTGGTTGGGGATATTGGGAGGCTGTTAGGAGGATTACAGTCAGGAAGCATCAATAGCACTGTGGGTACTGGGCCAACTAGATCTGACTTGTGCCTTGGGAAATTCCTGGGCAGTCAGCTTAGTTAATGTTTACCAATAGCAAGGGCATAGAGGGTGTAGTTACTGAGAACACAAACAGCACTTTATCTTTTTCCTGATCATCAAACATCTCGGGTGTTTGATCCTTTGCTAGACTGATTCTCCCTCCTTTTTAAAGTTCATGGCCCGGGTGTGGTGGCTCACACCTATAATCCCAGCACTTTGAGAGGCCGAGACAGGCGGATCACTTGAGGTCAGGAGTTCGAGACCAGCCTGGCCAACATGATGAAACTCTGTCTGTACTAAAAATACAAAAAATTAGCCAGGTGTGGTGGCGCACGCCTGTAATCCCAGCTACTCAGGAGGCTGAGGTGAGAGACTCATTTGAACCCGGGAGGTGGAGGCTGCAGTGAGCCAAGATGGCGGCGCCACTACACTCCAGCCTGGGCGACAGAGTGAGACTCCGTCTCAAAATAAATAAATAAAGTTCACATTACACCCTCATTCTTCTCAAAATCACATATTCACAAATTCAGGCTCCAGACAAATAGAGGCAGGAATGACTGGACTCATTTCTTCCTCTGTAAGAAGGAAGGGGTTGGGGATGGGAGAGAGCCTCCCTTCAGAGTCAGGCTGTTTATAATCTGCCATTTGCAACATCATTATTCCTCACTGTGAGGACAGTTTTGCTCAGAGGCCTTGCAAGGATGGTGTCCCCAATTCCTCATCCAGTGCAGACATAATCAAAACATATCACCACCGCCAAGGTCAGGTTCTATCATGTTCTGGAAAAGATACCTGCTGAGAGGCCACTGCCTGTCACCTTGCCCCACAGACCTCATCCTGGAAACTTCTCATTTCATCTTCCCTTCTTTGACCACTAGATGGAATATTTTCACTTCTATTCACTGAAACCCTGAAGGGACAGTTTTCCAAACTGGACACACTGCTTGAGAAGCCCAATGCTGAAGGGAAAATGTTTTTCCTTTAATTGTTCTGCTTACCCTAACCATTTTCTAAGCACTTGCATCATATGAGAGTGAATGTGGAATAGATGTTTAGGATCCCCACTTTCTGACCTTCAACTAAACCTGTCAACAACAGTGCTTTATTTCAAAAGGGTAACCTGAGTATTACAGTGGGAATCCCCTGACACCTTTCTGCAGGGCCTTCTGCTAACTTAAGGCTACCCTTACCTTCACTCTTGAAACCTCAAGCCTTTCAGATTCCTGCTCTTAAAGTCAACAGCTGGGGTATGAATTATTATGGGGCAGGACCATGTACTGATTTTAGAGCAGTAACTGCAGACAAATTGCTTTCCTGACAAAATAGAGAATTCTTCTTGGATGCTAGTCATCACCTTGACAGTACCATAGCCTGTTGTTACATCCAGTAACAGAGCCAGCTATCTCGGGTGTTGGAAACATGCCACAGGCAACTTAGAGCCTGAGACACCAGTACAATGTGTTCAGTCTTTCCCTTGAGGCCCAAGTTCAAAGAATTATTTAGGGATTCCCAAAGGAATGGGAATTACAGTATAAGTTATTCTGCAGAAAGTCAAGAGAAGGCCATAAAGCTAGAATGAAGGCTCTTCACTTGGGAGGGGAAACACTATTTGCTTCAGACAGAACCTGATCTATTCAGCTCAGGAGGAAACAGGGAAGGCAAGACTGGAAGATTCTATTTTAAAAGGATGTTTAGGTTTACCAAATATTTAGTTGTGCTGTTGTTAAAATGAAGAGAAATTAGAAAGTGTTTCCTTTCCTTTATTCTTCATCTTGTTTGTCCCCCTTATCATCCTCAGAAGTATTAGCTTGTGATCATAAACAGACAAGGCAAAGCTTTAAAATATCACCCACTTTTCTAGATAAACAAAAATCTTTTAATCAGATTTCCCTAGGGGCACCCAGAAGGAGGGGGAAGTCTCCTTAACAACTCTCCCAGAAGTGCTGAGATAATGCTATTCAACTCAGAGGAGGGACAGAGAGAATCACTAACCTGAGGGCTCTTACAAAAACAAAAAACAAAACAAAAAAACCAGAGCTTGGAACAAGTGATTTTAGGAGGCCAGGGTAAAGACACTGAAATCGATAATTATCTTCATGACTATGTTCCCATAGCTATCTCTCCTTAGTTTATGAGACACTGAGGCCCAGTATGGTGGCTCAAGCCTATAATCCCAACACTTTGGGAAGTTGAGGCGGGAAGATGGCCTGAGCCCAGGAGCTCACTATGTAGCCTGGGCTACACAGTGAGACCTCGTCTCTACAAAAAATTAAAAAAAAAAAAAAAAAATCGGCTGAGCATGGTGATGTACACCTGTAATGGTTTCAGCTACTCAGGCAGCTAGGGTGGGAGAATTGCTTGCGCCTGGGAGTTCGAGGCTGCAGTGAGCTATGATTGCACCACTGCACTCCAGCCTGGATGAGACCTTGTCTCAAAAACACTGAGTCAAACTCTAGAACTTTATTATAATCACCATCACAACCATCATCCAAACTACCATTCATTTAATATTTACTATGGGCACAGACTGGGCTAGGTACTTTATATACACTAGGTTATTTAACCCTCATAGAGATCCCATGAAAAATTGTTATTTCTATTAAAAGAAAAGGTAATTGGGCAAGACACTTGCCAAGGACACACAGCTTAGGAAGCAGCAAAGCTGAAAGTTAAAGCCAGGTCAGTCTGACTCCAAAGCCTCTACTCTTAACCATAACACAACAGTGCTTTCTTCTAGCTCAGATTTTTCTTCATAAAGACCACTGACAGCTGCCTGCACACAGCATTAGATTTAAAAATCATTAGATTTAAAAATTCTGTGGAGGCATGATGGTTTCTAGTTTTCCACTGAAGACACTGAGGTACAGACAGGATAAGTGACTTGCTCAGTGTCCCATCATTAGCAGGTGACAAAGCTAATTCTAGACCCAGATCTTTTAATTCCTTTTCTATCCAACTATACTGTATCTTACAACAGTCTTGTACTACAGTAAAAAAAAAACATACATTTTTAAATTGAGCGCCTCAAATAACTAGCCCTGCTCACAACATGAAAGAATGAAACCGAAAGGACTTTTGATACACTGAAATAAAGGACAGTGAACATAAACCTCTTCATGGTAACTTACAAATAACAAGCCATATCTGGTTGTGCCCAAGCTATCTGATGTCAATTAAATTAGTACTGGGAGAACCTAAAACCATGTGAGAAAGAGCTAGATCAAACAAAACAACAAATAGTGGCTGAGCTTTTAACTTCAGGAGCCTAACTAGCCAGACCTGTACATCACAGAATGATTAGAGAAAAAGGAGGTGCCAAGATAAGCCCACGTTTCCAATTATCCCCATGTTTCCAATTATCCCCACAGGTGATTTCTCTTCCTTCTTATATCTCAGGAAGGAAAGTAAAAAGAAGAGCCATGTTTTGCCTAATTCCTTTTTTTTTATTTTATTATTATTATACTTTAAGTTTTAGGGTACATGTGCACGATGTGCAGGTTAGTTACATACGTATACATGTGCCATGCTGGTGTGCTGCACCCACTAACTCGTCATTTAGCATCAGGTATATCTCCTAATGCTATCCCTCACCCCTCCCCTCACCCCACAACAGTCCCTAGAGTGTGATGTTCCCCTTCCTGTCTCCATGTGTTCTCATTGTTCAATTCCTATCTATGAGTGAGAACATGTGGTGTTTGGTTTTTTGTCCTTGCGATAGTTTACTGAGAATGAAGATTTCCAATTTCATCCATGTCCCTAATTCCTAATTTGAACAGAAAAATAAGGATTCTGTGAAACTGGGTTCAAGTGGTCGTTATTAGATCCACATAAGAATCTAGAAAATGATAAAATATCACAAAACACAGCACAATGTGGGTTCACCAATAATGAAATATAGAGAGAGGATCTTATGTTTTAAATTTTTGTAACATATAGTCCAAAACAAATAGATAATTATACATTCTGCAATAGATGAGGACATTGGCAGGGCATATAAAATTAGACTCTTGGGCTTCAAATGACTAAGTTGGAAGCATTAGCAAACTCAAGGAAGGGACAATTCAGAGGCTATAATGGGCTTAATGCTGCTATTTAAAGTAATGAAGCATTTTCTCTGCTTTCTGGATTCATTTCACCAAACGATTTCCTCAGCAGGTCAGATATAGATTTGCAGCAAAATGAAAAACATTTTCCAGGAATAAAACAACTGATCCCTGCAACAGCTGACTTAACTTTTCTGAATAATAAATCTTCATCTGACATGCCCAGATGCCTCAGAGTACTGTCACTGATATTCTTAACCTCTTCCTAACCTTGCCAGATCCTTGTATTTCATATTTGCCAAACATAATTACTGAGAGGGGGTAACTGCACTAGCTGTGTGATCTTAAACAAGTTATTTAACTTCTTTTTTTGTTGTTGTTTTGTTTTGTTTTTGTTTTTGAGATGGAGTCTTGCTCTGTCTCCCAGGCTGGAGTGCAGTGGCATGACCTTGGCTCATCACAACCTCCCTGTCGCGGGTTCAAGCGATTCTCCTGTTCAGCCTCCCATGTTGCTGGGACTGCAGGTGCATACCACCACCCCTGGCTAATTTTTGTTTTTGTATTTTTAGTAAAGACGAGGTTGCACCATGTTGGCCCGGCTGGTCTCAAACTCCTGACCTCAGGTGATCCGCCTGCTTTGGCCTCCCAAAGTGCTGGGATTACAGGGGTGAGCCACCGCACCCGGCAAGTTATTTAACTTCTTTGTGCCTGAGTTTTTTTGGCTCTAAAAGTGCTACACTGAAATAAAGAATAGTGAATATAAACCTTTTCATGATAACTTACAAATAACAAGCCATATCTGGTTATGGCTAAACTATCAATAGCACCTACCTTATGAATTTGTTAATGAGGATTAAATAAGTGCTTAAAAAGCTCTTAGCATGTAGTAAGTACTTAATAAAGCTCAGATATTATCATCATTACTGTTATTCAACAAAGCTTTTCCCTAGTATCTACAATGAACACTTTGCTCATTTCTTGTTCTTATAAGACCTTAGTTCAGAATTTCCAAATCTCCTAGATATGAAGAAACACTTTTGTTTCTAATGCCTGACCCTTTAAATTTAGGTCTCAGAATGAGCACTAATTGAAGCCACCTCATTGTTTCTAGTACTTTACATGCTTTCTAAAGTATCTTACATTCACTAATTCATTTAAATCTCCTAACAATACTGTGATGAATGTATTATATCAATTTTTGTTAGTCCAATTTGATAGAAACAGGACAATAAAGTCCAGAGTAATGCTTTGCTTAATGACTATACTGCTACTAAATGGCAGAGAGGCCTAAATGCCAGTTTATAACCTCCTGGCCAGTGCTCATGAAACTATGCAAAGTAAGATATTCTAAAATCCCTTTAAAGCCAATGAAACCATTTTCTCATTTATATTAACTGAAGTCCACACTGTATTCAGATTTCCCTAGTTTCTACCAAATGACCTTTTTTTCTTTTCGTGGTATATAATTCCATGTAGGATACCACATTACATCTAGCAGTCATGTCTTCTCAGGCTCCTCTTGGCTGTGACCATGTCTCAGATTTTCCTTGTTTTTTATGGCCTTGATAGTTTTGAGAAGTACTGGTTAGGTATTTTAAAGAATGCTTCTCAATTGGAATTTGTGTGATGTTTTTCTCCTGATCAGACTTGGGTTCTGAGTTCTGGGGAGGAGGACCACAGAGGTAAAGTGCCATTCTTATCACATTCTGTATGATGTGATGCTATCAAGGATACATGCTATCAAAAGGGCTTATCATGGATGATGTTAACCTCAATCACCTGGCTGAGCTGGTGTCTGTCAGATTTCTCCACTGTAAAGTTACTCTTTTCCCCCCTTTCCATATTATACTCTGCAAGGAAGTCACTATGCAGAGCCCACTAAGTGGGGAGTATCTACATAAATTATTTGAAATTCTTCTGCACAAGAGATTTGTTCCCATTCAATCATTTATATTAGTTTGGGCTTGTAAATATTTATTATATAGTTTGGGTTATAACCCAATACTACTTTATTTTGTTACTCAAATTGCTCCAGCTGTGGCCTTTCAGAGATCCTTCAGTTCGATCATGCTGACATACTCCCAATCACTATGATTTTTTTTTTTTAATTTCAGTACTTCATTTTTCTGTGGCACAAGATACTCTAGGCTCATCTTGTACAGTTCATATCCCAGTTCTAGAATCAGTTCATTTTCTAAGGAGTCCTGGTTCCTTTTATTGGAAACCAAAATCTGGGCACCAGGTGTGCTCCCATTCTAGTTGTTTTCTGACCACATAACTGCTAACAAAGATGCTTCACTCTGGCTACACTGATGTGAACTTTGAACTTTAGCAGAAGAGCTCAGCTCTAGAGAACAATGAGCTCCTACATTACCTTTTTTCCTCAAAGAATAAGTAAGTCTAAGCAGAAAAAAAATATGCAAAGAATTTTCAGTATGAATGAAATAAGACAAACCATCAGGCTTGCTGTATTGTAAACCAACACAATATAGTTATAACAGATCTGTAGAAGGATCCTTAGAATAAGAGAGTCATTTGTCGGGGGTCATCAGGGAGAATACTGATAGTATCTTCGGCTTTGCCGCATAACAGACACAGCATGGTATACTCCTAGAACAAGATAAAGTGCATAATTACCTAGAGGAACAGGGAAAAAGATGCTTTATAACTTACTCTAGTTAAGATGTTCTCTACAAATTGTCATGAATATTCTTTCTGTACATTGGATCAATTTCTTCAACATGTATCAGCAATGTCTTAGGCTTATTCTGTATATTCCAGAGCCTGTTGTTTATATAAATTGATACATAAATGTCATCTTGGAAATACATGGCTATTTCTCAGAAAGCACATATATTTAGCTTAGTGCTATTTAAAGTAATGAAGCAATTTGAGTGTGGGTCCCTATGGACAAATTCCTATTCTTACAGCTGTTCCTTTCTAGCATATTTAACACTAATACACAACAGAAACAATTTTTTGAAAGGAGAAAATTCCCAAACTGAAAAAGCTATTTTTATCTACCCTAGGAAAATAAACAATTATGTTAAATTCACTAGTATGTCCTGCCTCATTTTCAGATGGCTAGTTGTCTGGGAATTTGATCCATTTAAGAAGTTTGTTTCCCAGGCTTAATAAATGCCCAGATTGGTAATAGAGGAGATTTTGTTTTAGGCAAAAACCCTTAGGGCAAGGTCCTTTTTCTTTTTTTTTTTAGACACGGTATCACTGTGTTGCCCAGATTGGAGTGCAGTGGTGCAATGATGGTTCACTGCAGCCTTGACCTCCTGTGCTCAAGTGATCATCCCACCTCAGACCCCCAAGTAATTGAGATTACAAGCACTCGGCATCACGCCTGGCTAATTTTTAAATTTTTTGTAGAGATGGGGTCTCACTATGTTGCCCAGGGTGGCCTCAAACTCCTATGCTCAAGTGATCCTCCCACCTTGGCCTCCCAAAGTGACAGGATTACAGGTGTGAGCCACTGCATCCAGCCCAAAGTCCTATTCTTATAGCTTTCCCTTTCTAGAATATTTAACAGTCATAAACTACAGAGACATATTTCTTTGAAACCTTTCATTTAAAAGCCTTTTTCTCTGTACAAAAACAAACATCTATGTTAAGTCTTCTAGAATTTCCACACCTGATGCTAAGTTTGCTAGCTGTCTGGAAATTGATCAGTCAAGGCAGTTTGTGTTTCTTAGGTTTAGACAGTCACTAGAGAGGGCCACAGAGGTAAACAATGACTGTGGTACAAAGAAATAGAAGCAGGCAACTGCCTTTTCCATCTTCTACTGGTGAGTTCAGGAGGGGAGCTTAGTTGTGGCAGTGGAAAGATGGCTTTATGAATTAAAAATAAAATAAAAATACATCCTCTTCAAGGTCTTTTACTGTTCTCAAATACTTCCACTGCTTCAACCCACCAGGCATTGCTATTTGGATGGCAACCTTTTACAGGAAAAGAAGAAGGAAAAAAGTAAAGAGTCAAAAAGAGAAAATGTGTGAGGCTAAACAAATACTTGAGTTTTCAACCAATCTAGCCATTGACAAATTTATACTGAGTGCCTACATGCTCTGCAATGTGCTGGCAGACATGAAAGAACAAAGTCTGACTTTATACAATCTGCAATCTAACTTGGGAGGGGGAAAAAACCTAACATATAATCTGGCAAGACTATTAAATCAGTGAGACTGATTACACCTGTAATCTTTATAGGCAGTCTGGAACCCAAATTTCATTGCAAGTCAATTATTTGGAATTCAAAAGCAATTTCCCACAGAAGTAATGTCATACATGGCGGTTAGGTTCCCAGGAAAATCCACAAGTCTTTTAAATTTATATTGTTCAAGCACCATAGAATCTAACCATATATAGAAGTGCTTCTGTGGGAAAATATGTCTAGAATTCTAACTTGGGATGCCAGGAACAGATCTCCTCGTGCTGCCAGGAATATGATGAGATTAGGACACCTTTTATCAAAACCAGCCAAGTACAGAAAATAATTCCCCCAGTCATTCACAGGGACTCTCAAAGGCTCCAACTGGGCAGGGCCTAGGGGAAAATATTTGGAGGGAAGAGCAGAGTGGGCGGAATTACCTCTGAGTAAGACCAGATCTTTTTTTTTTTTTTATTCTGAGGGCTTTACTTTTTTCTCTATTAGCTTTACTCTCTTCCTCTATTAGTCCCTGTTAATTCTGACTCCAAGTCTTCTCCTTCCCTGGCCCACAGAGGAATAGAAAGCAGTCTCATAGTTTCTGTCTTGTTTCTTGAAGTAAACACACAATTTTGGTGTGTGTGTGGGGGGGGGCTTTTGCTAGGAGGGTTTTTTTTTTAAATAAAGGATACCTATAATAATTTATCATGTATTTTCCATGTAAACTCTGTCCCTCTGTCTCCACTTTCTCCCTAGTCTTGCCATCAGAAAATCCTACTTTGTTTAATAATGGCATTATGGTTGTTTTAAAAACAGAATACTTATCTTTCAGAGAGACTAATGAAGTATTTAAAGAGGTAGTGATACGTTTGGAATTTGCTTTGAAATAATCCTATGGGGGGATATGAGAATGGTGAAATATAAATAAAGCAACTTGAAGATGGGTAGTGTACATTAGTACACTATTCTGCCTACTTTGGACTATGTTTAAATCTCCTATAAGATGTTTAATATAAAACAACAATGGTGGCTGGGAATCCCACCTTGAACTTGAACTACTGCCAGGATAGGATGAGGGGCTGGGGTAGGGTGGGGACAAGGACAGTAAGTAATGGCAGCTGAGAATGGAGGGTTCTTGTGGCCATTAGGCTGAGGTAGAAGTTCCCAGGTGGCTATTCACTAGAGTCAGGGCCTGACATAGGTACAAGAAAAGTTCAGAAAAGGGAGAAGATGCATAGGCTTGAAGAGCAAAGAGGAGATGGAATTTGAGTTCAGGCAGAAAGAGGTAAGATTTAGTTGGCTTGAAGGTAGAGAGAGGGAATATTCAAATCAAGGAAAAGGCATGAATATGGACAGCAATATGGAAAAGAGCATGCGCATCGCTTACGGAGTAAAAGGGAAAGGAAGCTACATTTGGTTTGTCAGCAGGGGAGTGGAGGATGACATGTTTAAGAAGATTAACTTGATGGCAGTGTGCAGAACTGCAGTCTGGGGAATGCTGCAGTAATTCAGCCTTCAATGGTTATGGTCCTTGACATGAGGTGTGGTGCCAGAGTCAGAGAAAAGGCAAGCAAAACAAAGAAAAAAAAGAGGGGATGAGGGGTGTAGGCACGAAGGCTAGAGAAGGAAATGAGAAAGGTATCTAATAGGTCTCTACTGAGACTGAGTACATGTGTGTTCACTACAAGAGAGAGCATAAAGAAGGTTCCAGACCACAGAACAAAAGCTGAGGAGTATCACTTCGAGAAAACAGGAAAGAAAACTAAGAGAAAACACAAAGGAGCAGTTAAAATGATTTAAAAAGGAAAGAAGTCAAGCACTTTGGACCTCAAGGGCAGAAATGCTTCAAAAAGACAACAATAGTTAATAAAACTAGATGCAGAAGCCATGTAAGAGAGAAAAGAACTAAGGCAGTCACAGGATGTGGTTAGATTATAGGAAACGTATGAGAGAATAGTTTTAGCACAGAGAAAATGAAAATCACTTTGTAGGTACTTAAGAGGAGTATAGGAAAATAAGGAAAATAGGGTAAAGACCCATTCAAGTGGCCAGGTAATGGCTCACACCTGTAATCCCAGCACTTTGGGAGGCTGAGGCAGGAGGACTGTTTGAGCCCAGGGGTTCAAGACCAGCCTGGGCAACCAAGTGAGATCTCATCTCTACAAAAAAAATTTTTTAAATAGCCATGCACAGAGGCTAGTGCCTGTAGTCTCAGCTACTCGAGGGGTTGAGGCAGAAGGATCGCCTGAGCACGGGAGGTCAAGGCTGCAGGGAGCTGTGATCAGGCCACTGCACTCCATCTTGGGCGGCAGAGTAAGACCTTGTTGCAACAAACAAACAACCTGTTCAACTAAAGAAGCAAGAGGAAGAAGAAATGATTACAGGATGAATCAAAGTACACTGGAAAGAAAGACGATAACATGAGATTCCTGAGGAAATGCAGTAGGGGTAGCATTAGAGAGGGGTAAATAAAAATCTTTCTCTCTAACAGGAGAGAAGGAAGAGTAAAGTTGGGACAATGCTAAGTATGGTGTACATATGAAAGAGTAGCAGGAAATAAAAGAAGGGAAGCTGGGCCAGTCCAGTGAGAACCTTGAAATGAGGAGCTTGGATATTGTACTGTAGCTAAAGGTGCACTATGGGAAGGCCAATGAGGTCACCCAAAAGTATTTATTTTTACTTTTTAGTAGAGACAGGGTCTCACTATGTTGCCCAGACTGTACTCAAACACTTGGACTCAAGAGATTCTCCTGCCTCAGTCTCCTGAGTAGCTCGAACTATAGGCACACACCACTGTGCCCAGCTTTGAAAACATTATTTTAAGAAAATTAATATGATGGTAGAGTATGGAGTATGAATTGACGGCGGGGGGGGGGGTGGGGGGAGAAGTAGACTGGGAGTAGAGAGTCTAGTTTAAGAATCATTTTCACCACCATTTCATAGTTTCTTGCATCGTGACTACAAGCCACCTTCCTTTACCTTCTTCCTGTCCCAGAGTAATTTCCAGGGCAGCTTTGAAAACGGCTGCATTCAGTCAAAAAGGAAAAATCAGCTAGACTTTGGTCTAGCTAATTTACAATGGCTTGGTTAGGACATAAACAGGCAACCTCAATATCCGTTCAGGAGCTGTACATAACTCACGTGAAATTCAGGAGTGTCTTGAAAATAGCTATAAGCACTCCTTTCCTCCCATAAAAGAATAGGACTGTTTCTTTAAGCCCAGGAGATGCTCATCTCCCTATGCGGCCACTACTCATTCACTAAGATGTCAATTTTGCCCTAAGTTACGCATATCATATAAATATTTCTTGAGGCATAATTTTTGGATGCTGAAGAAATATAAAATATAGTCAAGATGTTATTTTAGATTAACCACAACATATCAGACCAGACTCTGACAGGTGACTAAGCACTTTCTTCCATGCTAAAATAAGGAATAAGAGGGGTTTTACTATCTTATGATTCTGCTATGGAAGATTATTATTATTTTCCTAATTAAGTACTATCCAAATGTGAAGGGAATTGAAAAAATTCTCTCGGCTGTTAAAAGCTCTAGCCTGATATTTATATCCTATGGACAAATATGTAGTTCACACAAAATAAGTAACTCAACCTGAAGGCTTGAAAACAGGCAGTGAGGGACAGAGATAGGTTTCAGTTTGTCCCTGGCTCTCCCCGACTGCCCAGCTTTTCTTTCTGACCGTCAGACCTGTGTATCTTCAGCAACTACAGGCCTATATCAACCTTCCAGAGAATTCTTCACATACTCTCACAATTGTGTAAGGATTAATCCTTATGATAAATCTCTTAATCTCCAGCTTCACAGTGGTTCTGTGTTTCTCCTCCAACCATGGTACACACAGCTTGTAATTTTACTTAACAATACTATAATGTCTTACCACAAATGAGACTGCAGAGTTGTTCAACTCTACATGTCAACTTGGGAAAACAAAGAAAACCTCCTTATCACAGTTTCCATGCTGGGCAAGTATGGTGGCAGTTGACAGGACACCACTTAAAAGCCCACAACTGTGCAATCACGTAACTGGGCAGAAAAAAAGCAGCACAATGGTAATCTCATAAGAAGCTAGAATGTGCTACTATTCTTTATAAACAAAAATGACAGGGCTGAGATATCATTTGTAAACTACACATTTTGATTTGTGATTCTCGTGAAGACAGGTTTACACAAATCCACCCACATCTAAAGTCTGTCTCTCAACTTGCACAGATATAAGAAAGGCATGGGGCTGGGCACAGTGGCTCATGCCTGTAATTCCAACACTTTGGAGGCCGAGGTGGGAGGACTGCTTGAGCCCAGGAGTTCAATACCAGCCTGGGCAACATAGCAAGACACCATCTCAAAAAAAAAAAAAAAAAAAGGCATAGTCTCCTTTAATATATGCTAACGCTTTGCACTTCACTTATGAAAACCGTATTTAGATTCTCAAGAGCACTTTTATTATTCCCCTAACCTCCCCATATTTATATTTATACCCATATTTATATTTACCTGAAATTCATCCATGATACTGAATGTATACTCATGTCTGGCTATTACATGATGACAATTCTTACACAAATCTGCTAAAACAAAGAGAGACTTACGTAATTAAGTCTTAGAGAGTTTCTTAAAACTTCTATTAAAATTTCTATTCTCAGCATATTATTTAAAGAGAATCTTAAGTCTGTCATATTTAACATAGGAGGAAACCCATTATAGTATCTACCTTGATTTTTAAAAGATTCAGAATCTGCCACATAACAACGTTACATAATTCTGAGTCTGAGCTTTTATTAATTGCCACCAAAAGTTCTTTAAGAGAAGCAGTTAAAACATATTTAAGTGTATTTTTAAACTAGCTAGATCAATTTCTTTTTTTTTTTTTTTTTTTTTGAGGCCGGGTCTTACTCTGTTGCCCAGGCTGGAGTGCAGTGACACAAACATGCCTCACTGCAGCTTCAACCTCCCAGTCTCAAGTTATCCTCCCAAATCAGCCTCCTGAGTAGCTGGGAGGATAACTTGAGCCCAGGAGAGGCTCAAGACATGTGCCAACACACTCAGCTAATTTTTTTGAATTTTTGTAGAGGTGAGGTCTCACTATGTTGAGCAGGCTGGTCTTGAACCCCTGGGCTCAAGTGATCCACCCTCCTGGGCCTCCTAAAGTCCTAGGATTATAGGCGTGAGCCACCGCACCCATCCCAGCTGGACCTATTTAACTATGTAAAAGCTTTCATTATCATGAATAATATAAACTGTGCTACTATATCCAATCATAAATAAAAACCAAAGCTGGGCATTAAAGTGAATTTAATGGTAACAAAATAATCTAGTAAAAACGATGATTTATTGAGTGCTTACTATTTTAAATATTTAATCTTCTAAAAAACCCAATGAGGTAGATAGTATCATCACCACCTTTTTAGAGATAAGGAAACAATGGCATACTTCAGTTAAGTAACTAGCAAGACGACTGAGCCAGGATGTATTGGAACCAGAATTCAAACCCAAACAGCCTAGCTCCAGGGCCCTTGCTCTTAAACCACTATGCCCTACTGCCTGGAATGAAATACAGCTTAAAGAAAACATATGCTAAAAAGAAAGAAAAAGATTCTTCTAGCTTAGAACATTTATTATTATCTGACTCCATTCTAAAGGCCTGCTGTCTTTCAAACTCCTCTGACAAAATACCATTACCTGTACATTTATTCCTCATGTGTTTAGAAGGTACCCAAGAACCAGGAGACAAGCAAAAAGGGAATGTGAACAGTTAAATACTTCTCACAATATTGGGCACTGAAGTATACATATACTTAACTTACAGAAATCCTTAGTGCTAACCTCAGAATTGATTTTTTTATACATAGTTTATTTGGTTTCCCAGTATTGAGGACGAGAAGAAGGATAGGAAGGCAGCTTATTATTTAGCAGCAAAAGTAAGGAACAACAGACTGACAGTGAGATTGGAGAAGAAAAAAAAAGCTAGACATTCTGAGCAGAAACAAGACTGAAAAAAACACTGCATTCCTGAAGTCATTTAGTATAGGGACAAGCAGCCCTAAACACTTTAATAGCTGTTGGAGGATATCATGGTATTATACTGTAGCAGAAAAGTGAAAACTCACATGGATGACCCTAAGGTCACAATAATAACAATAATAAAAAGTATATCTTGTTAAGGCAGCATAAAGCTTTTAAAAATATGTCCGTGAAAAATAATTTGATAAACAAAAAAAATTCAGTTCCTGAATCGTAAGCTTTAGTTATCTGCAAAAGTCATTTACATAGACTATTTGATATCCCAGATAAATGAGGTGTTAATGACATTTTCCTCTTAAAGACCTAACTAGTAATTATGTGCGCAATACAATATTGAAATAGGCCTCAGAATATTTTGTGTAACATATCGACTTCCAAAAGCTGACACCTGCTAACACACTCAGGTTAAAAAATAAAGTCTACTTACGATCATAGGTAACTATTTCTTCTCCATCTTCTTCTTTCAAGGATTTGTTTGTGATCAGCATAAAATCCCGCTTACTGCACACTGCACAGCCTGTAAAGTTCAGTAAGAAAGATCCATTCTCCAGGCAGGTATTACCCTAAAATATCAGAAACAGGAATTTAATTTCTTTACATTTCAAAATCTTTAGTGAAGATGATTAACAGACTTAAAATGTCTAAAGGCAAAACAAAACTAAAAAATGGCCAGCATTTACTTCTAGGTCATATACCAAATAATTTTTGAAATTACTAGCTTTCCTAAAGAAGTGTTACTCATGTTAAAAAAAAAAAAAAAAAAAAAGCAACTAAAGTGCAGTGTTAGATCCTTAAGTCTGTAAGGACTGCCACTATGTTGAAAAGGGAGGATAAACTGAAAATAGATATTTAGAAACAACTTAAGGAAACCTTAATATAAAATATGAAAATAGAAAATTAGAAAAATTTAATAACCAACAATATTAAACGAGGCTTACCAACTAAAATTAAATTCAATCAAAATAGAAACTGAGTCAATGATAAAGATGATCTTACATAGATGTTTAGTTGTTTGTTCAAATAGTTTTGATCCTTGATCATAATACAAAATAAACAAAAGTAAACTCTCAGCTCTATAGATGTCAGTCCTTAAGGATACACATGATTGAGGCAGAGAAGCTTAAGTTCTTCATTTCGTAAGACTGACACAATGGCATTTAAGAGAGAATGGGTTTTACATCTTTACTAAGAAACTATACAAATTTTCAAAAAAAGTTTTTAAAAAAGAAATTCTAAATAACTTATGCTCCTGGCTCAAAGGAAGCCTTTTTTTTTTTTTTGGTAATTGAGATGGGGTCTTGCTATGTTGCCCAGGCTGGTCTCAAACTCCTGGGCTCAAATGATCTTCCCACCTCAGCCTCCCAAGTATTGGGATTACAGTTGTGAGCCACCGTCCCCGACCCAAAGGAAGTCTTTGCTAAAGGCTAATAATTAATAATTAAAAGTCACTTTATAAATAATCTAGTCCAATCCCATTTCTCAGCAACACACTTAAAGAGTATTTTTAAATAATGTGATTAAAAATCACTCAAATCAACGTTTCTCCAGTGCATCTGTGTCTGATATTGTGCAAAGCACAACAGAGGATTCAAAGATGAGCCAAACATGTTGCTACCTTCAAGGAGTTTTAAGAAGCATCAGCGAAATTAAGATCCACCATAAATAATGCCACTAGGAAGTCTTTCTGGATTCCAAGCACCAGAATTAATCTCTCCCTTCTATGTATTGAGGAAGAGATTAATTCTGGTGGGAGAATTAATCTCTCCCTTCTATATATTGAGGAATCTCTCCCTTCTATGTATTGAGGAAGACATTAATTCTAGTGGGAGAAATCAAGACATTACTACATAGTTATTAAATCATAGGTGTACTGCCTTAACTACTAAAAGGGAAAAGGGCCTTAGGATTAAAGTATACATTTCCAGTTATTAAGAACAAATGCTTTGCTTTGATTTTTTTTTTTTTTTTTTTTTTTTGAGACGGAGTCTCGCTCTGTCACCCAGGCTGAAGTGCAGTGGCACACTCTCGGCTCACTGCAAGCTCCACCTCCCAGGTTCATGCCATTCTCCTGCTTCAGCTTCCCAAGTAGCTGGGACTACAGGTGCCCGCCACCACGCCCTGCTAATTTTTCGTATTTTTAGTAGAGATGGGGTTTCACTATGCTAGCCAGGATGGTCTCGATCTCCTGACCTCGTGATCTGCCCGTCTCGGCCTCCCAAAGTGCTGGGATTACAGGAATGAGCCACTGTGCCCAGCCTTTGATTTTTTTTTTAATAAAATCTACTGAGGTACAATTTACATACAATAAAATTCACACACTGTAAGGGTATACATAGGTGAATGACTTTTAACCAATGTATATACCCATGTAACCACTACCCTAGTGAAGGTATAAAACATTTCTATCCACCCCAAAAAGTTCCTTCATGCTTTTCAGTCTATCTCTAACCTCCATCCCACCCCAGACACCCACTGATCTGATTTCCATCTCCAGTCTTGCACGTTCTAGAATTTTATATAAACAGAATCAGTATACTCCCGCATCCAATTTTCCTTGCTCGATATAATGCCTATGTTCATCATCACTGTTGTTCTAGGTACTGGTAGTTTGTTGCTTTTCATTGCCAAATAGTATTCCCTGTAGGATTCAGCTGTTGGTAGATATTTGGGTTGTTTCCATTTGGGGCTATTATGAATAAAGCAGCTATAGAGATTCATGTGCAAGTCTTGGATGGATACATGTCTTCCTTTCCCTTGGGTAAATATGTAGAAGTGGAATTGCTAATATGGTAAAAATATGGTATATTTAACTTTACAAGAAACTGCCAAATGGTTTTCCAATTTACATTCCTGCCAGCAATGTGTGAGTTCCAGTTGCTCTATAGCTACATCAATACTAGGTACTGCTTTTTATTTTTGCCATTCAGTGACGTAAAGTGGTATCTCATTGTAGTTTTAACTTTTGTTTCCTTGATGACTAATGATGTTGAGCATCTTTTCATGGTGCTTATTCATGTATCTTCTTTTATGAAATGTCCATTCAAGTCTTTTGCCCATTTTCAAAAAGTTAGGTTGTTTATTTTGAGTTGTAAGAGTTCTTTATATATCTTAGATACAAGTTTTTTCCCAAATATATTTTCTCCGTCATTGATTTGCCTTTTTTGATGGTTTCTTCTAATGAGCAAACAAGTTTTGATTTTCATAAAGTCCAATTTAACATTTTTTCTTTTATAATTTATACTTTTTTTCTCCTAAGACATCTCTGCCTACCCCAGGGTTGCACAAAGTTTCTTACATTTTTTTCTAGAAGTTTTATAGCTTTTAGTTTGTAGATTTAGGTTTATAATCCATTTTGAAATAATTTTATATATGAGGTAAGGATCAAGGTTTATTTAGTTGCGTATGGATTTCCAGTTGTTTTGGCAAGATTTGTTGAAGAACTGTCTTTCCCCCCACTGAATTACAATGGTGCTTTTGTAGAAAAAAGTCAATGACCATATATATGTGGGTCTGCTTTGACTATTCTGTTCCCTTGATACATATATCTACCTTCCCACTAATATCAAACTCTCTTGATTACTATAGTTTTTATAGTTAGTCTTTAAATCAGGTAGTTTATGTCCTATAATCTGGCTATTCTTGGTTCTTTTCAGTTTCATGTAAATTTTAACATGAGCTTACACACTTTACAAAAAAGTCTACTGGAGTTTGAATTGGGACTGCCTGGAATCTATAAAATCTGACTGCCAAGGACTCCAAAAAATTAAGGAAAACAAAACAGTTTTTAAAAAGATCTAAATGCCAATTTCAAATAAATATAACTCTGAACTGGACTGCATCCACAGACACAGGTTCCTTGCACAACGTGGCCTAGCCTCTGTAATCTGACCATGAAAGTAGGCTGAATGTGAGTCTAAGAAAACACTGAAGGAAGAGAAGTATCTATGTATCTGTTGTCTGGTAAGTAAATGCTTCAAATGGCAAAATACAAGTACAGTATATAAGAAGCGGATGGGACTTTCTTTAAGAGCCCTGGTCATTTGAAAGCAGCAAGAGTAACCTTCATCAGTGAGGCACAGTTCTTTTATTAGATGAGGCAAGACTATTAACATCCAAATTTGGGAAAGTAAACTAAAGCACACATTATTCAGGGAAGGTTTTCAGGCTCCCATAATAGGTGGAAAAGAATGCAATTCAAATCAATTCCACAATAATAACAGTAGACCATAACAGCTTAAAGAAGGAAAAAAGTCGACATGTTTAGTACCCTTAGAAAATCTGATTCAGATAAATCCTGGTTAAGGATTTGTAAAGGTATACAAGTGTGCAAGAAGAAATGGCTGAAAACTGTAAGAATAATTAATATGAGAGTATGTTATAAAATCTTACGAGAAAGCTGTAATTATTCTGATAAAGACTGGATCAATTTTTTTTCCAGCAAATTATTTCAGATGATACAAGTTAATAGCTAATGTATATATTTTGCCAGGGAATGTTTAAAAATGGAAAATACGGTTTTTCTTAAAGAACCAATTTTTTGTTTCATTGATTTTCTCTACTGTATTCTCTCAGTATTTTCTACTCTGATCCTTATTATTTCCTTCCTTCTGCTTGCTCTGGGTTTAGTTTGCTCTTTTTTTTCCATTGTCTTTTTCTTTTTTTTTCTTTTTGAGACATGGTCTCACTCTGTCACCCAGGCTGGAATGCTGTGGCGCAATCTTGGCTCACTGCAACCTCCGCCTCCTGGGTTCAAGTGATTGTCTCACTTCAGCCTCCCAAGTAGGTGGGACTACAGGCACACAAAACCATGCCAGGCTAATTTTTGCATTGTTTGGTAGAAACAGGGTTTCACCATGTTGGCCAGGCTGGTCTCAAACTCCTGACCTCCAGTGATCTGCTAGCCTCGGCCTCCGAAGGTCCTGGGATTACAGGCGTGAGCCACCATACCTGGCCCATTTTTCCATTGTCTTAAGTGGAAGGTTAGGTAATTGATTGAAAAGTATACTTTTTAAATATAGGCACTTATAACTATAAATTTTAAGATGCAGAGTATCATTTTAAGGCACTCTTACATACAACTGTTTTGCTAATTATATATTACTCAGCATTTAATTAAATCTGGTTCAATGTTATCTACTAAGCAACAACTTGAATATATGAAGTTTGGTAGCTTAGCTTTAAATGACAAATACAAAACAAGTAATTTTAAACATATCACTAACATTGATTTTTTCCCACTGATTCATAATGTATTTCTGTATTCCTGTTGCATTACTAACAAAATTTCAAGCTGAAATTAAAATATATGAAATGTTTCATTTCCAGTTTGATATGAAAAATATTTGATTACAATTTTGTGCCTGTTCAGTAATTTTAGAAAATGTAGTAGAGTTCTAGTTCTGACTGGTTTGCTAAATGCTTTTCTGAAGGAAAAAAAAAATGTGGTTCACCATTGAGTTAAAAAACATTTGGGTTCAGAAAATTAGTATGGTTCATTCCAACTTGACTCATGTTTGAATTCAAATTCTCAGTGTTAACAGTATAAGCAAGTAGGCCAGAGCCCCATTAAGAATTCAGTACTATATATTTCTAGTCTGTAAAAATAAATGACAAAACTCCAAACAACTTTATGTAATCGAAGATAAATAATTAACTATTACTTACTCATTCTACACTTAGAGCTTCCCAACAAATGATTTTTTGTTTGTTTGTTTTTTTAAGTAGACAGGGTTTTGCTCTGTTGCTCAGGCTGGAGTGCAGTGGTGTGATCTTAGCTCACTGGAGCCTCGAACTCCTGGGTTGAGGGAATCCTCCTGCCTTAGCCTCTTCCCAAGTAGGTGGAACTATAGGCACACACCACCACGCCTGGCTAATGTTTTTTAATTTTTAATAAGGATGGGGTCTCACTATGTAGCCCAGGCTGGTCTCAAACTCCTGGGTTCAAGCCATCCTTGTGCCTCGGCTTCCCAAAGTGTTAGGATTACACGTGTGAGCCACTAGGCCCGGCCCACCATCTTCTTATTACCCTTCCCTTTGCTAAGCTTCTGCAAAGCTGAGCAAAGCAGTGGGCTTCTGCTCTTACTGCACTTAAAAATAGGTCATGACTTCAAAGAACCCCAGAGTTGGAAGGATCCTTGACATTCCAAATGGTCAGTTAGTCTCTACTGAACAATAGGAAGAGAGCTTAATTCCTTTAAGAGTTACTCATTCCATTTTGAAATGTCAGAATGTTCTTTATTCTGATTCAAAGTCTAAGACCCGTAACATCCACCCACTAATTATTTCTAAATCTGCCTTCTAAAATTCCAAAGAAAAGTTTAATTCTTCTTCATGACAGTCTTTTAATTATTTTAGAACAGAATAAAATCAGAGAAAAGTGCCTTTGAAAGGCACTCTCCTGGTTTTCCAATCACCTCGATCCCTTTTTCTACTATTCTTCCTTATACTTTATTTTCATTTCTGAAGTTAATTTAGTCTTTGGAGCTCAGTCCTTGATTCTCTACATTTTTTTCCTCAGAGAACAAATCCTATTTTGACACTTGTATTTGACTGACTCATCTATCTACATAGTTGTACCCAAACTGCAGTCTTATATCTTCACTTGACCCTTCGGATATTCTCAACCTCAGGTGAAGCATGATATTAATAACAATTTGACCATTTGTCCCCAATTTTGTTTTTTCTTCCCATATGCCTCCAATTTCTGTAATGATACTTCCAACATCCCAGTTGCCTAGATTGAAAATCCTGAGATCATGTGATCATGTATAGGTCTCCCCTTATTCACTTCTACATTAAACAGGTTGAATCTTGTTAATTCTTTTTTTTTTCAACAGGGTCTCGCTCTGTTGCCCAGGCTGGAGTGCAATGGCACGATCATGGCTCACTGCAACCTCCCACCTCAACCTCCAAGTAGCTAGGACTACAGGTGCATGCCACCACGCTTGGCTAATATTTGTGGTGGTTTTTTTTTGTTTGTTTATTTGTTTTGAGACGGAGTTTTGCTCTTGTCACCCATGGTGGAGAGCAGTGGTGTGATCTCGGCTCACTGCAACCTCTGCCTCCCAGGTTCAAGCGATTCTACCGCCTCAGCCTCCCAAGTAGCTGGGATTACAGGCGCCTCCCACCACACCCAGCTAATTTTTGTATTTTTAGTAGAGACGGGGTTTCGCCATGTTGGCCAAGCTGGTCTCGAACTCCTGACCTCAGGTGATCTGCCAGCCTTGGCCTCCCAAAGTGCTGGGATTATAGGCGTGAGCCACCGTGCCCAGACTATTTGTATTTTTTGTAGAGACAGGGTTTTGCCATGTTTGAGACTGGTCTCAAACTCCTGGGCTCAAGTGATCCACCTGCCTTGGCCTCCCAAAGTGCTGGGATTACAGGTGTGAGAACCGTGCCCAACCTAATTCTTTCTTTGAAATAAGGTCTTCATTATCTCATGCCTACACCACTGTTGCCATGGCTCCTCAAATGCCCTGTGGAGTTCTGTCTTTACACACCCTCTACCCCACCATTTCAACATTCAGCCATAAGATTCATTTTCCTAAATAACAGATTTCAGAATCATTTCTCTATTAAAATTTTGATGGTGGCCCAATGCCTAAAATGTAAACTCTAAACTTCTCAATATGACTTTTAAGTTTTACAATAACTCCACTCTTAAGAATCCAACCTAAGGCCCGGCGCGGTGGCTCACGCCTGTAATCCTAGCACTTTGGGAGGCCGAGGCAGGTGGATCACGAGGTCAGGAGATCGAGACCATCCTGGCTAACAAGGCGAAACCCTGTCTCTACTAAAAATACAAAAAAATTAGCTGGGCATGGTGGTGGGCACCTGCAGTCCGAGCTACTCGGGAGGCTGAGGCAGGAGAATGGCATGAACCAGTGAGGCGGAGCTTGCAGTGAGCCGAGATCATGCCACTGCACTCCAACCTGGGCGACAGAGCAAGACTCCATCTCAAAAACAAAAACAACAACAAAAAAGAATCCAACCTAATCTCTTTAATATTCTCTACTGCAAACTCCTCCCTCATGGTCTCATAATAGCTCATGTTTATTACTGGTTTCATAAAAATCTTTTTAAACTTTAAAAAAATGAAATAGTACATAGTAAAGTACATGAAACATAAATGTAGCGAACAAGAAATGATTATAAAGTGTACATCTGTAGAACCACCACCCAAATCAAGAAATAAAACACTGCTTGCACCCGGGAAGACTTTTTCTCATGTGACCCTTCTTGATCACACCCTAATCCCTTAGGAGTAACCACTATCTCGACTTAACAGTAATTGTATACGTTCCTTACAGTTTTACCACCCAGGTACATCCTTGAATAATATATTTTGGTTTGCCTCTTTTTGAATTATACTTTATGTGTTCTTTCATCAACACTATTTGTAAGACTTTTCAGGCTGCTGTGTAATTCTAGTTTGGTTTCACGGCTATAATTCAGGGTTTCTCTACCTCCACACTATTGACATTGGGAGTGATACTTTGTTGTGGTGGCTGTCCCATGTATTGCTGGATGTTTAGCGGCATCCCTTGCATCACCCATTAGCAGTCAGTAGTACTTCCCCTTTTGACACCCAAAAAATGTCTCTGGATATTGCCAAATGTCTCCTAAGAGCCAAAAATCACTCCTGGTAGAGAACTACTGCTCTAATTCATTCACTTCCATTCCTCATTCATTAATGGTGTTCCATTCTAATGAATGTATCAGTTACTTTTCCAATCTACTACAAAAATAATGCTGTTATGAACACTTATTTATAAAAGTCTTCAGAAGCATATACACATGCATTTTTCTAGAATGGGAATCACTGGGTCATGTCTGTATTTTATAAGGCTCACCCGCTTTTTCAAAGTAGTTGTACTACAGGAGAATTCATACTGTTATACATGCTACTCAAAAGCCTAAGTATTACCCATAAGATACTAAGACATAAGGAACTACAGAGACTTTCTCCCTCCTTCCCAACCAATGCACAAATTCCATTTCTGTAATTTTCCCCCATCCTCCAGCTCCTCACCTTCTTTTCTACCCTAATTACAACTGTCCTTCAAGTCTTAGATGATGTCCACCTTTTCTCAGGGGAGAACAGCACTATCCCCTATTGCCCTCCCCTTTCCCTAAACTTGAATAGCATTTCTGAACTGAGCTACTCATTTTTTGTTAGTCACATACTCCCCAAAACTGTAAGCTGTTAGGCAGCACCAAAGGTGCCTTTTAATTTCTTCTCTGAAACAAATAATCCAGCTGGACGTGGTGGCTCATGCCAGTAATCCCAGCACTTTCGGAGGCCAAGGCGGGAGGATCACTTGATCCCAGGAATTTGAGACCAGCCTGGGCAACAGCAGCACCCTGTCTCAAAGAGAGGAGAAATAATCCCTTTCTGGCCTAGCAAAGTAATCTAACTACACATATATAAATGTTCAACAAGGATGCCTTGAATGAATGAGAATAGACAAGCTTTGCAAACTCCTGAACCTGAAAGTAACTGAGATTCAGAAGGCGGTAACAGGCAGGAAACCTAAATTCTAGTCCTGGCTCTCATCCATGCAACTAGAATGTGAACTTGGGCAAGTGATTTCCCCTCTCTGGGCATCGGTTTCTTCATCTGCAAAAGTGTTAGAACAGATGACCACAGAGGTCCCCTCCAGCGCTAGAATTCGGTAAGAAAATTGTACTTCATCAAATCGAGCTTGAGGATGAGACCGGAAGTGGGGGTGGGGGAGTCCCTCGGTTGTCGACGGGGGTTGTGGTGGTGGTGGGGTTCCTCTGTTGCTCCTTGGAGCTCAAGAGAACGGCCACTACAACTGAGGTCAGCCGCCAGGGCGGGTACCAGAGGTGCAGACCGCCACAGGCCATCCCTGGTGTGCCTAAATACCGCTACTGGGTCACCGGGACCGGCAGTGCGGCCGAGTCCGCCCCACGTACGGCCTCTCTGGGAAGGCCAGCCTTGGATATGAGACACCTCGGGGGCCGCCCGCGGGCCAAGGGAGCGCCCAGTCGCTCACCCGGTTGGGATATTCCTTCTCCACACAGTCGCCACACATCGCGACGCAGTCAACAGGGAATGTCCTCCAACGCTTCCGGGAAGACGAAACCTCGCGAGAACTGAGATACGGTTGCCGCATGCGCCCAAGTACTCGACTCCTGGGTATTCCGTCTCGGGAACCGAGCCGAAGTCTCCGCCCCTTAGCAACTGTTGTCAAGGCAGGGCACAGTCTCCTTGGCACCGTGCGTGGGCAAAGGGTGGGGCTTCAGAAACCTTTGGAGACAGACGAAGAAATCTTGTGCGCTAACAGATGTGACGGGAAGGGAAAGGGATCTTGGGCTGAGCGAAGTTCTCACAGACACCTTCCTGAGCTTAGGCTGACAAGAAAGGCAAATCACGACACACAAGAAAGGGAATTATTTCTCGCTACCGCATATACAAATCTGAAATGTTAATGAATACATTTCTGTACCATTTCTTAAGGCAATGAGAGTGAATAAGAGACCAGATCTCAGCAGGTGAATAAACAGTAACCGAAGTGTTTGGGAAGAGACACTCAGAGTGCTGCAGAAAATCTCCTAAAAAAACACTTAAAATATTAGTAATAATTGGTCATTCCAGAGTCCTCTGGAGGACATAGCAACGAGGAACGTATTTCTATCTCTCTCAGGTGTCACAGAAGCACCTCAGTGGCGGGCAAGCACTATGTAAATAGAAAAATGGCCAGGTCATCAGCCATCCCATTACTGGGTATATACCCAAAGGATTATAAATCATGCTGCTATAAAGACACATGCACATGTATGTTTATTGTGGCACTATTCAGAATACCAAAGACTTGGAACCAATGCAAATGTCCATCAATGATAGACTGGATTAAGAAAATGTGGCACATATATACCATGGAATACTATGCAGCCATAAAAAAGGATGAGTTCATGTCCTTTGTAGGGACACGGATGAAGCTGGAAACCGTCATTCTGAGCAAACTATCGCAAGGACAGAAAACCAAACACCGCATGTTCTCACTCATAGGTGGGAATTGAACAATGAGAACACTTGGACACAGGGTGGGGAACACCACACACCGGGGCCTGTCGTGGGGTGGGGGGAGGGGGGAGGGATAGCATTAGGAGATATACTTAATGTAAATGACGAGTTAATGTGTGCAGCACACCAACATGGCATATCTATACATAGGTAACAAATCTGCACGTTGTGCACATGTACCCTAGAACTTAAAGTATATTAAAAATAAATAGATTTCAAAAATTATCTAATTGAATTGACTGCAGATATTTTGATTTCAGATTTGCACATCCATTTATAAATGACCTATTGGTTCACAGATTAAAAAACCAATAAACATATGTGCTTCCAAGAAAAGAAAGAAAGAAAGAAAAATGGCCAGGTCAGTTGTTCCTGCATCATTTCCCAATCCTGTGGGTCTCAAAATGCTTGTGCTTGTTGCCCCGCCTCATCCTTTCTCTCTGTATTGAAAGCATCTTATTTATTCGCAACGACCTAATTAACTTGCAGACGAATCTCCGAAGTTTGTCTCTGTTTCTGAACAATGCGTCTTTATCACACTCCTCTACCCCAATGGGAACATCAACATCCTCCCTCAGCCCTGCTTTATTGCTGTCATGTCAGGGAAGAAAGATTGGGGAGCCTGGGAGACTCTGGGATCCAGATTCCTTAAAGAAGAGATTAATAACCATTTCAAAGCACACCAGTTTAAATGGGTTTGCTAATATGGGAATTATTTTTCCACGGAAGCACTGAAGTTGTAACCTTTAGTATTTCAACTTCTAGTAAGTATCTGCAACTGTTATTAAAAATCATAGGTGTGCTAAGAAACACTGCAAGAACTAGAGCCATCAGAGTTTACCTTATTCTTAGAATAATTATAATACCTCCCATTTGTATGACATTTTCAACCTTTCAAAAGTGTCCTCATTTCAGTTTCTAATTTTATGCTATTACAATCCTATGTGGTTGGTAAGAAAAATATGTCTCCTCTTTTCAGATAAGGAAACCACAGAAGTGAGTGGTTAAAGGTCTTGTCTATGGTAACAAAGCTACTCAGTAGTCAGCCAGGGCTAGGACTCTGTTGCTATCCTTATCTCAATTTCTTTCTAATACAGTAGCACTAGCCACTTATGGCTATAAAGCACTTTAAATATGGCAAGTTGAACTGAGATTGTGCTGTGAGTACATTCTGCACACCAGATTTGGAAGATTTAGTATTAAAATATATAAGAATCTCATTAATAAATTTATATGATTACGTTGAAATAATTTTTGACGTACTGGGTTAAATAAAAATGTATTATTAAATTAATTTCACCTGCTTTTTTAATGTGACTACTAGAAAATTAAAAATTACACATGTAGCTCTCATATTCCTATTGGACAGGGCTAGTCTTTTTTTCTTCTCTCTCTCTCTTTTAAGGCAGTCTCACTGTGTCACCTCGGCTGGAGTGCACTGGCATAGTCTCGGCTCACTGCAACCTCTGCCTCCCAGGTTCAAGCGATTCTCATGCCTCAGCCTCCCAAGTAGCTGGGACTACCGGGGCACACCACCACAACCGGCTAATTTTTTGTAGTTTTAGTAGAGATGAGGTTTCACCATGTTGGCCAGGGTGGTCTCGAACTCCTGGTCTCAAGTGATCCACCTGCCTCGGCCTTCCAAAGTGCTGGGATTACAGGTGTGAGCCACTGCACCTGGCCCAATTCTTTCTCTTCATCCATTTTTAAATGGTTTCTCTGTTTTTAAAGCCTAATACTGACTTTTAATCCTTTGCTACTCCCCAGCTACAATTTAGTCTGAGAGATAAAATGAGCACAAATACTAATAATTACTGGCAGATTGGGGTATAAGAACACAAAATGATGAGACTACACCCAGGGGGAGGATTAGGAAAGAGGAATTTGGGCCTTAAAGCATGTTTAGAATTTCAAAAAGCAGAGTTTTGTTTTGTTTTGTATAGAAATTTCAGGTGAACCATGCCAAGGAGTTTGGATTTTATTCTGCATGTGGTAGGGAGCAACTGAAGGTTTGAGCAGGAGAGTGTTGCCAGAGTTGTGGTTTAAAATTATTTTAGGCTGGGTGTGGTGGCTCACACCTGTAATCCCAGCACTTTTGGGACGCCAAGGCAGGAGGGTAGCTTGAAGCCAGGAGTTCAAGACCAGCTTGGGCAACATAGTGATGACCTCAAAAAATTTTTAAATTAGCCTAGTGTGGTGGTGTGCACCTGCAGTCCTAGCTACTCAGGAGGCTGAGATGGGAAGATCTCTTGAGCCTAGGAGTTTGAGGCTGTAATGAGCTATGATCATGCTGCTTGCACCCCCGCCTGGGCAACAGAGTGAGACTCTGTCCCTAAAAAATAAATAAATAAAAAAGATTATTTTAGCTGCATTTTATTGGGACTTACTGGAACTGGGAAAAAAATGGACATGCCAAAGGCAGACGTTAGCAGGAACCACAAGGGGGAGATGTATAGCTTTCTGCCTCATCACTGAGAATATACACAACAAAAATAAATTAATTAAAAATTACACTAAAGTCATAGATCTTAAAGAGTACACCCATTAGCATGAATTGATTTCATATTCTAAGGCATGAAAGACAATCTACATATTTATGAAATTTTTTTACCTTCCCAGAGTTATATCATAACTTGTTATTAAAATGAGCAAGATAAAAAAAAAAAAAGGTCGGCCGGGTATGGTGGCTCATGCTTGTAATCCCAGCACTTTGGGAGGCTGAGGCGGGTGGATCATGATGTCAGGAGATCGAGACCCTCCTGGCTAACATGGTGAAACCCTGTCTCCACTAAAAATACAAAAATTAGCTGGGCATGGTGGCGCATGCCTGTAATCCCAGCTACTCAGGAGGCTGAGGCAGGAGCAACGCTTGAACCTGGGAGTCAGAGGTTGCAGTGAGCCGAGATCGTGCCATTGCACTCCAGCCTGGGCGACAGAGCTAGACTCCATCTCAAAAAAAAAAAAAAAAAGTTGTCATATTTATGGTCACAAAAGCTCAAGAGCTCAGGGCTATCTATCCAATGAAGTCCTCCATTTAAATCTAGCCACATTCAGAGAAGAGAGGCAGGAAATGAGACTTGGGGGAAGAGGTAGCCAGGACCAGAAATTAAAGTGTGACTGTGGTAATGGGAATATAAAAGTATCTGAGGTTGACAGATGGGAGAAAGGAAAATAGAGGCTACAAAGCAGAAGATTAGCACCTGAATGAAATGAACAAGTAGTGATGTAACATAAGAAAAACAATAAACAGAAAAATATTTTCTCTTATAGGTAACTATATAAAATAAAATTTGCAAAATCAATTTTATCTTCTAATAGAATTTTCTCTGGGGAAATACCCTGCCCCTATGGGTCTCTAATAAATATGTGATGTCCATGAGATATATCAAACAAACCATGTTGCAGTTTACGTATGAGATCACCTCTTGTAAAAGGAATTGATTAAAGAAAATCTAAATGTTAAAATGGCCCTAATTGCTGGCTCAGTTACATGTGCTAAACTACATCCCTGTGGTAAGATGAAAATTTTCCCTAAAGAGTGCAGTTTGACTCTCCTTTTAACACCTTCTTTCTATTTTTTCTTTTGTCTTATGCTGTCTTAAGCCAAGAGTCTGAAGTGATGACACAATGCTGATCATATCTATTATTTTCATCTTTTGTTGAAAGGAGCAAATAAGTGCCCCAGCCTTTATGGTAGTATCCTCAGACCCATTTCACAGATGGAGTAGAGGAAGCTCATCTGCTTGGTGAAGGTATAGGTCATTCTTTCCATTGTTTCAGGGAAAGTGTGAAATAAGAGTCTGTGGTTGTCATCACCTGATGTCACCTGCCTGATATGAATGAATTAGCAGCATTTCTGGGTTAACCCAGTGAATACAGGTGAGCCTGGCTGAGGACAGGTACAAAAGCACTCCTAGAAGTTCAGGGTCAGCAGGTTTTTTTCTTAGCTCAATGGGAGAGTTAGACTTTCTTCCCTTTAGGGTTCTCCTGCCCAACTTCAGGCTACTTCCCCTATTCAGATGATAAACTCAAGCCTTTCAAGCACATTTATTTATTTTTTGCTTTTTAAAACTTTATTTCAACATAACTATGCTTACAGAAGTACAGTCATATTGGCTAATAGAATGCAATTTAAGTTTAAACTTACCCTGTACAATTTGAATAAGAAACTTGGTACGTGGTTTAGGATTTTAAAAATGATTTGCAGTCTGGTTTATTTTTTATCTATTACAAATGTATAAAAGACCCTCCATCAAATTCTGCTAAAGAAGGCAGCAGAAACTTGAGAAAATTACCTTTGGTTTGTCTTAGAAAAAAAACAGGCATTGCACTGCTTAAGTTTATAAAATTGGTGCAAAAAAAAATTGTAATGCTTCAATGCCAATTTAGAAAGTTCAGTTACCAATGGATATGGAAATGGGTGTGAAGGAGCCTATATACACATGTGAAACTGTAAATATCTGATTTAGGTAATATTGCCTGTAGATTATAAATCTACACACACCAAGATTCATATAATTTCTCCAATCTGAATTAACACTATCTGTTCACTTCATCTGCTGAGGTCAATCAGGGAACTGGACACAGTAGTTGTTTTTCTGATGTATGCAAAAAAGAAAATGGAATTGTTTCGTTTGCTTTTCAGTCCAGAAGTCAGTATACTATGGGCAAGGTGTTCCTTCCGTTGTCAACATTCGTAGAGTGACAAACAATGAGGTCTACTTGGGTTTTAATTTGTATCAGCACTCATATCCAAAGCAGTCTCCAAAGTTAATGAACACATGACTTTAGAAGTGACTCCAAAAAATAAAATGGCCCTGCTTAGAAGATTAGAGCAAAACATTCAGCAATATTTATAAGAAGCCTTATCAAAAAATGCAGCCCCTTGTGAATTACACCTCAGTATTAAAAAGTAGCCCCCAAATAAGAAGTAGCTCTGAAAAACAAAGAGGAAAAAATGTAACTTAAAATATCTTAAAAACCAGCAGGGTGCAGTGGCTCACGCCTGTAATCCCAGCACTTTGGGAAGCGCCAAGGTGGGTGGATCACGAGGTCATGAGATTGAGACCATCCTGGCTAACACGGTGAAACCCCATCTCTACTAAAAAAAAAAAAAAAAAAAAAACTTAGCCGGGCGTGGTGGCGAGCGCCTGTAGTCCCAGCTACTCAAGAGGCTGAGGCAGGAGAATGGCGTGAACCCGGGAGGCCGACCCTGGAGTGAGCGGAGATCACGCCACTGCACTCCAGCCTGGGCGACAGTGCGAGACTTCGGTCTCAAAATAAATAAATAAATAAATAAATAAAAATCTTAAAAACCAATGTGAATATAGGTTCAAAAGATGATAGTTAAAAGAGATTCATTTTCTTAAGACTACCTAGGATTAAGACTTATAATGTATTCTAGTATTTCAAGTTTACCGCTAGTTACTAAACATAAATTTACAAATAACATATCCATTTTTTCAAACATATAACACTTAAAAGCAAGGGAATAGCCATTATTTCCCTCTGATTCTGTTTTTTTTGCTCTCCTCACTTTTTTTCAAATACAGATTATCATTTCCATATAAAGTTTTCACCAGGTATGTCGAAATCTCTTAAATGGTAGCTTCTGGGGAAATATTCTCTCTCAAATCTTGCATGGATTGGGGTGGATTTTTTAATATTTTATGTATGTATGTATGTATATAGAGATGAGTCTCACTGTGTTGTCCAGGCTGGTCTCGAACTCCTGGGCTCAAGCAACCCTCCTGCCTCAGCCTCCCACAGTGTTGGGATTACAGGCATGAGTCACCACAACTAGCCAGAAGGAATTTAATAATCAAAATGCAATTGGGTTTCAGATATTTTATTGTGGGTTTTTTCCCCCGCAATGTGTGCCTCAAGGACATAGTAAGACTTAGAGCAGACTTTTATTCTCTTTCACCTATATGGACTCTGAGAGGTAAAGGAGTTTGGAATTTTTAGAGAAACCGGGGAAGTGAGGAAAGGGAAGTCAAGAGACTTCTGTTTTGTCCTGGAGAATGGCTAGCAGATGGAGGGTTTACTTCAAGGTAACCCAGGCACAAAATCCATAGAAATCAAAAAACTTGGGTAGTGTTGAAAAGAGTAGTTTTGACTTGGAATAGAGAAGGGGTATATAGAAGCTGCAAGGAATATTTGGAAAATAACATGGTGATTTACAGTTAAAACATTAGATTTTAGTCCTCATTGTAACTTAATAATTCAAGGACCCTAAACAAGTTGCTTATTGGCTGGTCTTCAATTTTCTCATCTGTAAAATAATGACAATAATAAATATACCTACCTCATTGGCTTGCTTTATAAAATGATACACAAATGTTTTCGGTATATGTGTTTCTACATATGACTTAAGGGTTTTAAGAAAAGTAACTCTGGCCTTAAGCCTGAGGTGGTAGAAGGGAGGATAATAAATTAAGGAAGAGGACTGGCAATAACTCAAACTGCCCGATGTGTGAATGTGTGTCTGCTGAAGTGGATAATATGAGACTGTGTACTTTAACAAATTTGTACAAGGTGATTTGTGTGTAACTGGAAAAACTGAGTGAGCATGTTGTGTTGGAGAGGATGCCGTGGTAAAAGGGTCGTGTTAGGGAGGGAAACCACGGGAGATGGAGAAGGAGAAAGGCCAGGCTCCTCCAGGAAGTGGATTTGGAAAGTTACCTCAAGGCACAAAGAGAAAGGGAGCCTTCCTTGTAAGTGCTACTTTGGTTTCTACCTAATCACAGATTCCCAACCCTTCTAGTTCTTTGTACTTTTTTCTCTTTACAATATCCTCTTTGAGAACTAATGAGAGGGCTGGGAGTGGTGGCTCATGCCTGTAATCCCAGCGCTTTGAGAGGCCAAGGCTAACAGATCACTTGAGGTCAGGAGATCGAGACCAGCCTGGCCAATATGGTGAAACCCTATCTCTACTAAAAATACAAAAAATTAGCAGGGCATGGTGGCGTGTGCCTGTAATCCCAGCTACTCAGGAGGCTGAGGCAGGAGAATCACTTGAACCTGGTAGGTGGAAGTTGCAGTGAGCCGACATTGTGCCATTGCTCCAGCCTGGGCGAGACAGCGAGGCTCCGTCTCAAAAAAAAAAGAACTAATAAGAAAGTGCATAGCAAGGTTTGAGAGAACTGAGGTATATTATTAAGCAACTACAGTAGACAGCGCCAAGAACGTAACAATTATCATAAATCTCAGTATGTCACTGCTTTAAAAGCTCCATGATTCCCTATTGCCCTCAGGATAAAGACCAAATTCCTTCCTACAGCACCCACGACTTTTTAAAAGTTGGCCCAGTCTACTTCTGTAGCCCCGTGTCCTGCTGCTCCCTACCTCCCTTCCTGCTGTCATCCCACATTTCCTGTTTCTAACCTCACCAATTCCTCATGGCCCTCACCACACCAAAGTCCTCTTTCTAGCTTTTTGTGTGCTGCTCCTTCTGCCCAGAATAGCCCTTTGTCTCCTTATTGAATTCATATTCAGGTTCTCAGACATGGCTCAAACATCACCTCCTCCATAAAGATTGCCTATTAGTATCCCTTTCCAAGTACCTACAATAACAGTTTATTAATTCCCCTATTATAGTATGCGCAGTCAGCTCTTGACTGCAAACTTGAGAATCATGCTTGTTTCCCAGGATTTAGCATTATACCTGACACATAAGTGCTCAGTAAGTGTTTTTTGATTGATTACAAAAGCTGAACACACAGTTTCACCCTTCCCACCACCTTACTCCAAATTCCATAGCCAAAGGCAGTTACCATTCCACCTGTCTCATCTGGATTTTGCTCTGTTCACTCCAGGTCTTTGCTTTCAATGGTTTTGAAATTTGAGAAAGAAAACAAACAAACAAAAATTAGGAGAGTTTTGGTTAGAGAATAATACCTTTTGTTCTAATAAATTACCAATAAATTAATTGCTAAATCATGTCTTCATTCTGTGCCCACCAGAGGAAAGATTCTGCCTAAGACATGGATGACTCAACAAGAAGGACATGCCCTAATATCATCCAATTTAACACCTCCTTGTTCTCTAGGAAATGACCTATAAACTTAGCAGTTTGTTACTTCATTCCTGGAAGTTTAGCAACAGCCTCCTGACTTCAATTGGTTCTTTTTTTTTTTTTTTTTTGAGACGGAGTTTCACTCTTGTTGCTCAGGCTGGAGTCCAATGGCGCAATCTCGGCTCACTGCAACCTCTGCTTCCCAGGTTCAAGCGATTCTCCTGCCTCAGCCTCCCAAGTAGCTAGGATTACAGGCATGTGCCACCACACCGGTCTAATTTTTTACATTTAGTAGAGATGGGGTTTCACCATGGTGGTCAGGCTGGTCTTGAACTCCTGACCTCAGGTGATCCACCTGCCTCAGCCTCCCAAAGTGTTGGGATTACAGGTGTGAGCCATCACACCCGGCCTTCAATTGGTTCTATACACTATTTTATGTATCTCTTTTATAAATAATTGGATCCAGCTGGGTGTGATGGCTCATGCCTGTAATCCCAGCATTTTGGGAGGCCAAGGCAGGAGGATCACTTGAGCTCAGAAGTTCAGGACTAGCCTGGGCAACATGGCAAGACTCCGTCTTTACAAAAAATACAAAAATTAACTGGGCGGTGGGTGTGGGGGCGTGTGCCTGTAATCCCAGCTACTTGGGAGGCTGAGGTGGGAGGATCACTTGAGCCTTGGAGGTCGATACTGCAGCGAGCTTTGATTGCACCATTGCACTCCAGCCTGGAAAACAGAGACCTTGCCTCTAAATACATACATACATACATACATACATACATACATACATACATACATACTGGTTTTTGTCAACTTGGGCTGAAGGAAGGTAGTGACCCTTCACAGGCAAGGTGTCTACATCAGAGAGCATTTCATTTCAAAATTCAGAATGGTGCTCAAAATGTAAATATACCTGGAAGAAGTAATATGATGATATTAAAGCTCAGGAATTCAATTTCACTCATATAATGTTTGGGGTATCTGCCTCATGCCCACCTTTCACAGTCAGGGGGCAAGGCAAGAAAAACCAGTGATCACAATACAGTGTAATAACTGCTCTTCGGGATGCTCCTGGGGCCCAGATAAAGGGCAGCCTGGGAGAGGTCAGAGAGAGGAGAGGACACAGTCTCAGCAATGATTTTCCAGAAGTGTTGATCCCTCCGCAGACTCTTTAAGCTTAGACATTAGGGAATGTTGGGCAGGGTGTTCCCCCGACACAAGGACCAACATGTGCAAAAGTGCAGAAATGCTGAGAAACAAGTTTGTAAGGGGTGGTACATAGGGGAGGTTGCATTGATCTAAGTAATGTCACATCCTTTCATGAAGAGGATAAAGTTTTGACCCTTTAGTCAGGGGATATTGGCTTCATAGTTATGCCTCGGCCCAGCGCTTATGAAGGTTGTATAATGGATTTTAAATTGCTCAAGCTTCTTCCTACCATATACCAGGATCACATTTTCTACCAAAGTGGTGGTATGGAGACATACAAATGTGGACTCGCAGCCCGGCTCTGTGACTTATTAGCCGTGATGAAACACTGTGGGAAAGGTACTAACTTCTCTGTTCCCTTTCCCTCATTTGCAAAATGGGAATGCACCTTCTTCATGGAGTTGCTGTGAGAATTAAAGGAGAGAATCCACATTACACACGGTCTGACATATGTATTAAGTATTCCATAAATGTTAGCTATGATGAAGATGATTCCAATGGACCTAATAAAGATGTAAGAACAAGTGGCTAGTAATCAAGGGATGGTAATTAACTGCAACCGAATCCCAGAGTTAAGAAAAGTCTTAAGAAGTCACTTAATATACTCCTTTGCATCTAAGATCAATGCTTAAATCAACACTGTTCGACCCTACCTGCCACCAAGGGCTCTAACTATACTCAAGGAAAGATTGGGAGTAGAGGGAAAGGGTGAAAGAAAATCACAAGTAGAAAGAAGGGAATGAGAGATAAAGGGAAAAGGAAGCGGAATGATAGGACAAATGAGATAGAAAATACACTTTCGTGGCACATCTACTATTTAAGTTGCCTATTCCTGACTTCAATCTTCCAAGGCAAGTGATGACTTCATTCAAGTTAAAAAGAACCAAAGGAAGAACTGGGAACTCCAAGAGGTCAATATATCCAATAATTCCAGAGAAGTCCAGGTATTAAAAGATCATAAGTAGAAGGAAGTGTTAAGAGTCATCTTTTATCTTTTTTTTTTTTTTTTTTTTTTTGAGATGGAGTTTCACTCTTTTGCTCAGGCTGGAGTGCAGTGGCATGATCTCGGCTTATTGCAACCTCTGCCTCCCAGGTTCAAGCAATTCTCCTGCCTCAGCCTCCCAAGTAGCTGGGATTATAGATGTGGGCCACCACGCCCAGCTAATTTTTGTATTTTTAGTAGAGACAGGGTTTTGCCATGTTGGCCAGGCTGGTCTCGAACTCCTGACCTCAGGTGATTCGCCCGCCTCAGTCTCCTAAAGTGCTAGGATTACAGATGTGAGCCACCGCACCTGGCCATCTTTTATCTTTTCTAATGAGCCGTATGTGTGTGTGTGTGTGTGTGTGTGTGTGTGTGTGTGTGTGATGTTCCCTCACTGTTGCCCAAACTGGAGTGCAGTGGCGTGATCTCGGCACACTGCAACTTCTGCCTCCCGGGCTCAAGCCATCCTCCAGCCTTAGCCTCCTGAGTAGCTAGGATTACAGGTGCACACCACTTTGCCTGGCTAATTGTTGTTGTTGTTGTTGTTGTTGTTGTTTTTAGTAGAGACAAGTTCTCATTACGTTGCTCAGACTCTAAGAAGCTCTTTATCAAACTTGAGAATATTTAGAGAATCTCTAGACAGATTATTGTGCGTATTAAGACTACTGATGTTATGAGGGGCTCGGAGACTCTCGCAGATACAAGCAAAAATGCTAGACCAGACATTTACAGGTGAAATCTCTCTCTGAGAACCAAATTTTAGAGGAGTAGTCAAAGGGAAACATCCTTATATCATCCATGTACAAATCAATGAATGCTACTATCATCACCTATTTGGTAGGAGGAATTTTAAAAAGGCCCAAGCTGTCAGTAGTTTGAACAAAATGGTGTTCCCTTCTGGGGCTTTTCAACATCGACTCACACGCCCATGTGATTCTGACCTGCTACTCTTTTGTTGCATTATTTTGTTAAGTGTTTACTCCTGAGAGATGATTCTGTCCTAATTATCTCTTACCCACATGTCTTTCGTTTTTTAGTTTGTGTTCTAGTTCATTTTCAGAGCGTTCGCTCTCATGACTGCTGTCTTTCTTTTGGTTTTTAGATCTTCTTCCTTCTCTTTCTTTAGTTCCTGGTGGTTGAGCAGGGATAATGCTGAACTGGGGCCAGGTGTTAATTAAGCAAAATAAGTCAAGCAAGTCAAGACTTCCAAGCATTTGGTTTCAGGTAAGTTAACCACCACAGCATTTCCTTAGAAATAATTTTATTTTGATTTGATTTCTGTAAGTCCTCTGGTTGGGGCTGTTATCTTTCTGCTGTGTGACAAAGCAATGCAAAGAGGATGCGTCAAGATACAGACGAATGACATTATTCAGCAACAAGGCAACAGGGCAGAGCCTTGTGCCAGAGGCCTCAATCCAGTCCTCAGCAAAATCTTGAGGACATTTTTTGATGTCACTATCTGTTTCTGGGGACATAGAGGTTTTTGTCTTTTTGCCAGAAGGAAAATTGGGTAGTGAATTTTCTGATTTGAAGGTTTATTCCTAACCCATGTTTCATTCCTAAACAACAGAGTAAAGACATCATCATGATGAACAAACAACTTTTAGTGTATATTATGTGTAAGACGCTGGCCAGGCACCAGGAGAACACACAGAGAGAATACATAATTTATACTCGGATGATTTACTATCTTGAGGAGATTAGATATATGCATTTAAATACATACATACATTTTAACAAACAAATAAAAACTACCAGATAACACATACCAAGTGCCAAAGGGTAATATATAAGTAGGTTGACCATATGGCCCAGCTTGTCCTGGACAGTCCCAGTTCATACCTGTGGTTTCAGAGTAATTGTGACCCTTTTAACAAGCAAATATACAATCTGGATGATAAATTATATGGTCACCATACGTACAGACCACTAATCTAGGAATCAAGAGGAGGGGGTGATTATCAATGGCTGGGGCAGTGGGTGGTGAGTTCATGGAACTCGTAGAACTTGAGCTGGGCCTTGAAGGAAGAGTTAGGGCAGAGGCAAGGGGCAAGTAGTCTATACGAAGAAGACCAAGAACAAAAGCACCAGCCAGGCGTGGTGGCTTATGCTTGTAATCTCAGCACTTTGGGAGGCTGAGGCGGGCAGATCACCTGAGGTGAGGAGTTTAAGACCAGCCTAGCCAACATAGTGAAATCCCATCTCTACCAAAAAAAAAAAAAAAAAAAAAAAAAATTAGCCAGCTACTCAGGAGGCTGAGGCAGGAGAATCACTTGAACCCAGGAGGCAGAGGTTGCGGTGAGCTGAGATCGCGCCACTGCACTCCAGCCTGGGCAACAGAGTGAGACACCATCTCAAAAAAAAAAAAAAAAAAAAAAAGAACAAAGGCACCAAAAGGAACATGGGAATAAAGTACAGTCACTGCACTACTCCAGGGGACACTGTTCACATTATATTCTCTGTGAATAGTGTCCTCTGGAATGTGCAAGTGTCAGCTCTAAGGGTATGTCATATTTGGGAGCAATTGGAAAATTAGCTGGAGAAGAGAATTTGTGTAAAGGATTTGTGTGAGGTAAGAATAGAAATAAGTATTAGCTGGTTGTGGTGGTGCATGCCTGTAGTCCCAGCTACTTGGGAGGCTGAGGCAGAAGGATCACTTGACCCCAAGAGGTTGAGGCTGCAGTGAGCTAAGATCACGCTACTGCATTCCAGCCTGGGTGACAGAGCAAGTCCCCATCTCAATTAAAAAAATTTTTTTAAAGAATAAAAAGAAGTAAGAAGCAGATAGTGGAGGATATTAAATGCCAGGTTAAGATATGTAACTTTCATCCTATAGGTGATAGGAATCTAACTGAAGAGTTTTGAATAAGGAAATGATACCTACAACAATATATTTTTAAAAGAATAATATTCCCAATGAAACTGTTGAATGTATTAAAAGGAAAAGGAAGACGAAGGAGAAGAACTAGTTTCAAAACTATTGGGAATGCATAGGAGAGAAATGATGAGTCTGAGCTACAGTAGTGGCAGTGGGAAAGGGAAAGGAAAAGAGACTTGAGAGAATTTGCAAAGGCAGGATTGATAAGAGTTTGGTAACTGGCCAACAATGCAAGAAGAGGGAACAGTCAAGAAGGACTCAAGATTTCAAACCTGAGTCACTGAGAAAATGATGGTATCATTGATGAATGTGGAGAAGTTGAGAGGAGGGAGGACTTAACTTTGAGGGGAAAGATAAGCTCTGTTCTAGACAAGATGAGTTTCAGACATCCATTTGGAAATATCCAGTAGGAAATATTAAGTTGCAGCTGAGACAGGAGATCATGACTAGAGATGTGGATTTAGGAATTCTGTGGAGCATTGAATAATTGAATGAAAAAGTGTTTTCCTTCAAGATCATAAGTGGCAGACAGCCCAAGATTATCACTTGGGTTGCAATTTTATTGGTAGAGTAGATAGGAATATAGGTTGGAAACATAGCAGAAGAGATCCCAGAGGTGGAAGTAAAAAGACAGTGTGGTACGTCAAGACGGCAAAAGGAAAAGAACATTTCAAGCTGGAGAGGTTGGTCTACAGGGCCAAATGCCGGAAGGAGGTCAAAGAAGATGAAAATTGAGAAAATTAATAGTTTTTGGTGGTGAGGATGACGCTGTGGACTTTAGAGGGTATGATTTTATTGTGGTTTTATAGATGTGCTCCATGTTTTAAGGGTGAGGGATGAGTAGGTGGCAAGTCAAGGTAGATAATGAATGAAGGCTGATTTTGTGAGAAATTTGGCAGTAAAAGAAGAGAAAAATGGGATGAAAGTTCAAGGAATAGCCACTACTAAGAAAGAATTTTTTTTCCTTTTCCTGAGACTGGGTCTTGCTCTGTCACCCAGGCTGGAGTGCAGTGGCACCACCAAGGCTCACTGCAGCCTCAACCTCCTGGGCCCCAGCGATCCTCTAACCTCAGCCTCCCATGTAGCTGGGACTACAGGTGTGTGCCACCATGCCCAGCTAATTAAAAAAAATTTTTTTAGAGACAGTCTTGCCATGTTGCTCAGGCTGGTCTTAAACTCCTGGGTTCAAGTGATCCTCCTGCCTCAGCCTTCCAAAGTGCTGGGATTACAAGTGTGAGCCACTACTCTTGGCCAAGGAAGGATTTTTAAAAATATATATGATAAGGAGTTTATGTTACATGTTGGACTATAGATAGCCCTTTATTTGCTTAGAATAAATTCTGATTTTTCAAATTGCTCGCAGTACCTTTTTCCTCTGAATTCTATGCAAGAAGTTTACTACATCAAGGGAAGAAGAAAATACAGATAGGACAAGATCTGATAAAGGATTCAATAGTTACTTATCAAAAGATTAAAATGGACTTAATCTCCTTCATGTAGCTGGGGCCCTTTTCTATTCAGGCAGAAATTTAGGTTAGAAGAGGATATCTCTAAAATACTGAAGAAGATTTTTTGCTTGCTTGTTTTTTGTTTGCTTGTTTTTAGAGACAGGGTCTTGCTCTATCACCCAGTCTGGAGTGCAGTGGTGTCATCATAGCTCACTGCAGCCTCAAACTCCGGGATTAAACAATCCTCCTGGCTTAGCCTCCCAAAGTGCTGGGATTACAGACATGATAAGCCACTGCACCCAGCCTGTTTGTTTTTTTTCGAGAGTTTTCTAAAGCCCCCAGTGCACTCCCCAGTTTAAAAACCTTCAGTGGCCTACAGATTCCCCAGCCTGACATCCTCATGCTTTCCACTTTCCCAGCCACCATCGTTCAGGCCCCGGTTACTTCTCCCCTTGATGACTATAATAGTCTGTCTCCTATCTCTCTTCACTCTAGCCATCCTACATACTGCTGCTAGCTTAATTTTCCTAAAGCACAGTACTGATCCTATCTGTGCCTTGATAAAAGCCTTCAACGAATTACCATTGTCAACTGAATTAGGCACAGGTTCCTCTACCTGACTGTTAAAGCCAGCCACAATGTGGCCGTGGTTCACCTCTTCTGTCTTAATTTCTATACTTTCCATATATATAAACTGATTTACAGGCATAAAAATGTGTCACCTAGTCCTTCTATTTGGAGTGGCCATATGACATTTTCCTATTAAAAAACAACAAGTAATTTACACACAAAAGCGGGAAAAAGAAGGTGTGAGGGTCATTTTTGCTTGTTTTTTGAGACAGGGTCTCTTTTTTTTGAGACAGTCACTCAGGCTGCAATGCAGTAGCATGAACCTGGCTCACTGCAGCCTCAACCTTCCAGCCTTAAGTGATCCTCCCACCTCAGCCCCCTGAGTAGCCGGGACTACAGGCATGCACCACCATGCCTGGCTAATTTTTTGTTGTTGCTGTTTCTTAGAGACAGGGTTTCAATATGTTGCCTCAAACTTCTGGACTCAAGCAATCCTTCTGCCTCAGCCTCCCAAAGTAGTGGGATTACAGGCATAAGCCGCCATGCCTGGCCTTCATTTTTCATTTCCTGTTAAGTGTGATCTTGCTGTCTGAACCCTCTCCCCAGAATTTGCTTTGTAATTTTTATATGGCATTTAACAAATGCTGCCTTATATTAGAATCATTTGTTTCCTTCTCCTATCTCCACCCCACTAGAGTGAATGCAGCCTGAGGACAAAGACCATATGGTCCTCATCTCCGATCTCCGCCTTGCACATGGGGCATTCAATAATTTTTCTAAAATTTCCTGACTATATTGAAAAGAGGTTGTGGGTTGCCCTTAAATAACTCTGCCATTGCTTACCATTTCTCAAGATGTTCTTATCCTTTCCTATCAAGACACATGCTTTTTTTTTTCTTTGATGTAACACATGTATGTCCTTATATGGCTATACAAACATTATTTGTTGCATTTTAGGTAGCTAGAAGACAGGCAGTTTTTACTGTTTAATCTAGTTTATGGAATGCTCAATTGAAAGATTTACAAATATAAACTCTTACTAAATCTTTTAAAATAATAATTTTAATCATAACTCTACTTACAGAAGATTATTTTATAAATCAAGTGTTCTTAAACCAGGATGGAACTATATATAAAATTAAGTATTTGTGTATAAATGTATATTTTTCTCTGTAGAGAGGGTGCATAGCTTTCATTACATACAGGAGTTTGTTACCCAGAAAGAGTAAGAACCATTCTTATGAATCACTACTTCTACAGCAATGTTTTTACTTTGTCCTAACTCATTACTTGCAAAGGAATTTTTTAAAGTACCAGTAGTTGTTTCATAGACAACAGAACCAGTCAAAGAATCATTTAGGATAGTTCCTGATGCTACTTCCAAACCTCTACCTTGTCCCCACTTTGCTACCAGTCTTGCCTTCAGCTTAATTGAAGAACAAAATAATGAGATCACACACATGATGTACAAAGACCTCACCATCTGCCACATACATCTTCCTTTTCACGCCTTCTTTTGGAGGCCTCTGCTATTTTCACAGGAGATTTTTATCCAGATTCCCACTATGAAAATTCTTGTCCCTCTCCCTCTCCCGTCTCCCTCTCCCTCTCCCGTCTCCCTCTCCCTCTCCCGTCTCCCTCTCCCTCTCCCGTCTCCCTCTCCCTCTCCCGTCTCCCTCTCCCTCTCCCGTCTCCCTCTCCCTCTCCCGTCTCCCTCTCCCTCTCCCGTCTCCCTCTCCCTCTCATGCCGAGCCAAAGCTGGACGGTACTGCTGCCATCTCGGCTCACTGCAACCTCCCTGCCTGATTCTCCTGCCTCAGCCTGCCGAGTGCCTGCGATTGCAGGCGCGCGCCGCCACGCCTGACTGGTTTTCGTTTTTTTTTGGTGGAGATGGGGTTTCGCTGTGTTGGCCGGGCTGGTCTCCAGCTCCTAACCGCGAGTGATCCGCCAGCCTCGGCCTCCCGAGGTGCTGGGATTGCAGATGGAGTCTCGTTCACTCAGTGCTCAATGGTGCCCAGGCTGGAGTGCAGTGGCGTGATCTCGGCTCGCTACAACCACCTCCCAGCCGCCTGCCTTGGCCTCCCAAAGAGCCGAGATTGCAGCCTCTGCCCGGCCGCCACCCCATCTGGGAAGTGAGGAGCGTCTCTGCTTGGCCACCCATCGTCTGGGATATGAGGAGCCCCTCTGCCTGGCTGCCCAGTGTGGAAAGTGAGGAGCGTCTCTGCCCGGCCGCCATCCCATCTAGGAAGCGAGAAGCGCCTCTTCCCCGCCGCCATCCCATCTAGGAAGTGAGGAGCGTCTCTGCCCGGCCGCCCATCGTCTGAGATGTGGGGAGCACCTCTGCCCCACCGCCCTGTCTGGGATGTGAGGAGCGCCTCTGCTGGGCCGCAACCCTGTCTGGGAGGTGAGGAGTGTCTCTGCCCGGCCGCTCCGTCTGAGAAGTGAGGAAACCCTCTGCCTGGCAACCGCCCCGTCTGAGAAGTGAGGAGCCCCTCCGTCTGGCAACCACCCCGTCTGGGAAGTGAGGAGCGTCTCCGCCCGGCAGCCACCCCGTCCGGGAGGGAGGTGGGGGGGGTCAGCCCCCCGCCCGGCCAGCCGCCCCGTCCGGGAGGTGAGGGGCTCCTCTGCCCGGCGGCCCCTACTGGGAAGTGAGGAGCCCCTCTGCCCGGCCAGCCGCCCCGTCCGGGAGGGAGGCGGGGGGGGGGGGTCGGCCAGCCGCCCCGGCCGGGAGGTGAGGGGCTCCTCTGCCCGGCCGCCCCTACTGGGAAGTGAGGAGCCCCTCTGCCCGGCCAGTCGCCCCGTCCAGGAGGGAGGTGGGGGGGTCAACCCCCCGCCCGGCCAGCCGCCCAGTCCGGGAGGGAGGTGGGGGGTCAGCCCCCCGCCTGGCCAGCCGCCCCGTCCGGGAGGTGAGGGGCGCCTCTGCCCGGCCGCCCCTACTGGGAAGTGAGGAGCCCCTCTGCCCGGCCAGCCGCCCCGCCCAGGAGGGAGGTGGGGGGGTCAGCCCCCCGCCTGGCCAGCCGCCCCATCCGGGAGGGAGGTGGGGGGGTCAGCCCCCCGCCCGGCCAGCCGCCCCGTCCGGGAGGGGGGAGGGGGGGTCAGCCCCCTGCCCGGCCAGCCGCCCCGTCCGGGAGGGAGGTGGGGGGGGTCAGCCCCCCGCCCGGCCAGCCGCCCCGTCCGGGAGGGAGGTGGGGGGATCAGCCCCCTGCCTGGCCAGCCGCCCCGTCCGGGAGGTGAGGGGCGCCTCTGCCCGGCCGCCCCTACTGGGAAGTGAGGACCCCTCTGCCCGGCCAGCCGCCCCGTCCGGGAGGGAGGTGGGGGGGGTCAGCCCCCCGCCCGGCCAGCCGCCCCGTCCGGGAGGGAGGTGGGGGGATCAGCCCCCTGCCTGGCCAGCCGCCCCGTCCGGGAGGTGAGGGGCGCCTCTGCCCGGCCGCCCCTACTGGGAAGTGAGGACCCCTCTGCCCGGCCAGCCGCCCCGTCCGGGAGGGAGGTGGGGGGAACAGCCCCCCGCCCGGCCAGCCGCCCTATCCAGGAGGTGAGGGGCGCCTCTGCCCGGCCGCCCCTACTGGGAAGTGAGGAGCCCCTCTGCCTGGCCAGCCGCCCCGTCCGGGAGGGCGGTGGGGGGGTCAGCCCCCCTCCCGGCCAGCCGCCCCATCTGGGAGGTGAGGGGCACTTCTGCCGGGCCGCCCCTACTGGGAAGTGAGGAGCCCCTCTGCCCGGCCACGACCCCGTCTGGGAGGTGTGCCCAGCGGCTCATTGGGGATGGGCCATGATGACAATGGCGGTTTTGTGGAATAGAAAGGCGGGAAGGGTGGGGAAAAAATTGAGAAATCGGATGGTTGCCGGGTCTGTGTGGATAGAAGTAGACATGGGAGACTTTTCATTTTGTTCTGTACTAAGAAAAATTCTTCTGCCTTGGGATCCTGTTGATCTGTGACCTTATCCCCAACCCTGTGCTCTCTGAAACATGTGCTGTGTCCACTCAGGGTTAAATGGATTAAGGGCGGTGCAAGATGTGCTTTGTTAAACAGATGCTTGAAGGCAGCATGCTCGTTAAGAGTCATCACCACTCCCTAATCTTAAGTACCCAGGGACACAAACACTGCGGAAGGCCGCAGGGTCCTCTGCCTAGGAAAACCAGAGACCTTTGTTCACTTGTTTATCTGCTGACCTTCCCTCCACTATTGTCCTATGACCCTGCCAAATCCCCCTCTGCGAGAAACACCCAAGAATGATCAATAAAAATAAAAAATAAAAAAAAAAAAAAAAAAAAAAAGAGCACGAAGTGAGAAGAAGCTGGCCTTGCCCTACTTGGATTATCAAAGGAAGTAACAACTCTGGACAAGGAGAGATTGCTCTGCCTGGTGATAGCAGAGGAGTCTCAGAACCAGAGGAGGAGGTGGCACATGGCTTTATCCTGTGCACCTCTCCCTCACTTAACAACTTTCATTCTTCCTGAAAATGAAAGCCTGCCATATGCTTGCTGAGCTGTGGACTTTTCACGAGCCCAAGTGAAAAGCTGTTAAATGAAAACATATCTTTTTTAAACATTTTTAGGGAATAAATTATGATGCTCTCCCTTCCAACTCAAGACACTCAAATAATCCTCACAGATAGAAAAATGTATCCATTGAACAATGAGAATGAGTTTATGTAAGTAATAACAATCGGAGAGTAAATAAATGCAGTTTGCTCATCAAAAAAAAAAAAAAAAAAAAAAAAAAGAAAATTCTTTAATGAACCCTTCTTTCTCATGCCAACATTTCTGGCCAATCCTACAGTTTTAGATAAGAATTTATTTTAAGAGGAATAAAATCTCTTATAACAGTGCCAATTTGAAGTGCTAGATCCATTAGCTTTTCCTGATAAACTTTAGAAAAAGGGAATGGGAAGTAAACTTCTGGCTTACTATTAAAAACCTGCTTCTTGGTCAGTTTTCTGCAAAAGCTGTCTCTCCTTCTTCCTCTCTCTCATGGATTATTAATAATTTTTCTGTATCTTTCTCCTTTCTATCGTATTCCCTTTGGGATTCACTCTTCCCCAGTGATTTAATTTAGTTAATGTTCTAATTAGTGCAACTTCCACCCAGGAGATTCCTTGAGCTTTCACATCAGTGCTTTTCCATATGATAAACTCCATTAACAAGTCTCTGAACATTCAAGAAAAAGGAAGCAGTTGTTTAATGCAATAGTCTCTACCTCATTTGCCCCTGTCTTCTCATCCAACTTTCTTGGCTGTTCTGGAGCTTCATCAGCAGATAATTCCATCATCAAAGAAATAGGGCTGAGCTTTTTCAGTACGTACTGTCCCTATCATCACTATAAGTAAAAAAATATTTTTATACACAAGGAAAACACCATCCCTTAGAATGGCTTTTTTTTTTTTTTTTTTTTTTTTTGAGATGGAGTGTAGCTCTCTTGCTCAGGCTGGAGTGCAGTGGCTTTTGATCTTGGCTCACTGTAACCTCCACCTCCCGGGTTCAGGCGATTCTCCTGCCTCAGCATCCCAAGTAGCTGGGACCACAGGCACGTGCCACCACACCTGGCTGATTTTTTTTGTACTTTTAGTAGAGACAGGGTTTCACCATGTTGGCCAGGCTGGTCTCGAACTCCTGACCTGAGATGATCCACCTGCCTTGGCTTCCCAAAGTGCTGGGATTACAGATGTGAGCCACTGCGCCCAGCTAGAACAGCTTTTTAAAATGCTGTTTTGTTTGTTTTGTTTTGTTTTGTTTTGTTTTTGTTTTGAGATGGAGTTTCACTCTGTCGCCCAGGCTGGAGTGCAGTGGTGCAATGTCAGCTCACTGCAACCTCCACCTCCTGGGTTCAAGTGATTATCCTGCCTCAGCCTCCTGAGTAGCTGGGATGACAGACATGCACCACCACGCCCAGCCAATTTTTGTAGTTTTAGTAGAGACGGGGTTTCACCATGTTGGCTAGGCTGGTCTCAAACTCCTGACCTTAGGTGATCTGCCCACCTTGGCCTCCCAAAGTGCTTGGATTACAGGGGCGAGCCACCATGCCTGGCTGAGATTTGTTCTGATATACTCATCTTTTTCTTCCAATCTCCAAGGATTCCCAGACATAATTAGGAGTATAGTCTAATCTGGACTGTGAAATCAAATAGCTAAGTGAACCACAACAGACTATTCAATCTGATGTTCTAAGCAACCGTTCTTAACCTTAGTTGCACATTGAAATCAACTGGGGAGCTTACAAAAATTCATGATTGGGTCCCATCCTGAGAGATTCTGATTTACTGGTGTAGGATGCAGCATAGACAGTGGGGATTTTTAAAAGCTAATATAGCAGTAGGCAAAGATGAGAATCCACAATCTAAGGTAGTCAGCACGACTAACACAATCAGCTTCAATCAATGAAGCTGAAACAGTGTCATAATACTGTCATAAGACAGCAGAGGGCAGAGTTGGCTCACATTTACATAGAGATAAACCATCTTACATAGGAAATAGTAAGTAGTTAATGTAATTTTAACTTTGTACTTTGTGGTTGTCTTTTGCCATAAAGCTTTCCTTCACTGTTAAGGCAAAATTACTTTTTGTACATTGGAAATTACTGGGAAGCCCCTGGGGGGCAGCTGATCAATAAGGTCATTGTATAATTTATTGTCCAAACCAGTACATTTTTGAGAGTGCCAAGGGAGCACTATTAACGATTATGCCAGGATAACAGGTGCAAACCTGTTTTGCGCAAACTGGAACATATGGTCACCATGTCTTATGTGGGATCCAGGAGATGAGCTAGAATCTGTAACATAGCTTTATTCATTAAAGCAACTAGTAGAAACTATGTACTTATGCTGTGTACTTATGCGTATTAAAATCTTCAGCATTATTTTTGCGTATGCCCTATCCACCTATCATTGTTTAGTATCATACTAGGGATCTTGGGCAATAGAAGAGAAACTTTTTAAAGTATCAAGCATTATACAATTTAGTTGGGAAGAGAAGACTGATACAGAACTTTGTTCTGGTAAATAAATCACAAGAACACCTTCAAAAATCCCTTCAGTAAGCAGAATATAACAAGTAAAATAAATAATGAGTTAGTGAGAGATAAACTGTAAATTATGTGCATGCTGTTCTTGACTTGTTGTGGCTCCACTTAGAGTTTCTGGTCATGGTCCTTGCATGCCTCCAGCACTTCCAGTAGGCAGAGACCAGTTGACTTCCTGAGCTGCTCTGAGTCTAAACCTCAGAAATTCTCTTCCTTGTGAGCATAGCTTCTCTATTCTCATAGCTTCTCTATTCTCTATTTTCATAGCTTCTCTATGCACTCGCTAACTCCTTAGTTAACCTCTATAGCCATTGATTCCCAAATTGAGTCAAGGAATTTGAGTATGAAAGGTATGATACAAATGGCAAAAAGCAAATAATATACTACTAACAATCATTTAAGTCAGCAACAGGAAGATTCCTCAAGTAGAGAAGTTTAGATCCCGTTTGGACACTCAGATCGCCCATCCCACATAGAGATCCAGATCCCCATACTGGGTGTTGCAACTACGCCACACACTTTTTGACTGATAACAACCACAGTAGTGACCTGTCTTTATGATTTCCCACAAGATTTTTTTTTTCTACCAATTTTCAACTTCAAAACTTATTCACTATTTTGCTTTTTTTTTTTTTTTTGAGCTAGAGTCTCACTCCTTCGCCCAGGCTGGAGTGCAGTGGCACGATCTCGGCTTACTGCAACCTCTGCATCCTGGGTTCAAGTGATTCTCCCACCTCAGCCAGGATTATAGGCACACACCACCACGTATTTTATTTTGTATTTTTAGTAGAGATGTAGAGACAGGGTTTCACCATGTTGGCCAGGCTGGTCTTGAACTCCTGACCTCAAGTGATCTACCACCTTGGCTTCCTGAAGTGCTAGGATTACAGGTGTGAGCCACTGCACCCAGGCCACCATTTTGCATGTAAGAAGCTTATTCTCAGCTGTGTGCAGTGCCTCACACCTGTAGTCCTAGCTGCTTGGGAGGTTGAGATGGCAGGATTCCTTGAGCTCAAGAGTTTGAAACCAGCCTGGGTAACATAACAAGACTCTGTCTCTCAAGAAAAGAAAAGAAAAAAAAAAGCTTATTCTTCTTCTTTTGCTGACTTATCTTGTATGAATTCCCACTTGATAGTTAACCTATCTTATAATTTGTTCTGCATTTTTTGATGTTTATTTGAGTAATAAATATAGTTATCAAGGTTAATTAGGCAACCTTAGGAAACTCAAATAATTAAAGCACAATAGTAAAGAAAACAAAGTTATAAGATCAATCCTGTCATAAAATGGTTAGGGTTTGCTATGGTTTGAATGTGTTCCCCAAAGTTCATGTGTTGGAGACTTAATCCCCAATGCAGCAGTGTTGACAGGTGGTTTTTTTTTTTTTTTTTTTCGAGACAGAGTCTTACTCTGTTGCCCAGGTGGGAGTGCAGTGGTGTGATCTCGGCTTGCTGCAGCCTCGGCCTCCCAGGCTCAGGTGATCCTCCCACCCCAGCCTCCTGAGTAGCTGGGACTACAGGCATGTACAACCATGCCCAGCTAATTTTTAATTTTTTTTTGTAGAGACTGGGTTTTGCCATGTTCTCAAGGCTGGTTTTGAATTCCTGAGCTCAAACAATCCGTCCAGACAGGTGGGATCTTGAGGGAGTTATTAGGTCATGAGGGCTCTGCCCCCATAAATGCATTCATGTTATTATCTTAGGAGGGCATTCATTATCAGGAGAGTGGGTTTGATAAGAACAGCACCTTTTGCCCTCACGTTTGTTCGCTCTCTTGCCCTTCCACCTTTCCACCACGAGATGATGCAGCAAGAAGGCCTTCGCCACATGTTGGTGCCATAATCTTGGACTTCCCAGCCTCCAGAACCATGAGCCAAATAAATTCTGTTTATTATAAATTACCCAATCCATAGTATTCTGTTATAGCAGCATAAAACGAAGTAAGGATTGTTTCTTTCCATAGCCTCAGGTTGGTCTAATGGCCAGTGTGATGACTCGACAGGTCTTCCCATTGCTCATGGGGTGGACTGGTAAGGGGCTGAGCATGAGTCAGGCAACTCCATCTTCCACACTGGCGATGGGATCCCTGAATGAGCAAAACAGATCAGCTGTGCTGGTTTTGATTAGATCCCTGAATGAGCAAAACAGATCAGCTGTGCCGGTTTTGTATAAAAAGAATAGTTTTTTTTTTCTAACCTTTGGGGCACGGTTATTTCATTATCTGAGTTATTGATGAGAATATTCAGACCTTGTTTTCCTTTAGTTCACTGCTGTTTTGTTCTTGTTCTCACCATCCTCTCTATCAAAGCTTGTTCGCAGGTAAGGATCTCATATCTGCTATTTATATTTAACTATATTTTCCCCCACATTGAAAACAACTTTATTATTTATTATAAAATATTCTATGCTTATGAAATACCCAAACCTTATAGCAAAATAGAGAAGGAAGTAAGAATTACTCTAAATCTCACCATCTAGAAATCACTTAGATTTTTTGGAGTATCTTTCCTGATATGAAATGTCTTATTTCTTAATCAAATAGAAATTATTTAGAGCCTACTTAAAAAAAATCAACAGTATGCCATGACATCTTTCCCTATCAGTAAGCATAAAACCACATCACTTAAATGACTACATAGAATTTATGTGTGTGTGTGTGTGTGCATGCGTTCACACCATAATTGGTTTAACCAATCCCATTTTGATGAACATTGAAGTGATTTCCAATTTTTCATTATTATAATGAACATCTACTATGTTCTTAGCATAAGTGTAAAACATAGAAAGCTAAAGCTAAAAGAATCCTTAGAGACTAGCTAGTTCAATGCCATCATTTCGCAGAAGAGAAGCTGAGATATAGAGAGGTTAAGAGGAAGTAGAATCCAGGTATTTTGCCTTTACATCTAGTGATCTTTCTGGTTTACCCTGCTACTATCTTAAAAAAAAAATTCTTGGCTCTTAAAATGTCACTAAGTGGAACTGACTTTTTTTTCTTATGCCAATAGCCAAAAGATCCTACCTTAAAAGCTAACTCCTCCCGGGGTCATTGCATTTTAAGATTTGCTTTTAAGGCTGGACGTGGTGGCTCACACCTGTAATCCCAGCACTTTGGGAGGCCTAGGCAGGTGGATTACCTGAGGTCAGGAGTTCGAGACCAGCTTGGCCAACATGGTGAAACCCCGACTCTACTAAAAATACAACAAAATTAGCCTGGCGTGGTGGCAGGCACCTGTAATCCCAGCTACTTGGGAGGCTGAAGCAGGAGAATCACTTGAATCTGGGAGGCGGAGGTTGCAGTGAGCCAAGATCTCACCATTGCACTCCAGCCTGGATGACAAGAGCAAAACTCTGTCTCAAAAACAAACAAACAAACAAAAGATTTGTTTTTAGTTATGAAATAAGTTAGCAGATTCCAGTACATTCTTTGGAATGAAGGCAGGATAGGGATATGCTGAGTATTTGAAATATATGGGGCTGGTGTTATATGGGGCTGTTTATGCCATAAACAGGCATAAACATATACCTGTTTATGCCTGGCAGTATTTATTTGAGGAGAAGGGTAAGGGTGGAGAAATAGAGTTAGGCAGCAGTTGGGGTCAGTGATGGAAAACAAATGCCCACTCACAGTTTGGAACTCCTCCCAAAAGAAGGGTCTACAGCTTTCCTTTGGTTCAGTTTCTGCTATGGAAGGTCAAGAGCTGGGTGCGTAAGTGCATTTTGATTACTAAGATGGAGATGGAATAGAACAAGCAGCACAGAGTTGTTACTCTACATGCTTAGCATAATGTGGGGCTAAATTCTTGACTTAATTAATGACTTAAAATATTAGGTTATAGTATGAATCATCTACATTACATATCATGGGATTTGTTAATTTAAAAATCATGAGATACTGCTCCTTGAATAAATGATGCTTTAATAAGCAGAGATTTGGATTTCTATGTGATCTTTGTAAAACTACTTAAACTCTTTCTTAATTTCTTAATATAGCAGTAAGGATAATGATAGCAATTTACTTCATGAAATTGAATAAAAATGACATAAGGCATTTGGAAGAGAGAAAATGATAAATGCACTTTTAAAAATAGAATTTTTCATACCAAAAAAATGAGGAAAATGATATTTCTGAGAAGACCCAGTTATATTCTGTATGAATTCTATAAAACATATGTTTGAATTGAATCATAGTTTCTTGTAGACCAGACCTTAAATCATTGAAGAAATATCCAAACAGAAATTGAGCAGCTGTAGAAATATCCAATAGAAAAGAAAATGAGATGAATTTGCAGAAGTAATGGAGTCTTTTATTGCAATGTCTTTCCAAACTTTATTGAAAATTTCCCAAAGGTCTTGGTTAATATTAAGAACAAATATTTGTGAATTTGGAAACTGCTCACTAACAAATAAAAGCAATTAACAAGACCATTTATGCTGGCAGTAATTATCATATAAACACAAAATTGTTTTATTGGTTAAACTGTTAGAACTCCAGCTGTCATTCCATATTAACAAATTTGATTTTTTAAAATTATATTTTCTACCCTTGATTTGAGTTTCTGGCTTGATAAATATTAATAAAGGAAGAGAACAAAGTTTTCATGGTTAGTTACTCTCAGTTGTCTACTTGCAGACTACCCACTGTCTGGAGTACTCAAGGTAGAGTGTTAATATCAAAACAACATTAACTCACTCCTTATAATGCGTTTGGATTCATCTTCCTATGTTCTTAATCCTGTGTACTCAAGGCTTTGGCATATTGGAGTATGGGAGTTGGAGCAGGGCCATTGCCCAAGGATGAGGACTGAAAATGACACTGAGAGGGTGGAGCAGACAGAGACAAAAGCTAACCGAATCATCATTATTGTGTTTGCTATCCCTTGTTATAAAGACGTTGGAAGATGGCAGACCCCTGCCTCCATAGATGAGCTCAGTGGTAACTGTGAGCATAAAACCTACTCGATTCACTCCATTTCTCACCCATTGACAATAAGTTAGGTATGGATGCATCAGGGTAGCTGAGGACCTGGTGAAATTCAGGCACAAATATTGCCAGCTATGTTTCAGGGAATGTGAATTCATTTAAATAACCTTATTCGAACATAGATAGGAAAGTTAATCTCCTGAAAAAAATCACAAATATGCATTTTTAAGCCAAATAGAAATGACTTTTTGAATTACCTGTTCTTTGGTTGATCTCCAAGATTGCAACCTCCTTTAATTTCCATAATGTGTTCATTCATTTATTTACTCATTTGCTCATTAGGCCTTTATTAAGTATATCTTTTGTGTCAGATACTATGCTAAGTGCCAGGAATCTTAAAACTATATCCTGAAAGCAATGGGGAGCCACTGGCTGATTTAAAGAAGCAGAGTGACAAGACCAACCTTCCTTTTTAGAAAGTGTACTTTGGCTACTATGTGGAAGCAGAATTGAAGGAGAGGGAAACTGGAGAACGGATGAACAGGTAAGAGGCTCCAGAAGCAATTCATTGTGAGAAAAGATGAGGCTGTGTGATGGACTTAATTGTATCCCCCTAAATTCACATGTTGAAGTCTTAGATCTCAATGCCTCAGAAAGTGACTGTATTTGGAGATAAGGCTTTACAGAGGTAGTGAAAGTAAAACTGAGGTCATATGGATGGGCCCTAACCAAATATAACTCATGTCCATAAAAAAAAAAAAGAGAGTAGGACATAGGTGCACACAAAGTGGAGACTATGTGAAGACAGAGGGAAAAGATAGCCCTCTACAAGCCAAGGAGAGAGGCTTCAGAAGAAATCAACCCTGCCGAAACCTTGATCTTGGACTTCTAGACCCTAGTACTGTAAGAAAATTAATTTTTGTGTTTGAGTCACCCAGCATATGGTACTTTGTCATGGGAGCCCTAGCAAATTAATACAGCCTTGGGAACAAGGTGAATTAGCACCTACAGGTCCCAGTTCATCAGATACCCCAGTGTAAGTCTGCCATTACATCTACTCAAGCTCATGTGAGGTGACAAAAAACCTAATCCTGTGTGGCAAGGAAAGATCAGGAACTGCAATATAAGAAAAGATGCAGCCAGGCATGGTGGCTCACACCTGTAATCCTAGCACTTTGAGAGGCCAAGGCAGGTGGATCACGAGGTCAGGAGTTCGAGACTAGCCTGACCAACATGGTGAAACCCCGTCTCTACTAAAAATACAAAAATTAGCTGGGCATGGTGGCGCATGCCTGTAATCCCAGCTACTCAGGAGGCTGAGGTGGGAAAATCACTTGAACCCAGGAGGTGGAGGTTGCAGTGAGCCACTGCATTCCAGCCTGGGCAACAGAGCAAGACTCCACCTCAAAAAAAAAAAAAAGAAAAGAAAAGATGCTCATTAATTTCCAAGCCTGGTTAATGCTTCCATGGACTAGCAGATGACAGGATACAAATCTTGTTTTGCTTTTTCCTGTTATTGGTGGAGGGAAATTTGAAATTGGTGTCATCTGCCCCTTCAGAAGATGGTTCATCTGGTATTTGCAAACTTGCTGCAGGCTTTCAAGTTCCTTCCACAACCATTCTGTTTGAGGCATCTGAAGGGCAAGTTTGGTCCCTAATCCTTGATTCCTCCATATTGTAAATGGCAGGCTTTTCCAATTGGTCCTGCTGCTGCTTTGTCTTTGAAAGTTGTGGAGAATGTGATGCCTCTAGATGTTTCCAAAAATGAAATGGAAATTTCACCTTAATTTTATGAAATGCATGTCTTTGCAAAAGGGTAAAGAAGGGAAATAATGATTTTTGAGCTATGGGCAGTATTCTGATGATTTCTGAACATTATCATGAGTTCTTGATACCTCCATTGTTGTTGGCGGGGATTTGAGTTTGAGTTGAGTGGAACTTCAGGTTTGTTTGGTTTGGTATTTACGTTTTTCCGTAGCTTTCCTACATATATATTCATTTCTGAATTCAAGTGGTTCATTTATTTCACACAAATAACTTTGGTTATGTGATTCAGTTTTTTGTTTTTGTTTTTATTTTTGTTTTAGATAGGGTCTTGCTCTGTCACCCAAGCTGGAGTACAGTGGCGTGATCATAGCTCACTGCTGCTTCGAACTCCTAGGCTCAGGTGATCCTCCCACCTCAGCCTCCCAAAGTGCTGGGATTACAGGCATGAGCCATCGCATCCAGCTCAAAATATTTTTAGGATCAATTTAATTCAAGGCCAAGCAAGTTGGTGTAGCTTATTATAGTTTTTGGTTTATGACTTATTTTTATTCAATGTCTTGGGTTTTATAAATAAAATCATAAACTTTAAAACTGTTCATAAAACTGTGAACTATATTTAAAAATCATCTGGCTGGCAACTCAGTTGGTTTTTATAATCTGAAAATTTATGCTTTTCTTCAACTCTGAGAATTTCTATTCTACTTTCCCATTATTACCTTCTTCTACTCTCTTTTCTTTCCTTTTGTAACTTCCATTAAGCAAATACTGGACCTTGGGGGATTTTGCCTACATGGCTTTCAACCATTTTCACATACTTTCCATCTCCTTTGTCTTTTGCCCGGTGTTTGGGGAAAATTTCTTTGGCTTCTGTTTCCACTAATTTGCCCTTCAAGTAGGTCTGTTCTGCTTCTCAACTAATGAATTTTCAATATCAGAAATGACTTTTTAAATTTCTAAGGTTTCTCACTGATTATTTGTTGTGGATGCAATATCCTTTCAAGACTTGCTGATTAAAATTAAATTATTTAACATTTATCTTGTTCCTTTTATTAACTTAGTTTCCTCTGATATTATTTCCTTCTATTAGTTGGGTTTGGTGCTTCTCTTTCATGGTATTGGTTCCCCTCTCCCCATAAGATATTTGGTGGTTGTCCTATCATCCCTTAATGTGGGAATGGGCTTGTCTCCTCTTTCTGCTTATCATAGCCTATCTTCAGGGGCTGTGAAGAAGGGTCAGGACATGCTATCCCAAGAGAGTGAATGGTTTCTGTCATTTCTTGGGGTCACTAGATCCCTGAGCTCTGCCCCTTGGGTCCCAGGATCCCCATTAACTTTTTTTTTAAGTCCTGCAGGCAAACACCTGATATTTAATGTGAGCAGGACAGAGGAGGCTCCTAAGTGAATTATTCTGTCTCAGGGCCCCTCCTCCTCTTGTATCCTTTAACTATTGCTTGCAACTTCCCTAAACTATTGCTCCTCCTGAATCTGTTTTGGTTTCCTCTGATTTTGTTTCTCTGTGAATCAGATCTTGCATCTTTTCTGTATCTCTGGATTTCTTGAACATTGTTGGAACACTGATCCCCTTTTCCTTATTTTCCTGTGCTTTTAGATGCCTGTTTCAGACATATCTTCTAATGAAATTTGGGGTAGAAGAGAAGCTAAATGCGTGTATTCAATCCACCATCTCCATCCAATCTTTACTTTTTAATTTATTTATCATCTCTACTTATTATTAAACAATACAAGCTTATTGTGAAAAACTCAAAGACTACAGAAATGGAAAGTGAAAGTTCCCTCTTATGTTAGATGATTCTAACATAAGTCTCAACTTATATCTTCTTGGCCTCACCTGTTGGTTTCAGCTAGACCTGAGTAGACAGTTCTGTGAAGGTTTACCCCCCACTCTCTGGCTGTCAACATCTATTCTCAAATGCACACCTTCTCTTCTGGCCCCAGAACTCTTCCAAATCTGCAGACTGCCTATGTGGAGCTTGCTGGGTAGCTCGGAAGTGTAGGTTTTCAACATGGGTGGGAGACCAGTGGGGGCAGTCCTTTGTCCAACCAGGATGAGGGTTAATCTCCTATCCTTCACATAGACAATTCCAAGAGGTATTCTATACTCTTCTGAGGAGGTCCCTCCAGACGTGATCCCTATTGCCCACAATGATGACCTTGATAACGAACATATGTATGTGTTTCCTTCTCCCTTCTTTTTTTTTTTTTTTTTTTGAAACAGAGTCTTGCTTTGTCACCCAGGTGGGAGTGCAGTGGCGTGATCTTGGCTCACTGCAGCCTATGCCTCCCAGGTTCAAGTGATTCTCCTGCCTCAGCTTCCCAAGTAGCTGGGATTACAGGTGCGCACCACCACACCCAGCTAATTTTTGTGTTTTTAGTAGAGATAGGGTTTTGCCATGTTGGCCAGGCTTGTCTTGAACTCCTGACCTCAAGTGATCCGCCTGCCTCGGCCTCCCAAAGTACTGGGATTACAGGTGTGAGTCACCATGCCCAACCTTTCTCCCTTCTTTTATTCTCCCAATTTCTCATTCCTGGCCACAGAGATCTGTTCCCCTTTCCCTATTATTTGACAATGCCCTTTCCTCACTGCAAGCCTAAATTTCCTCTCTTCCTCAGTTCTGATTTATCATTTCACTGTAACTCTATTAGCTGTAAAGCATTTGGGGATGCTGTCAGGATAACATGCTCTGTAGCAAATGAGGTTGTATTGAATTATTTAGCTTTCAGCTAAAGTGGAGATAACTAAAGCAGCTGAGCTGGTTTGTAAAATGTTGGGGTAATCTGTCTGCTGATTTGGAGTTTTATCATATTAATTTTTTCTTATGGTTGAAAATTATAAATTTTAAGGCTACAAAGAAAAATATGTATGCAACTATTCAGTTCAGTGCCACAGACCTATAGCTAAGGAATTATCTGGCTTGCATAGTATATAATTACGTAGCTGCAGAACCACCATTCTAGAGAACCATGAATTTATCTAATAAGTTTATTCATACAAGCTTTTAAAAAACCATAAATACATAATTTCCCTCCATTTTTTTCTAACAAAAATAGATGAAGGATTTCTTCTTGAGATATATAATAGTCTCAGCTTTTGAAGTTGGCCTGTTTTTCTTGAGCTTTCCTTGCCAGAATTTGACTTTTAAACATTTTTTTTCACAAAACAGAACTTTCTCTTTTTAACTCAGTAATAGAAAAATGCATTCTTAAATGTTGTCAACAAAGGGGAGGAGGGGATCACTGCGAATCTATCGATGACCATGAATGTTTTTGTATCCTCTTTCCCATATTACTAGTGTCTCTTGGAAAATTGAGCTGTAATAAGGATCCAGCCAAGAGGAGGGTGGAGTGAAGAATTCTGTGGCTCTGTAATACCTGGGGCGTTTGTCCCACTCAGCACATCTCAGTGTCTAAATACCCACCCTCAAGAAGTGGGACTGCAGCAGGAAGTGAAGTATCTTTGCATATGTTCAATATATAAACTAAACTCGAACATCTGGCAAACACCCCTTTCCTGGGTGAATTCTGGAAAACAGCACAATTATAATCCCAAGCAAATAACTCAGGAGTAAGACTGTTCCCTTGTTAAGAACACCAGGCAGCATCAGTAAAAGTTAAAACTTCTTCTGCATCTATGCGCTTTTAATCTCCACGGCCATTTCCATAATACCTGAGATTACCTGCGTTGATAGCTGGTGAGAAATCATCCCAGGCACCGCAGGTGGAGAAAAGAGATGAAAGCTACCTCAAGGCGTACACGTAAACCTTACTGAACAATGACCTTGATCGTTAGAAAGTCAAGAAAATGTACTGCCTTGCAAGCTGCCGGTGTTCTATTGAGTTTCTCTCCGGGGGCAACTCGGAGATGCCTTTTTGGCACCATCGGTTCTAGTATTTCCTCTGGCCTGCTGCGCCGCGCCTCATCCAGGCTTGTAGTGAGGCACCCCCACTCGCCCGGAGACCCGGGCCGGCCAGGAGGTGCCAGTGGGCAGGTGTGGCAGCCTGCCTGTTGATTACAGTCCCTACAATGTGCGAGCTCCTTGGGACTGCAGGCTGCGCGCCGCCAGCTTTGCCTGGTTCGTCCTGATTACACTAGGTTTTCGGGCAGAAACAGCGACACTGAGCTCGGGCTGGGGGTGGGGCCCTCGGGCCCAGTGCCCGCCCCCTGCCCTCCCACCGCCAGCCGAGAGAAGCCCGCCCGGGAGCGCGCTTTCTAATGCACCAGCCCCCGGGAACAATCTGTCCCTCCCAAACCCGCCACGGCGGGGGTTCACCTCCCGGGTACCCGCCGCGCCCACCCTATGGCCTAAATGTCTTTTCATATATTTTAAAAACTGAACTGTGTGCAGTGGGGATGCAGGGCGGGAAAGGCTGGAGGGCTCATTTTCGCCACCAGGCTTGCCTCTCCGGGCGCACGAATTAGGCCCGAGCTAGAGTCCAACCCCCTTCCCGCCTCAGGGGGCTCGGGGTGGCGCGGGGTTAGGGGCAATGAACGACGATGGAGGCGCCCCAGGCTCAGCGGCGGGCGGGGAGGCAGAGGCGGGTTCCAGGAGCCGGGCTGAGGCCCGGCAGGTGCCCCCAGGCGCGGAGGCTGATTGGCAGGTGCGTGAGTGGGTGGGGAAGGCGGGGGCTGGGCTTGGCGCTGCGGGAGGCTGCGGCCCCGCCTCCCCGCCCCCGCCGCGGGACTATCTGGTCCCGGCAGCAGCGATGTCCCCCGGCAGGAATGTCCCTCCTCAGATAATGTTATTTATATCTCTGGGCGGGTCCGCGGCTCGGCAGCACCAGGCGCCCGGCGGCCGCTGTGCCAGGAGCCCCGCGCTGCCCTCCTCCCCCTGCGCCGCCGCCGCCGCCACCCCCGGGCTCGGGGTGGCCCCCGCTTCAGTCCCAGGGCAGGTGAGTCCCAGGAGGGCCCGGCGGCCAAGGGAGCTGGGTGCGGGTGCGCAAGGCTGGGACGCGCGGCGCCAGCTCAAAGGAGCGCTGGGCCCAGGGGGCGCCTGACGCGCAGGGCCCAGAGGACCGGGTGGGAGTCCAGCCCCGGTTGTCGGGCGTGGGGTGGGAGGGGTGCGGGGCCCGGGAAGCCCGGCAGCTGCGGCAAAGATCATCCCGGGACGCGGGAACGCGCGCGGGCGTCCGAGGCACTTGGTGCTAGCTTTGGAGAGCGGGATCCCGGAGAGTCCGTCACCCCGGGGCGCAGGGAGAGGGTGACGGGGGTGCGTGTTCTCGTCCGCCTTCTCCAGGACCCCGGCCTGGGAGCGAAGGGGATTGCGCCTCTAGCCCGTCCGACCGCAGCGCTGCTCTCTGCCTTTTTTTGTCCGGCTTCTCAGCCTTGTGGCCGCTCATATCCCTCTTCTGGGGAACTTGGCTGCGCTCTCCTCGGGCCACCCAGCGCCCAGGCAGGAGGGACAGGTGAGGGCAGCAGAGGGGGCCGGGCCTCCGGGTGCTGGGAGCCACCCAGAGAGTGACCCCGTGTAGACCGAGGGAGGAAAGATCCTAGTGCCCCAAGCCATACTTCAAGGACCCCTAGTCTTCCTCTCCCAAAGAGTTCCTCTCTTCCTCTAAGCTTCTCCGGGCTACTCTACCCTCACCCTCCTCTCCAGTTTCCCCTCTTCCTCTAACTTGGTCTTGAGAAATAGCAGAAAGTGGGAGAAATAACAGAAGCTGTAAAACAATCCCCAACTCCCACCAACTCATCCGTACTTCCCAGGCTGGGGAAGCAGCTGCGGGGCTGGAGTGCTGTTTCCCTGACAACGAGCTTCAGGTAGGGCCTTGAGTTACAGCCTATTAATATCCAAACCACTGTTTTCAGTGAGCAATTAGAGGCGCCAGCCAGGAGTAAGGAAAATGAAAAGAAGCCACTGTTTTTTGTACATCTAAATTTTAGATGCATCAGATTGGGGGGTGGGGTGGGGGGATATAGTGACAGCCTTTTTGTACTGAGAATTTCTGTGGGGAGAGACTAGGCTGTCACCTCCAGGTAGGAGGCAGTCATGCAAAACCCCTGCCTGGAGGTAGTCACGATCCGTATTTTAGTTTCTAAGGGAAGAGATTCAGGCGGCTCCCTAATGAGAGGAGTCTGCAAATCAAAGATTTTTAGGCACAGCTCAACTGTCCACTGTCCTATCCTTAGCTTCACAGATGGCTCTGAATTTTATTCTAGAATTCCCTCTTCGCCCACCCCTTCCCCCACTATAACCCAAGGCAGGTCATTTCTTATTTTAGGATTCAGCTTTTATTCTTTTGCTCTGAGTCCCAGGTTCCAAAATGCAATTGAAAACACCTTTTTTTTTCTAAGTGCAAAATGATTGTTAATGTATGCTGAATGTCCAGCACCTGACACAGCTAGGCCTGTGCTTGCCTGGAGGCTTGCAGGCTAGCCAGGAAAGGGAATGTTAAACTTACATTGAAGAAGAGCCCACCAGCCTTGAAACCCACTAACTCCAGAGGTGGGTCATTTATAAAGAATTTTATCAAAAACTCTAGAGTAAAGCACCATTGAAAGACATAAACGCTCATGAAAATGTGGCTTTCAGACCCCTTAGCTGTTGCTCTTAGCTTTATCAGTGCCCCAGTGGCAATGATGGGGATGAGCCAGTCCTATTGATCTTGAGTTCTGGGAAGACTCAGAGTCCACTCATGGAATTGTAAGCACCCAAGGACTCCCAGGCATCCAGGATGGGCCTTGTAGCACAGGCGTATCAAGTTCTCCTGAGCGGCTTGCCCAGAAGAGAGTTGGGATACCACCTTTGGCTCTGATCAATGCTTCTTCCAAGTGTTCTGAAGGTGTCCTATAGCAGAACGCCTGCTAGATGACTAGTTTTGGGGGTGAAGGTATGACAGGAGCAAGACTCCTACCTGGGATCACATTTGGCAAAATAAAAATGAGTATTTTAGGCAAGCTAGGTGTGAATGACAGTTTTGAACTAAAGTCAAAATTTGACAGGTCTGCTGCAGCTCTGGAAACAAACTGTTTTTGGTAAATAATAATAGCTTTTATTCTGTCTTTTATGTTGTTGTACCCAGTACCTGGATGGTAGTGGAACCTCAGTTAACCTTTGTTGAATGAATGAGGAAACCAACAAATGAATGCTCAGCGTTTTCTCTATATTATCCAATTTAATTGTCATGGTAACTCTATAAGGTAGCTCATATCAACATTTTACAAGTAAGGAAACAGGTTCAGGAAGATTAAATAACTTGCCTCATATTACCCAGCTAATGAGAGATGGGTCCAGGATTCAAACTCAGTTTGTTTGGTTCTACCTTCTTTTTAAGGTTAGACACTCAGCAGGGAATATAAAGTACAAGTTGGGAAGATTTGACTGTTTGTCTTCTAGCTTCATAATCTTCATTCCCAGGACCTCAGGTAATAGTTCTGCTTATATCAGAGGAGCTTAAAAAATATTATCTGAAGATAATATTGGGCATTTATTTGCTCAGAGGTTCTTAGCCTTACCCATTATTTTCAGGTCATTGTTTCAAGGACAGAACTATAATTTTGGCAGGAGTCAAAGCATGGATTTTTTTTTTTTTTTTTAAAGAACAGATTTTCCTTTCAGTCCTGGAAGTGGCCAGGAGGGCTTGATGATACATAGGGACAGTGTGATAGGACAGAGGATGGCTATAAAAAATTCATGAGGCAAACACTATTGGAGAGGGAAGGGATTCTGGAGGTCACTGAACCCAGCCTTCCATGTGCATACTTACTGGCTTAAAGGCAAGACCTAACTGAATGTACCTGATCATTGATGTGTAGCTATGGCACCCACACTTCTTATTACTCGAGTTCATTTCTTTCCTGTCTCACTCTCAAGGCCAATATGGTTTACTTCCTGAAGTTCTGCCTAACCAAACTACTGAGATTTTATTTCCTTTGGAGGAGATTATGAGAGGATGTGTTTTTAATATCTAGTCCTTTCATTTTAGTGCAATCTTAAAGAAAAGGTACTGAGGATAAGCAGGAGAGAAGGCAGTCTCAGGCTTTAAACTCTAAACTGTTCTATAATCTCCCCCATTGCTTGTAAGGTGTACACATGTATACATTTTAAAACAATAGTTATACACATTACGATCTAGAGACAAGAAATCTTAAGTAATTATGTCCATTTTTGGGGGGCATGGGGAAGGACTTTAGAGAACTGTTGAGACCGTCAGATACGTGTTTTAACCTAAACCCAATCACCAAATTGTTCTTGAAGAGCAGCACTTTAATTTCAAAATCAAACACAAAATTTTACTGTCTGCTCAAGACCTGAAAAGGTAGGAAACATGACCAGTGGGAGATTTAAAGTAGAGATGGGGTTTCACCATGCTGGTCAGGCTGGTCTCAGGAGTTCGAGACCAGCCTGGCCAAACCTATCTCTACTAAAAATACAAAAATTAGCCAGGTGTGGTGGTGGGCACCTGTAATCCCAGCTACTCGGGAGGCTGAGACAGGAAAATTGCTCGAACCTGGGCGGTAGAGGTTGCAGTGAACCGACATCGCGCCACTGCACTCCAGCCTGGACAATAAAGTGAGATTGTGTCTCAAACAAACAAACAAAAAATTGATATAAAAAAGCCAGGTATAGTGGCTTATGCCTATAATCCCAGTTACTTCGGAGGCTAAGGGAGGAGGATTGCTTGAGCCAGGGAGTTAGAGAGGCTGAACTATGATTGTGCCACTGTACTCCAGCCTGGACAACAGAATGAGGTGCCATCTCTAATTCATGAATTAATTAAAAAGTGATTTAAAATATGTTTCTTTGTTATGGAATTTTAAAATTATAGAATTTAAAAAAATAACCTGAGACCTACAGATTAACATTTATCAATGAACTTGGGAAGATCAAGAGTGAAAATAACTGTGCTATGTGGGCTGATGAGAAATTTGATTATATAATGAGGACTGGCAAGGAAGTTCATGGATACTGGGTTCTGAAACCATATGGATATCACAAGCCAAAAATGACTGTGGAAAGAAGAATTTTATCTTTGAAGCAGCTTGTATTGACTCAGTTGATTTTAACAGACAGATCGTAGGTTACTCCTCTGTTTTAGATAAGAAATCTGAGGAAGAAGAGTAGATGCAGTGGTCTGTGTGCCAGAATCATCATGTGGCATTTGCTGGGTTTATCACAGAGATGCTTCCTTCTTCACCCCATTAGGGGAAGGTCACCTGTTTTGGAGATGGAGATAGTGATTGAGGAAGAGCGTAGGAGGCAGTCAGGAGAATTAACTGTCAGATCTGGCTCTGCTCACGGATTGCCAACTCCCCTTGGTAAATATTTAGAAAATGCCATAGTGTGTTTCCCTCTGTTGCTGCGTGTATTTCTTAATTCACAGCCAAGTGATCCACATTCTTCCATTTTCAGCCAGCCTCAGCTGAATATCAAACCATCAGGGGATCCCTAGCCTTTATAGCTCACGTAGTCTTAGAGGTGGTCATAGACAGAAAATGCTTCCTTAATGAATTGTCTGGCTAGCTTATCAAATTCCCAGACCACCTTTCATTTTTCTCTTTCCTTTTCCTGGTTGCAGGAAATATTACAAAGCCCTCTTCTTCCTACCTCAGCAAGCCCTTCTCAGGCTTTGCCATAATGTTTTATTTCCACATCATACCTGTGCAGACCTGGCTGAGGGTAGAATTACAAGGGCAATTAAAACTCAGCATATATCATGTGAGCAGTGGGGGCAAAAGTGGGCTTCCTTTCTTTCATTTGAATGTTATAAATTTAGCAAGTGAAAAGGCACAGGGCTGAAAAAAAAATAGGCTTTGCATTGAACCAGGCTCAGATCATCCAGGATATTTATGAAGAGACTAACGGCACCTTGATAGCTAAAGAACAATAATTGCTTCGAATTATAGTCAATTTAGGAGTTTCCACCATTGTGAAAAGGAGAAGAAACTTGAATAATTCCGAAAATGAATACTTTGAAAATATTTTCCATTTGTACCAGACTTAAATATGGGCGTGTCTCACTTGAGAATGTATAGCAATTCAAATAAAACAAAGCATACTTTAAAGGCATAAATTATGTGGACCAGAAAGAAGTCTGTAACCTTATTCTGTCCCTCTTTTGAGTCCCAGCCTGTTTCTAGAAGAACCCTAGGAGTGGTCAATTAGCTTCATCTTCCAGTATATTTCCAGAAGGGTGGAAAAGCAAGAAAAGGCCTTTCATAATACTGACTTCGAGTCATAAGTCATAGAGAGTTAGAGGTAGAAAGGCCCGAGAGAGAATTGAGGTGTATTCAAAAAGAGCAGACATTGGGTGTCTACCACGTGTCTTACACTGTTATGTGCTGAAGACACACAAAGAGATCAGATGGAGAATCACTGATCTGGTGCGAAAATGGCCTTGCAAACAAGCAGTGATTCAACAGGATGCCTGAGAGAGAGGGTGTACAGGAGGAAACATCTCATTCAGGTTGGGGAATGAGAAGACCTTTGAAAGTGCCTAGGATTTCTATAATGGAAGAAGGGAGGATGAGGGGGCCTGCGAGTGGGGCTTTAGGAAATTGCCCAGCACAGACAATAAAGCATGATTAGGTTAGGGGATGAAGTGTAGTTCCACATGGCAGAAGTGTGACCAGAAAGGTGGTTGGGGTTCAGCCTGTGAAGAAGTTTGAGCCACTGGAAGTTTTTAAGTCATAAAGGGGTGTGATGAAATCTTTGTTGACAAAGCTCACCAGTGGCAGTGAAGAGAAAGTGAATTAGATCCCAGCCAGTACAAGATGATGATCACAGATAACTATAGTCCACTCAATTTTCAGCATGCCTTTGTCTACACATCATCTTATTTTATCTTATGATGAGCATGTGAAGGGAAGATCTGATTATTCCTGGTTTCCAGTTACAAAACAGGATTAGAAATGTACATTTATATACTCAATGTCCCTCTAGTAGTTTATTCCAAAACCTGACTTTGACCCAGTTGCCTAGTTCTGAGGCTGGGGCTGTTTCCAGGTCTTCTCAGTGGAGTAATTGAATATTCTGGGCCTTCTGGTTGAGACCGCGGTTGCTTTTTTTCTTCAGCAGAATATTCCACATAAGTTCATTGGTTCTGGAGAGAAGACACTTGTTAATGGTATTACCCTTTACCATAGCCACAGAACCTCAAGAATGGCCCTCCAGAGTATGCACAGATGCTGTTCCAAAGCATGAATTAATGGATTCTCAGTAGCATGCCATAGATAAATGAAGGGTTCATCTGCCCGTTAATTGATGTTTTGGGTTTTTCATTCCTTTACCCCAAATTTACTGGGCATTATTGTGCTTATGCTTCATTTTGGACTTCAGCAGCCTCTTTTTGTCCAGTGATCTTGAGGGCCTTGATTTGTATGTCAGTCTTCAACAAATATTTACTGAGTTCTCATTTAATTTGCCAGACATGCTGTAGGCCCAGGGAATGTAACAGTGAATGTGGCAAAAATGTCTGAAGTCGTAGAGTGCACATTGTAGTTGGGGGAGAGAGGAACTAAATGACAAGCAACAGACAAAAATATATATTGTAATTTCAAGTGCTAAAAAGAAAAATAAAGCAATATGAAGGGAAAGAAGGGTGGTTCTACTATTTCAGGTAGGGTGGTTGGGAAAACACTATCTGATGGGGCTTCATTTGGGCTGAGACTCAAATGAAGTGGGGAGAGAGGCATGGGATGTTTGGGAGAAGAGATTCAGGTTGAGTGGTAGTCTGTTCTCACACTCCTAATAAAGACATACCAGAGACTGAGTAATTTATAAAGGAAAGAGGTTTAATTGAATCACAGTTCAGCATGGCTGGGGATGACTCACAATCATGGCAGAAGGCAAAGGAGGAGCAAAGGCATGTCATACATGGTGGCAGGCGCATGTTCAGGGGAACTGCCCTTTATAAAACCATCAAATCTCATGAGACTTCTTCACTATCACGAGAACAGCACAGGAAAACCCACCCCCGTGATTCAGTTACCTCCCACCGGGTCCCTCCCACGACATGCAGGGATTATGGGAGCCGCAATTCAAGATGAGATTTGGGTGGGGACACAGACAAACCATACCAAATGGGAAGCCCCCAACGTGGGGCCACTGCTGTGTCCAAGCAATAGCAAAGAGGCCAGTGTGGCCTGAGTGCAGGGTGTCATGGGGAGAGCTAACCACAGTGCTGGAGAGAAAAGCGGGTCTTGATGGTGCAGGCTTTGTGACCTTTGAGTTTTAGTCCAAGTGTCATAGGAAGCCACTGGAAGTTGTGGGCAGGGGAGTGACTTGTTGGGATTTGTGTCTCAAGCAGATCTTTCTGGCGGCCCTAAGGAGGATTGATTGTGGGGCACAAGAGTGGAGGCAAGGAGTCCCATGAAAGCTACTGCGGTGGTTCAGGACGAGAGGATGGATCAGGATGATAGTCCTGGTGAGATGCAGTTGGGTTCTGAGTATAGAGATTATGAGATTTGGATATAGAGGATGAGAGAAAAAGAATAAGATGATTCCATTGTTTTTGGCCTGAACAACTGGATGAACAAAAAGGTCGTTTACTGAGATGGTGATGTATTTTATCAAATGTACCATGGGCTATTTTTTTTTAATTTCTGTTTTTGTCGAGGTGTTGACTTGGAATAGTCTTGGCAGACTTTTCATTTAAATACACCAAAAAGGAGATGTTTTTATTTTGGGATGATTCATGACATCTGTTTGAAGCGAAGCTTTAGATGTGCTGTGTACTTTGTACTGTTACTTTTAGATCAGTCCCACAACGTTTATACTATGTGATGGAGATTAAGATATGGGAGAAACAAGATTGAAATATATTTCACTTTATTTTTAGAAATGTTTTGAATTGGCTGGTTAAAGCCCAAATATTTTTTGATGCTTCCTGGTTGTCATATTTAAAAAACTTTTTAAATTATAAAATAAACTCATGTACGTGGTTAAAACATATATCCATATTATACAAGGGTATACAATGAAGAGTAAAAGTCTTCTCCTAACTTCAGCCCTATTTCTAAGAAGGTACCACTGTCAACAGTTTCTGTGTATGCTTTGAGAAGAATTCCATTCATGTGCAAGCATTTGGCCTGATACATTTTAAAGTCATAGCTTTAAGCTAGCAGCACCACGTGTTAGGTTTCAGATTTAGTAGACTTTGTAGTCACCTTGGTAGCCCTCAAGTTAAGCGACCTGGAGTCCACTTTCTATCAACTAAGGATCTCCCTCTCCAAACCATCCCACACTGAACCACTGTGTTCATCATATAACACCCCTTCTCAAAAGCCACCAGTGGTTCTTCTCTGGGTAGAGGTAGAAATCCAAACTCATAAAGTTGGCTTTTAAGGAGCCATTCTATTCTGGCACCAGTCTCTTTTTTTCTACTCTTTTACCACTTTCCATCACAAACCCTCTACTTAAACTAAGTTTGTCCACTTCTGCTTACTGAGTCCTGACCATTTCTCCCAGATTTGGAGTGTTTTCCATCAGAACTTGGGTTCGAGGCTGTGTCTTCGTCCTGGAACACTCCACTCCACAGTAATCTCTCCCTTCTTCAAACTTGCTAAATTAGGGCTAGATACATGCACCCTATTTGAACATAATCACAAATTCTTTTATTAACTTTCTTTGTATATGTGTATTATTTGCTCAAATATATGTGACATAAATTTTACCATTTTAACCATTTTTAAGTGTACATACAGTTCAGTGGCATAAGCACATTCACATTGCTGTGCAGCCATCACCATCATCCCTCCCCATCATCATGAAAAAGATGGACGTTTTTCATCTTCCAAAACACAAGCACTGTGTCCACTAAACACTAACTCTCCATTCCCTCTCCCTCCATCTGTCTATGGACACTTGGGTTGCTTCTACTCTTGCCTATTGTGAATAATGCTGCTGTGAACATGGGTGGGCAGATATCTCCTTGAGACCTTGCTTTCACTTCTTTTGGACATATACCTAGATGTGAAATTGCTGGATCACATAGTAATTCTATTTATAATCTTTTAAGGAACCCGTCCATGCAATTTTAATATTTCCCCTTGGTATTTAACATCTCCAAAGGGAAGGGCAAAAATTTATTATCCTCATTTTGGGGGCCAAACTGAACTTGAGAAGTGTTTGTTTCAGAACACTGTCTTTGGGTGATAGTTCGTCATCAAAGTTCTTGAATTTGTTCATTTATTAGTGTGCCTGTTTTTAGATTGTAGACTTTTAGAGGACAGGCAGGTGATGTTTAATTTGCTTTGTAGAGCATGTAGCCCAAGCTCAGGTGGGGAAGGGTGTAAATATTATGCGATGTTTTATTTCAGCTAAAAAATCTCCTTGAGCTGGATGACAAGAGTCTGGGTTGCTTCCAGCTCCTTTCCTCTTGCTGTTTGCCCTTGGGTGAAGAACTTCCTCTTTCTCTGACTTTTTTTTTTTCAGGGCTTTTTGTGTGTGTGATTGTGATGGTGCCTTAACATTTATTATTATCCTTAAAATTTTCCTTGTGGATTCCTCTGTAAAACTTACATGTTGCCTTCTCTTTGTAACCTTGCCTGACAGCCCCTCTTCCTTACCAGGTCCTGGGGTAGCGCTGATTGCTTCCTCCTTTGTATTTTTACAGTACCCTTTTCACTCCTTTCTTACAGGTGGATCATCTTGTTTTGTAATTGTCAACTTGCCTTCTACACTGTTAGTTCAAGCTTCTTGCAATGGGGAACTGAGTCTCATGCTTAAAAACAAAACAAAACAAAACCTCTGCACCTAGAGCCATGTTTTATACATGGAGGGGAGTGGCTCAGAAATATTTGTTGATTAAAAAATTAGGCTGGAAACATCAGCTCATGCCTATAATCCCAGCACTTTAGGAGGCTGAGGTGGGCAGATCGCTTGAGCCCAGGAGTTTGAGACCAGCCTGGACAACATAGCAAGACCTGTCTCTACAAAAATTAAAAAGAAAAAAAAAAAAGCAGGGCATCGTGGCACGTGCCTGTAGTTCCAGCTACTCAGGAGGCTAAGGTGGGAGAATCACGTGAGCCCAGGAAAGTTGAGGCTGCAGTGAGCCATGATTGTGCCACTACATTCCAGCCTGGGTGACAGATTGAGACCCTGTCTCAAAAAAAAAAAAAAAAAATTTAAAAAATCTGACCAAGCACAGTGGCTCACACCTGTAGTCCCAGCTGTTTAGGAGGCTGAGGCCAGAGGATTGCTTGAGCCCAGGAGTTCAAGGCTGCAGTGAGCTACGATCATGCCACTGAACTCCAGCCTGGACTACAAAGTGAGACCCCATCTCAAAATAAATATATTAATTAAAAATTTAAAAAAGAATAAAGAATCATGTGGCCAGTTAGCTCAGTTGGTTAGAGTGTGGAGCTCATAAAAAATTAAAGAATGAATGTTTGAAATTACACGTAACTAAGTTCATATAATTTTAACTTGGATACAAGGCATTGTTATGCTAATAAGTTTATTATAACAGTAAGTCAACATTTATTGAGAAAGTTATGTGGTAAGCACTATGCTGAGAGTTTTCATGTGTATTTATTATTTACAATCAGACTTGGAAAAGTTAACTTACCCATGAATACCCACCAAGTAAGGTAATAGCTGGACTTGAACCCATGTGTGTTTATTCTAGAGTGCTTGCTTTGAACCACTGTGCCTGCTCATATTGGGGTGGAAGCCAACACTACATGACTCTTAATTCTCAGCGTTTCTTTTTTTTTTTTTTAATCCTGCATCTTTAATGATTTGAAATTACAGAGGTAATTAGTTGCATACCTTTATATATTGCTTTATATTTGCAATGACTAAACCTAATAGACTTGAATCCCCTTATTAGCTTTTAATAAATAATTAATGTTCTGAATCCTACTTCCAATGTAGTTATTTGACATCTAAGGATGGAGATGCTAATTAGTACTGCACAATATACCCACTCTCATAAGGCAGCTGTACCAAAACCGCTTTAGAAAAGGTCGGAATTATTGTCAAATGCAATAGCCTCCTTCCATACCCGAGGTTTCCAACTTCTCCACAACATTTGACCAGTCTCCCATTGAACCTCTGCCCTCTCTGGGCTTCTGTGACCTGGGCCCTCCTTTTTTCCCTCCTAGCTTGTTTACCACTGCTGCTGCATTTGCTGCTGTTCCTTCCTCTCTGCCAGCTTTTACTTGTTGGGATTGCCAATAGGTCTGAATCTTTATCTCTAGTCTGACCTCCTCCTCAGTCCCAGATCAGCTTCACAGCAGTCTGCTGCTGTCCTTATTTGCTTCTGTAGAGATGTCTCAAGCTCACCATGTCATCCTGGGACTTCTTGCCTCCCTTCTTCACTCCAAATCTGCTTTTCTGCCTTGTTTTTTTTTATAGCTAGGTTCATGTTGTCACCATCCCCCCAAGTAAGAATCTCACACCATTTTTGGTCTTTCTTTTCCCCCCCATACTTCCACATCTACTTGGCTGCTTGTTTTTCCTCTAAAATTTTCAAATTAGTTTCTTTCTTTTAATTTCCACTGTCACTATTCTTATGTTTGAATAATAATTGGCCTTTAGGCCTTCAGTCTCTACCTTTCTAACCCATCCCACACCCTGACCTCAGAATTATTTTTAAAAACCTAAGTCTGACTGAGTCATTCTACTGCTTTAAAACCCTCAATGGTTCCCCATTGCCCCAAAATGAAGTGTAAAGGGGCAGGCACGGGCCTCCACAATCTGTTCCGACCTCTCTTCCTAGCTTTATTCCTTCTCCATTATCTTGCCTTGGATGCTTGGGACTTGCTCAACTTCAGGCTCATTTTCCTGCCTCCATGACTTTGCTGCCACTTTTTCTATGCCTAGAATCTTTCTTCTCTTTCCTCAGCCATGAACTCTTTTTTTTTTTTTTTTTTTTTTTTTTTGAGACAGAGTCACCCTGTTGCCCAGGCCAGAGGGCTGGAGTACAGTGGCATGATCTCGGCTCACTACAGCCTCCACCTTCCGGGTTCAAGTGATTCTCCTGCCTCAGCCTCCCGAGTGGCTGGGATTACAGGTGCCCGCCACCATGCCCGGGTAATTTTTGTATTTTTAGTAGAGACGGGGTTTCGCCATGTTGGCCAGGCTGGTCTCGAACTCCTGACCTCAGGTGATGTGCCCGCCTCGGTCTCCCAAAGTGCTGGGATTACAGGCATAAGCCTCCGCACCCAGCACAGCCATGAACTCTTACACATATATGCCTTAAGACCCCCATCAGCTATAACCCCTATTTGAAGCTCTCCTGAAACTTCTTTCCCTCTTCTGTGACCCCAGAAGACACACATTCCTTCCTCTTTTGCTGTCCACGCTGTAGCCTGGCTGGTCATGGACAGACCTGACTCACCTCTAGATTATGAGTTCCTTGAGGAAGAGACAGTGTCTGATGTCCTTGGGGACACTCGTGCCCAACTCAGGGCCTGGCTTATGTGCAGTGCTCAAGAAACAAGTTGAATTGGGTGATAGAGGGAGGTTTCAAGAATATTAGGCACTGTAAATAATCCAGAAATTAATGACCTATAGAAGATTATGAAGAGGGGCTAATGGAAGACACTATGGATGGGACGGAGGTGAGGAGGGAAGAGGATTGCTTTAGACTTGAGTGGAGGCTGTCTTCCACCTCTATATTCTCCACCGTTTCCCATTTATCGGAGGAACAAGTAACGGCTGATTTTAACTTACATCGTCAGATATGTCTATTGCTAGAAAAATTTATTCATCCAGAATACAGTCACTCCCACCTCATTTTTCAGTGAATGTTTGAAGCTGACCCTCAGAATGCAGCTATGAAAGGCTCTTTGAGTGGGCGTTTCAGATCCACGGACACAAGATTTGTTTCATAACAATAAAGAGTTAAGAAAAGCACTTCAGAAAAAAAAGACTGAAAATTCCTGTATAGAGGTTTTATTTTTCTGGGTACAGTTAATCTGTTTATTGTTTGTCCTTAAGGCATGTCAAAGTAGGAACTACCTTGTAATATATTACAGTATTTTTTGGTTGGCTTGTTCTGCCCTCATTTCTGCCTTACCCGGACAAAAAGTGAGCCTCACCAACGGCTGGACTCACCCGAATTCTGCTTGCTCAGGCCTCTGAGCATGTTTTGTTCCTTTCAACAAAACTCTCTGTCATGGATGCACTCCCACTGCAATCCAGCCGCTCTCTTCTCCTGCCTCGTCCTGCACCCAGTGACTGATAGGAGCTGGTATTTAACTTCCAGAGGCGGTGAGTGGAGCTACGAGGCCTCTGAGTATGTGGTGGGGTCTGAGATGAACTGATAAGCGGAAGGCCCTCAAAGGCCTTGGCAAGATGTGCCTGGGATAAAGAAGGGCAGGGGACAAAGTTAGGCCTTGTGAGAGGGACCTGAGGGCAGCGAGACAGAGGAACGGGCTTGGCCAAGACAACTGAAGACCCCATTGAGCTCTTACGGGTGTCCTGAGGCCAGCGATAAGCAGACAACAGTCAGCAAACTCGATGGAGAGCTGACAGTGAGGGTAGGATAAACAACTAGCAGCTTCTAGAAGCTCTGGAATGTCATGAATGCTAGTGATCATCACCCCATCTCGAGGATTACTAGGTGCCATAGTGAAGGTCACCAGTAGGCTGACTACTAGTTAGTGGCCTCACTGCATGCTCTTTGAGTGAACAGTCTTATTCATTTCATAGATGTTTTACTTTGTGGTATTTTAGCCACACCATGGTCTCTGTTTTTCTCATTTAAAATCCAGGTTGCTGCTTATAGAGTCAGTAGAGCAGGCTCTGCCTTTCTCTGCAAGGTGGGTGTTTACATTCTGTAACCGCTTTCTGGAACTGTTGGGAAATCTTGATGCCCAAATGTTCAACCTAAACTTGACGCAGGAGGGTTCTTTACGGTGTGAAGTGATGGGAGGAATGAAGGTGTTTGCAGGTACGGGGAGTGAAGTAAGATGGTAGAATCAAAGCAGCTGCTCTGGGAGAGGAAGCCAGTATCCTCTGCAAGGCAGAGACCTATACCCGTGAGGGCAAACTGGGTCATTTGTGTTTCAAAGCTGTGCGAAGTCACTTTGCCCAGGAGACTGAAAGAGCACTCCATGGATCTAGGCTAGCCAGGCCCTTCTTACCATGGTCGCTGGTGAGCCCAGTGGGTGCATGGTAGAGTTGGTACTCAGTACAGTGTCCTCAATGTAGCAACTCCAATGGCAGCCTTGGTTTAGCTGCTCTCACCGCATCTGACCCAGAAAACGCTCAGAAAATGACTGCAGTGAAACGCATCTTCAAGGTGAAGCTTTCAGTCCAGGTGGGGGAGGGATGCGGAGTTGATCCCAAGGGTTCAATACTTCTAAATATGCTGGGAGTGAGCTTTGTTTATGCTCTGACCCAGAGGAAGTCACTTTACATCTCACCCTGCTTCTACCAGCGTAGAGTGCCTTCTGCTTGTTTTGCATAAGCTGTGTGCCTCCTCTGCAGAAGAGGCACAGAATGAATTGGGAGCTATAAAACTCCTGGCAGTCGTAATTCTTTGTGAGCAGCAGAGTCTGGTGAGCAGTGTATTTTGTTGGCAAGTGATCATTACAGTCTATACTTGGTTTCTCTGTCTGTAAGACGGTGGGAATGCTTTCTCACTGAAATGTGAAGGGGGTCAAAATGAAATCGTGTATACATTGTCCTTTCTCTAAGACCTGATGCTTAAAGCATCAAGACTCATCAAAGAGAGATGTTATATAGATAAAATCTACTCCAAGCATCTTGCAAACATTATCTAATGGAAATTGTCCCTGAAGAGCATCTTGTTCAGCTCCCTTATTTTACCAATAAAGGAGATCCAGAGGGGAGTTATTGGCATGAGCTTGCATAGTCAGTGCAGGACTCTTGAGTGAAACCCTGGTCTCCTGATCCATGGTCCAGACCTTCTTTCCTGCCTGTATCTCTCCTTCCCTCTCCTTCTTCATCTTCTATAACTTTTTAAAAACCAGTTTTTAGAAATTATAACACGAACATGTTATTTTTACCCAGGGTAAAAATAATTCAGACAGTACCAAAGAGTATAAATGGCACTCCTAGACTTATTACTGCGAAGAGGCACAGGTAACAACTATTAACAATTTCTTGTCTATTCTCTAGAGATTTTCCAGGCACATGTAGACATATACACATAGATACAGATATGTGTTTGTGTAGGTATATATATGTATCTATGTGTATGCTGTGGTCATTTATTTTTTCATACTACATTGTAACTTGTCCTTTTGGCTTAATGATGAAACACCTTGGACGTCTTTCCATATTAGGACATAGAGGTTTACCTCTTTCATTTTTCTGTTTTTGAGATGGGGTCTTGCTCTGTTGCCCAGGCTGAAGCACAGTGATGCAATCATAGCTCACTGCATCCCTGAACTCCTGGGCTCAAGTGATTTTTCTGCCTCAGCCTCTTATGTAGCTAGGACTACAGGCATGCACCACCACACCTGGCCTTTTTTTTTAAGAGATGAAGTCTCATTATGTTGCCCAGGCTTGTCTTGAACTCCTGGGCTCAAGTGATCCTCCCACCTTGGCCTCCCAAAGTGTTGGGATTACAGGCATGAGCTACCATGCCTGGCCTGACCTATTTCATTCTTATCAGCTGTGTAATATCTTATGCTCCTTCTATCTCTTCATGATGAGTTTCAGAATTATAAGCAGCACCATGGAATTTGAGTCCTGAATTCATGATGCCAAAGTAATAATATGAGAAATCTGAGACTCTGCTTCTATTTGCTGATGCTATGTACTTATGGGCCCCTGTCATATGCCAGCTGCCATGCTAGGGCTTCAAATACCTTCACTCATTTAATTCTCACAATAGTCCATTCAGTGTGATATTGTAATTGCCATTTTACTGATGAGGAGGCTAAGGCTAGTCAAGCGAAGTTTGCTTTGATTCACACAGTCAATTAAGTGCCTGACTTCAGATTTATAGCCAGATCTACTTGACCCAAAAGCCGATGCTATTCTCACTGTCTGAAATCTAGGACACTAGGGAGAATGGTTATGGTGAATTGAAACCAAGCATTTTTTAATGGCTTTCAAGTTTGGCTAGTTAAGACCTAGAATCTACTATGTGCACAGCAATGACATGGAGGACCAAGTAGCGGTGGAGCAGAGACAGAAATGATGCAGGGAGGTGGGGACAAGAAGCAGCTGCTCCTCAGGACATGTTATTGCCTGTTATATGCTAGGCTGCGTGGAAAACAAAGAGGTCATTGGCTAAGGCACAGTTCTCTGCTCTTGAGAGGTTTGTAGCATGACACAAAGTGGAGCCAGGTAGGTGCCATTGTGGGGCTGGCTGCAGAATGCTCCAGGGTCTACACAAGCTTGTTTAACCCATGGCCTGTGGGCTGCATGTGGCCCAGGGCAACTTTGAATGTGGCCCAACATAAATTCATAAACTTTTAAAAAACGTTATGAGAATCTTTTGCAATTTTTTTTTTCGCTCATCAGCTATCATTAGTGTTAGTGTATTTTATGTGTAGCCCAAGACAATTATTCCAGTCCAGCCCAGGAAAGCCAAAAGATTGGACACCCCTGGTCTACAGGAAGCCAAGATTGGTTTTGACCAGGGACCCAGATCTTGGGGCACCATCAAAACTTTCTAACAGGGGAGTGACATACAACCAGCTATGTTTTAGGACACCCTGCAGAAATATAACAAAGGACTCAAGAGGGTCTAAACCAGGGCAGTAGGAATGGAAGGGAGGTGGTGAATTCAAGAGCTTCTGAGAAGTCAGAGTATCTGGTATCTGTACTTTCTATGTGAGGTAGGATCCAGCGTCAGTATTTTCAGGCCCTACCACATAAAGGACCAAAGATATTCAAATTTGCCAATATCCCATATTAAATATCATGGGGTGTGGTTTTTTTTTGTTGTTATTGTTGTTTATTTGTTTTAGCTTTTTGTTTGTTTTGTGACAGAGTCTCACTGCAACCTCCGCCTCCTGCATTCAGGTGATTCTCCTGCCTCAGCCTCTCTAGTAGCTGGGATTACAGGCGCCCAACACCACGCCCAGCTAATTTTTCGTATTTTTAGTAGAGACGGGGTTTCACCATGTTGGCCAGGCTGGTCTTGAACTCCTGACCTCAGGTTATCTGCCCACCTCGGCCTCCCAAAGTGCTGGGATTACAGTTGTGAGGCACCGCGCCCAGGCCACCACCTTAAGTGCCAGTGGACACAAAATTAAGATCATATAATCAAAATTAAGAATAATTCTAAAATCCTTTCAAATATTTCCAAGAACAAAAATGTTTTTACAGAGATGGGGTCTCACTGCGTTACCCAGGCTAATAAAACATTTTTGTTCTCGGAAATATTTGAAAGCATTTTAGAATTATTCTTAATTTTGATTATATGATCTTAATTTTGTATTTATAGTATTTTTCAAGTCTTAAAGCATTTTTGCAGGTTCTTAAAAAACTTGTAGGTGTGTGGTGCCCACTGGCACTTGAGGGGAGGGAGAGAGCCGCTGAGAGTGGCTGGAGTTTTCTAGCTCAGGTATCTAGGAGGTTGCTGTTGCTAATTTACTGAGATTAAAGTCTTAAAAGAAAGAGGCACCCTGGGAGTAGGGAGGAGGTACAAAGAAAGAATTCAGTGTTAACTGTGTTAAGTGGGAAGCAGCTGCAGCGTGTTCTGTGGAGCTGCTGTAGCAAGTTGAGCCCAGGAGGGGCTGGGCTGGGGGTGTCGATTTGACAGCTCTCAGCACAGAAAGGGGAAAGGATCACATGAGAGAAGAGAGGCCTTAACTTTGGGTAATGCCAACATTGAAGGGGTGGGTGTAGGAAGAGAATCTAGTAAATGTGATTGTGATATCACAGCACAATGAGGATGAAGAGCCAGGAGAATCCAAGGCCGTGGAAATTCAGCTTTGAGAAAAGGATGGTTAATCGTGTCTAACGTCGGAAAGGAGTACGTGAAGGCTGTTAGCCTTGGAAGAGGCTCAAGTGACCCTCAAGAAAGCAATTTTCGTGGAGGCATGAAACTCGATGATCAGGAACTACAGAGGAAAGCCGTGGCGAGGAGCAGAAGACAATGAATGCAGATTGCTTTTCTGAGAACTTGATGGTTTGAGAGAGAGGTCAAGGGAAGTTTTGTGCAGTGAATAACATGATTTTTAGGCCAAGAGGATGGAGATTCCTTGGAAAGAAAGTGGGGATGCTGAGGTAGCTAGGGATGGAGAAAGGGTTGGTAGATGCTGGAAATCTCTGGGAGGCTGGAAAGCATCAAGTGGGTGGGGGAGCCGGTCAGTGCAGCCACGTGTGTGCCCTGCTGTAGATGCACAGTATCATTTCGAGAACACTTGCCGAGCCCTGTCACATACAAAGAACCATGATAGGTGGCCCTGTGGCATTCCCCACTTATATGAGGCTTGAGTGTATGCTGTCAAGGGCAGGGACACTTTTATTTTCTCCTTTATTTCTTCTTCTAAAAAAAATGGGATACATGCACAGAACGTGCAGGTTTGTTACATAGGTATACATGTGCCATGGTGGTTTGCTGCACCTATTGACCTGTCCTCTAAGTTCCCTCCCCTCACCCCCAACCCCCGATAGGCCCTGGTGTGTGTTGTTCCCCTCTCTGTGTCCATGCGTTCTCAATGTTCAATTCCTACTTATGAGTGAGAACATGCGGTGTTTGGTTTTTTGCTCCTGTGTTAGTTTGCTGAGGATAATGGCTTCCAGCTTCATCCAAGTCCCTGCAAAAGACATGATCTCATTCCTTTTTATAGCAGCATAGTATTCCATGGTGTATATGTACCACATTTTCACAGGCATTTGGGTTGGTTCCATGTCTTTGGTATTGTAAATAGTGCTGCAATAAACATACATGTGCATGTGTCTTTATAGAGGAATGATTTATATTCCTATAGGTATATACCCAGTAATGAGATTGCTGGATCAAATGGTATTTCTGGTTCTAGATCCTTTAGGAATCGCCACACTGTCTTCCACAATGGTTGAACTAATTTACATTCCCACCAACATCGTAAAAGCATTCCTATTTCTTTAGGGCAGGGACTTTTTGTTCAGTGCTTATTATTTGTGGATAGAGCAGTGCCTGGCACTGAGGATGTGTTTGTTGACAGACTGATGAACTTATTGCACCTGTCCTACAATGTTCTGAGGCAGGCTCGATCCTTTTTTCTTTTTTAGTGTCCTACTGTGGGATATATGATATATGGATGAGAATATAAGTCACACACATGTAAGTTTTGAAGCATAGTTATAAAAAAAAAAACACAGACCTGGCTTCCACACATGTGCGCCTACCTGGGTGTTCCTTCCCTTTTCTCAGAGCCCTGCCCTCTCAGGTCCTGTTTCTCTTGGAAATGTGGACAACTGAGTTTTTACTGGGACTCCTCCTGTGCCTCTCAGTGCCCCATTCTGGGGCACCAGGATGTTCTGTAGAAGCAGGGAAAGAATATATGACGATCCTTTAGGGGAAACAAAAGGGCTCATTCAATGAGTGGGTGAAAGATGAGACTCCCGGTTGATGGTGATAAGAGGATCTTGTTTCCTGAAAGTTCTCTGGGTGTGAATATACTTTCTTTGCTTGGTTCATGTCACTGGGGGATTGCCTTCTTGCCCAGTGAATAGGAGGACTCTTTGCTAAGAAGTCCAGCTCCTGCCATCCCAAACTATTTTTGGGAAGGTCAGAAGCTCAAGGATCAGGCCATATTTGCTGCAATTCTCTTAGATTCTAGGGGGGAAAAGTATTTTATTCAGTTGGAAGCACCTGACTTCAAGTTTTAGGCAATTTTACCTTTTCTCATTGAGATGTGGTGGGAGATTTAACTTTTTATTCACAGTCTTTTCAGAAACACTTAATTTTTTTTTTTCTGATCACAAATGTAATACAAAGTTTTACTAATGTAAAATATTACAGAAATACAGACCATAGAAAATGAAAGTTCTTCATCATCCACCTTTCTTAGCCCTCAGATAATCATGGACCATAATTTGATGCATATTCCTCCATATTCTTTTATACATATACTAATTATATGCATATATATATATATATAGAGAGAGAGAGAGAGAGAGAGAGAGACAGAGAGAGAGAGACAGAGTCTCCCTGGGCTCAAGTGATCCACCCACCTCAGCCTCCCAAATAACTAGGACCACAGGTATGCACTACCACAGCTGGCTAATTTTTGAATTTTTAGTAGAGATGGGTTTTCTTATGTTGTCCAGACTGGTCTCAAACTCCTCAGCTCAAGCAATCTGCCTGCCTCAGTCTCCCAAAGTGCTGGGATTACAGGCATGAGCCACCACGGCTGGCCAATTGCTATTTATTTTTACTGAAAATGTTCTATAGTTTAATACTATTTAACAGCTTACGTTGTTTAACTTAGCAATATATAAAGATCATCTTTCCGCATATGCATACCTATAGACTTACCTCATTCAAAATTGTTCCACTATATTTCATGATAGGGAAGAACCATACTTTATTTAACCAGTTTTATTTTATTTATTTATTTTTTCTTCTGAGACGGAGTCTCGCTCTGTCGCCCAGACTAGAGTGTAGTGGTGCGATCTTGGCTCACTGCAACCTCCGTCTCCTGGGTTCAAGCGATTCTCGTGCCTCAGCCTCTGGAGTAGCTGGGACTATAGGCACGTGCCACCACGTCTGGCTAATTTTTTTGTGTAGAGATGGGGTTTTGCCATGTTGACCAGGCTGGTTTTGAACTCCTGACCTCAAGTGCTCCACCTGCCTCAACCTCCCAAAGTGCTGGGATTACAGGTGTAAGCCATTGCACCTGGCCTATTTAACCAATTTTAAAATGATGCCTGATTAGGTTGTTTCTGTTTTTTTATTTGGCTTTTGCTCTAACCAGTAATACAGAGCTATTTCTAAACTGCTAGAGGTGCATAGTCTGTTTAAGCTAAGGCAGCTGGTAAAATGAGGCCATTTTTACTGAGGAAAGGGAAGGCTGAGCCCCAAGATTCCCCTGATGCTCTCCTGACATCCTCTTCTAACAGGCAGACAGACCTTTCCTGTAGCCCAGGACGTCACCTTCCCCTTCTCCCAGGCAGGGTCCAGGCACCAGCCTTTTACTGGGATGCGTACTTAGACCAAATGCCACTGTCATTTGTTTGGCGTTTCCCCCTTCTTCCCTCCTTTCCTGTCTTCTTTTCCTTCCTTCTCTCCCTGCTTTCTCCTACTCACTTGGTGTCCAGTTGCAGCTTCCGCTGTCTCTCTCCTCTCTTCTTCCAGTCACCTGTGGTTGTCCAGGCTCTGCTCGCTTCCCTTCCCCACAGCAGGGCCTCCTACTGCTCCTGACTGTGTTCTCATTTCATACCTGCTCGAATTTCTAGTTTCTCTAGATGGTGCCTTTCTTAGTATCTGCTGCCTTCACCTATCATCTCTGCAAAATGTATTAAATCTACTGCTTTCCCAAGTACTTGCCCTACCCTTTAAAGGATCTAAATAAGAATCAAGTTTAACACCGCTGCTGCAGCAGCCTCTTTACTCCATGTTACCTAGCTCTTACCTGCACCCTCTGTTTACTGCACCGTGAGTAGTAAATTTCCGTTCCTCGTGAGGTGACTTCATTTGTAGTAGAAACTCCTGCTGTGTGGTGTGGCAGAGACTACATGCTTTGGCTACGGTCTGACCTGGCTTCAAATCCAGGTTCTAACACTTGCTAGCTGTGTGGCCACAGCAGGTAATTTAATCTTTCTGATCTTCATTTTCCTCCTCAGTAAAATGGGAAGAATAAATAATACCCACCTTGCAGATAGGATTGTGCTATGCTGTGGATAAAAATGTGTGTCAGATGCCTGGCACATGACGGGTGAACAAAAATGCTAGCTACTGTTGTCATTATAGCTCAGTTTCTCTTTTGCAAATTTGTTGCTTTTTAGCAGATCTCATTATGTGTTATAAGGGATCAAAGAATTGATGTATCCAAGGTCCTATTAGAAATGGATCCCATAATGATTTACAATTTTGAACATAAATATCTTTGCCAGCAGTTCCCATCTTTCTAGCAATAGTAAATAGAGTAATTAATAAAACAACAATTTAGAACAAGAACTTAGATATTTTCTTGAAGTCCCTTGTGCTAGAAATAATTTATATTTTTCAGAGAATAGCTGTTCCCATTCACCCCAAATGATTTCCAGAATCAGGATTTTTTTTTTTTTTTTTTTTTTTTTTTTGAGGCAGTGTCTTGCTCTGTCGCCCAGGCTGGAGTGCAGTGGTGTGATTATGGCTCACTGCAGCCTCAACTTCATGGGCTCAAGTGATCCTCCCACTTCAGCCAAGTAGCTGGGACTATACATGCATACCACCATGCATGGCTAATTTTTAAATGTTTATAAAGATGGGGTCTCACCATATTGCCCAGGCTGGTCTCAAACTCCTAGGCTCAAGTGATATTCCCGCCTCGGCCTCCCAAAGTGTCAGGATTATAAGCGTGGGCCACTGTGTCCGGCCCGGGATTGTTTTTTCTCTCCTAGATCCAGCAGTTGTGCTGGATGATGCTCTTTGTGGTTTCATTATTGCCACAAATATGCACCAAAGGCTTTCTAATCCAAGACTTCAGCAGTTCATTTGAGGGTTTGCTATAGATTAATATGGCAATAGTTCTCTGGTACCCTCACTATCAAATTTGTGTATTGCGGTCACATGCTGCATTTTGGGGTTTCATACGCAGCATTCTGGGGTTACTTGGTTTGGAGTCCAGTCTTTACTGGTTTCTGGTGCTAATCCCTCAAAGGGTTTCACAGGACCATATGAACAAATGATAAGGAAATTAAAGCATGGACTCAAATTTTCTTTGAGTCTCAGAGGAAAATCAAGAACTTTGTTCCCTTCCCACAGAGGCAGTGAACTTGTCCAAGGTCTCAAACATGTCAGCAGCAGCTGTCACTTGTGTTTTCTCTGGAGCCATCCTTCCTTGTGGCCTGTAACAGCAGCTCTCCCACACTTGGGGCTTAGTTGCCCTCCTCTGAGACCAAACAAGAAACAAATTCTTGAGGACTCCCGCCCTTCTCCCTTGAGAGTTTCTGAGCTCCGTAAACCTTGGGAACATTTCATTGCCCTAGGGAGGGTACGTTCTGCCTGGGAGGCGTTAATGAATGCAAAGGCATTTGATTTGCAAAGTTTGCCCTGGCTAATCCATTTGCAGGCAAGTTGGGTAGTATCATCTCTTCCTTTTCAAATGGAAGAAGGCTTGGTGAGGAAGATGACTTGCCCAGAGCATCCCAAAGTTAGCAGGACTGAATTTTCCCTTCCAAACCTTGAAACTCTTGCTTCCTTGCTGAACTTGGCTAAGCATCTTAGGGGCATGATGCTGATGGCTCAGGGGCAGCTCAGCTGTTCTGAGAATGTGGATAGTCTCATGGAAGAAGAGGAACTTAGCAGTGAGCTCCTCTCTCCCTACAGAAGGATCCTCCCTCTCAGGTGGCAGCTGTGAAGAGTCCTGGTGAGGGAGGTTTGGGAAGGACTCTTGGCCTTTAACATGAGCGTTGGGAAGCTCCTTTCTCAGGAAGTGAGCTGCCTTGTAAAACTGAAGCGAGATTCCTGGAGAGACAGCCTTCTGGGCCTTACTGTGCTTTGTCTGCTTAAGCCAGCAGGAGCTACAGAACCCAGCATTAGCACATTGCTTTCTTTTCTGAAACCTCCACTTTTTCTTAACCTCTTTTCCTCCCATTTCTTCCCTCCCCTGAACCAGGCAAGGAGGCTTGGGGCCAGCTGGGCTGTGTGTGTCCTTGCCATCTGCCAGGCCTCACTCCTCGGGCCGGAGCCTGGGCTTCAGCCAGTGCTTCCGCAGCTCTGCACTGCAGCCCAGCCCTGTGAGCCTCTCAGTGGCACTGAGCAGGTGTCCTACCAGAGTGCCTGGTGCTGTGATGCCAGCCTCCTGCTCCAGCCCTACAGGAAGGGGTGGAGGCTCGAGAGAGGCTCCTCTAAGGCAATCTGGTGGAGAAGAGGCAGACCACATGCCTGGAACACCTCCCCTGCTGGTGCTCTCAGGCACTCTGGCCCCAGCCCTCCAGTTTCTTTCTCTGCTGTATATTTATTTTTCATGAATTTTGTGGTTCCAATATCAACAAGAGGAATTGAGTGGAAAATCCAAATCCGGAAGCACTTAAAAAGAAGATCCACATTTCTCTCAGGAATTACATTGTGTTTTTCAGGAGGCCAAGGTGGGAGGTTTGCTTGAGCCTAGGAGTTCGAGACCAGCCTGGTCAACGTATATGAAAAGATTTAAAAATAATAATAATAATAAAAAAATTAAGTCATGTTAGAACACAAGGGATGATGAATATTTGGTGTCTTGTGATGGAAATATTTTATCTAATACGGTTTCTCTTTTTTCATTTCCCCAAGCCATAAAGAATAACTTCTTAGAGTGTCATTTTCCTATTTCATAAAGAATGGTGTTTTGAGTGCATTCTACTCTGGGAATAGATCTCTAGGCTGGTGTCCTCTGTTGATCCACCCTGTTGCGAGAGGAATAGTTCTTGCTAGACATTTTGTCTTCACATGGACACCTTGTTGACTGTCTTTCCTTCCCTTTCGTTCTGTTTTTGCTTTTCTTAGCTTTGCTGCTTTTTTATTTTGTCTGTCACTCCTCACTGGTTGGGAGGCCCTTTGCCTGGTAACTGGCGCATTGGGCACCCTTCTCTTCCAGAGAGCCAAGTGGTTCCAGGTGTCTCTGCTGTCATTTGACCACAGAGTGGTTGTGAAAGGCACTTGTTTTCCGGCGAGTTGCCGTAAATTAAGGGCAAGGGCCCCAAGGATGATCTCATTCAGGCGCCACTTCCTGAAAGGGGTGATCATGGAGCCTGGCCCATTGGAGGGGCATCAGCAGCCCTTCCCAGCCAGCCTCTCTGTGCACAGAGAACTCATTTGTAGGGGAGTTTCTGGGGTGAGGTAGCACTACTACTTTGTTCACCAGGAAATAATACCAAGTTTCTCAGTTTTCCCCTCAATGAAGGGCAAGGCCTTGGAGGCCTTGGCCTGCCGGCATCCTGGAGGATGGGATGGGGTGTAATCCGAGGAGCCTTCCCCTCACCCATGTGGTTTTCTGGGCCCAGCTTGGCCCAGCAAATGGAAATCCTACACGACTAGCTGAGGCAGAACTAATATAGAGAGTCCAGATTTGGACCATCTAGTGGAGACAGAGCTGTCTCCAATCAAGATTCCGGAAAACTGGCCGGGCGCGGTGGCTCACACCTGTAATCCCAGCACTTTGGGAGGCGGAGGCGGGCGGATCATGAGGTCAGGAGATCGAGACCATCCTGGCTAACACGGTGAAACCCCATCTCTACTAAAAATACAAAAAATTAGTGGGGCGTGGTGGCGGGTGCCTGTAGTCTCAGCTACTCGGGAGGCTGAGGCAGGAGAATGGCATGAACCTGGGAGGCGGAGGTTGCAGTGAGCCAAGATCGCACCACTGCACTCCAGCCTGGACAACAGAGTGAGACTCCATCTCAAAAAAAAAAAAAAAAAAAAAAGAGTTTGGAAAACTATTGACTGTTTTTGCCCGGTGATAAGGTTTTTTGTTTGTTTGTTTGTTTGTTTTGTTTTGTTTTGTTTTGAGGCGGAGTCTCACTCTGTCGCCCAGGCTGGAGTGCAGTGGCACGATCTTGGCTCACTGCAACTTCTGCCTCCTGGGTTCAAGTGATTCTTCTGCCTCAGCCTCCTAAGTAGCTGGGATTACAGTCACCTGCCACCATGCCCAGCTAATTTTTGTATTTTTAATAGAGCCGGGGTTTTGCCATTTTGGCCAGGCTGTTCTTGAACTCCTGACCTCAGGTGATCTACCTGCCTCGGTCTCCCAAAGTACTGGGATTACAGGCGTGAGCCACCGCGGCTGGCCAGTGATAAGTATCTAAAAAAATTTTTAATAAATGTCTCTTGAGTCATACCAATGATAAGTGTTAAATTTTACTAAGCTCCTGATATGTGTGAGATCCTAGGCCAGTAGACACAAGAAATGTTCCCAAACACTTCAGGGCTGCACAGAACATCTGCATCTTCAATCCTTCCCTCTCTCTTGCTGTTTCACTCTTGCCTATAGATAAGTTCAGGTCTTTCCCATTGAATACAACTGTCCCTTGGCCCTGCATGCCTGTCTGCTCCCCCTCAAAGCCCCATACCCTCTCCCATCAAACATTTTGAAGGAATGGGCTACATTCTTCGTTGTACTCTGATTTATTCCACTCCCTGCTGCCATGGGTTCTTGTCCCCGTGCCCTACTGAAACTGTTCTCCCTGTGGTCACCAGCTGTGAATCACTAAGGCTCTCTGGGATATGGGACAGTGTTGTTTGCTCCTTGCTTCTGGAAATTTCCTCCCCTGAGGCTTCCTGATATGGTTATCTCCTAAATTGCTTTGTTCTTTGATGGCTTCCTGGGCATATCCTGAGGAAGAGGTTCTCCAGGGTTCACCCTCAGCTCCTATTCTGGGCAGCCTAAACCCTCTTTGGGGACAATCTTGGCCCCTTTTGGTGTTCCTGCTACCACCTATTTACTGATAATGACTCTAAATTTCTCTGGTCTCCAGCCATTCATTTCCACAGGTTCAGGACTTGGGTACCCAGCCTCAGGTTAAGCATTTCCACCCAGATATCCCATGGGATGTCCAGGACTTTTACTGTTGGCTTTGCACATGCTCTTTCCCCATTCTTTGCCTGTCTCTTATTTGTCCCATTGCCTGTCTCTTATTTGTCCCATAGGTATCCATTTAAAGGCTACTTCCTCAGGGAAGCCTCCCCACATCCCCCAAGCTAGTGAAAACCTCCCTGTTAATGCTTGCCTAGTACCTATACGTCTCCTCGGCAGCACTCTGCAATGTGTAAATTATAATTATTTGTAATAATTCACTGGCTATTTGTCTTCCTTGCTGGACTGAAAGTACCACGAGAGCAGAAAGCCTGTCTATTTTGCTTCATTATTGCATCCCAACACCTAACATTATGGTGAGCACAGGGTAAGGGCTTGCTATGAAATTCTGACCCATTGAACTCATCCTTTATCCCCGCTAAACTTCCTCCTTGTCTTGTAATCACTACCTTGGTTGATAGGACCATCATCCACTTGAGAAATCATTCTTGGCTCTTCCCTTTCTCTCACTTGCTATTTCCACTCACCTACCAGTATCCTACATAGTTTTGTAAGCTGATTGCTCCCCACCATCTTGGCTACCAAAGTCCTGAGTCTTGCCCACACCGTCTCTTGTCTCAGTTACTGCAGTGACATCCTAATCAGTTCCCTGCCTGTAATCTTGTCCCTTCCCCTTTGAATCCATCACTCCATATGCCTGCCAAAGGGATCTTTCTAGAAGGCAAGCCTAGCCATGCTGTTCCATTTAGCACCCTTCACTGACTCCCCACTGCTCAGGTTCCCCTTGTCTGGCCCCCAGCCTTATCTCTCACCCCTCTCTGAACTGGTAGCAGTTTCCCAGGATCTCCAGGCTGTTTCTTCCATCCTTCCATGCCTCCACATATGCTTTCCTCTTACTTCCCTGTTGTGCCTGGCTCCACTTCTCCATCACCCCCAAGTGTGCCTGGATAACTCCTGTTCCTCCCAAAGGCTCAGCTCTGATCCCCACTCATCGTCCACCCTTGCAGAAGGCCTTCTGTGTGTCTACTCTGCTCCCATGAAACCCCAGGTACTTCCCTTTCCTCGTTGTCACCTAGCCTGTTTTTACAACTTTTCAAATACTCAACTGCAAGCTACTGGGGGCTTTTTAAATATTTTTATTTTAAGTTCCGGGGTACATGTGCCAGATGTGTAGGTTTGTTACATAGGTAAGTGTGTGCCCTGGTGGTTTTCTGCACATATCAATCAACCCATCACCTAGGTATTAAACCCAGCACGCATTAGCTATTTTTCCTTTAGCTCTCCCTCCCCCCTCCACCCCCCACAACAGGCCCTAGTGCGTGTTGTTCCCTTCCTTGTGTCCATATATTCTCATTGTTCAGCTCCCACTTACAAGTGCTAACATGCGGTGTTTGGTTTTCTATTCCTGCGTTAGTTTGCTGAGGATAGTGGCTCCAGCTCCATCTATGTCCCTGCAAAGGACATGATCTCATTCCTTTTTATGGCTGCATAGTATTCCATGGTGTATATGTACCACATTTTCTTTATCCAGCAGGTTTATATCATCTTCGTAACCCTCATGCCTAGCAAAGGGCCTGGCACACAACATGCCTTTTAAGGGAAAGAGTGAATGAGCCCAAATAATGGGATTGAAGGACAAACTCGTACTGCTGCTACTACTACTACTGCTGCTGCTGCTGCTACTGCTACTACTACTACTACTACTGCTACTGCTACTGCTACTGATATTAACTCTTTCTGGGTGCTAGGCATTGTTCTGGGTATTTTCCATATATGAAGTCTTTAATATTCACAACAACTCCATAAAGTAGATAATGTTAGTATCCTTGTTTTATAGGTGAAGAAATAAAGGCACAGAGAGGCTATTTTGTCCAAGATTACACAGCCAGTAAGTGGCAGAGCTGGAATTTGAACCCATGACACAGGAAATCTGCTCATAGCCCTGCCTCTTAATCCTTGTACTGCGTTTCCACTAGCGGAAATAACATAATTGAACATTTTAAAACTATGAATCTGTTTTTTTCTTTGTGTTGCTCACTGGGTCTGTAGTGTTCTCTGTCCTTGGAAAGTAAAAAGAATCTAAAAGTGGCTAACAGGGCAAGCAGTGGGTCTCTCTGGACATTTCTGTATAATCTGGGCTGTTACCTGGGAAGTTGTGTCAGGTTCATAAAGAATGTGACATGTACATAGACAGAAAGAAGACCTGGATTGGGGCCAGCTTAGTCCTTCTATTTCTCTAATGTCTGAAAGACTGCATGCAATGAGCTGGTCCTTCAGTTGTCACCCTGTTGAATGAGAATGGGAGTACATCAAACTCTGGCTGTCACTATACTTCAGAAGAACAGAGTTTGACAGAATGAAAAGGAAGGGGAAGAGAGAGGAAGAATTGTGGAATCATTGGGAATGGAGATCACGAAGAAAGGAAGGCTGGAGTCACCATAAATCACATCACTTACTGCACCATTTTCACGATGACAAGTAACCCAAATCATGGGAAGAAAATAGGAATTGTTGGCATTCTACTTATTTCACTTCTCCCAAGAATTGAACTCTTCATTGTTGGGCGGACAAGAGGCAGGGGACTCGTGCCTTAGCCCAGGCCATGATGACAGCACAGGTCTGGGCTCTGAAAGAAGCCAGGGTTTGTGAGGGGGCCCTTGTGAGGGGCTGGAAACTTGAGGATGTTGGCCAATATGTCTGTCTGGATGTAATGGGAGGAACTATCAGAAAACGTGGGCTTTTTGAAAAATCAAGTCTGAGGTTGAATCAACTACAGTGGTTCTGAAATCCTTCTGGAGAGTCCCATGGTGGGATTCTGAAGAAGCCATCCACAGGTGTGTGTGGACAGCCTCTGGGGAGGCCCTTATCCTACCACTCCTTTGGAGGCCACTCATTCACCCACCTGACGTCCCCTGTCCTGTGTCCCAATGGTGATGCACTGAGTAAGGCATCCGATGCTTAGTAGGCATATGAACAGTCAGTCCTTCTTGTCCTCTTCACAGGTAAAAAGCAGAAGTCAGAAAGCTTTTTCTATAAAGGGCTAGGCAGTTTCTATTTTCAGCTTTGTGGCTGCATATGATAGTCTCTGTCACATATTCTAGTTTGTTTTACAGTCCTTAAAAATGTGGATCGTAGCCGTGCAAAACATACTGGGGGCTATCCTTTGACCCCTCCTGGTCTATAGTAATAATCCTGCAGCTTTAAGCTCTGCCACAGGTGGAATGAGTGCTCCAAAGGCCCCAGGATATGTTGAACTTTGTCTTTGAAGAGTACAGCCCATGCGGCATAAGATGGGTTAATACTCTAGACCAAGGGTCTGCAGATGAGAGCACTCAGGTACTCCTTGCTGTAGTTAAGTTGAGTAGAGTGTTAGTAGCCACATAGCCCCTCTTACAGCCTCCTGATTATAGTGACAACAAAGGTGACTTTTGGTGGATTAAAACAAAAAATGTCCTTACTTTACTCTGAAGGTGACTTCATACTAGGAATGGCCCTCATCTCAGTGAGTGAGATGGGAATCCCTGACATTGGAGTTGGAGAAATGACCTGAAATGAGGAAGATTCTATTCAGCAGGTGAAAATGTAAAATTTTGCTCTAAAAGAGGAGATGCACAAATATTGTTTTGTCTGAGTTGAGTTAGGATGAAGTGTCCAAGGTTTAGTAAAACAGGGCCAGAATATCCAATTATATTTTTGCCATTGTCCCTATCTTTTCTTGAAGGGACTAGGTTAATATAAACATTGCTGTGACACATTTGCTACCTATAAAGTAGTTTTTTAGACATAGTGTTGAGAACTAATAGAGTAACAGGGCTAACCCACCTCTCGTCTAGTCCCCCACTCAGGCAGTGGGGAAACTTTGGCTTGTGCCATTTCCCTTTTCATCTCATTTTCAGGTCCGTGGTTTCTTGTTTGAAGCCAATTGAGGATATGTGTTTTCAAATTCAGAACGTTTTAAATTTGGAAACATTATATGGTGTTTGGGACAGCATCCCATAATCAAACATGTTATTATTTTTGCAGCAAAACTAATGAATATTTACACAAAGGAGGATAAATAAAGGCTATAACTTAACCTACTTAACCTATTCAGGGCATATTTTACTGCCAAATTAATTATTTAAAAAAATCTTCTTTCAGAGCTTTTGGGGAGAATAGTTGCAAATAAGGGATTATGATCCATATGATGTCTCTGAACTTAGACTCAAAGCTCTGTGAGTGTAGGGGATGTATCCTCCTTAATGCTTAGTGTAGGACATGCACATAGGTGCTCATTAAAAGTCAATTGATTTTTATTAATATAAATATGATTACATAAGTCAAGAGTATTATGTGGCTATTAAACAACTAGCCCTTATTTATCTTTCTATTTTTCTAATTTCATAAAGTATTTTTGAAAATGTTGGAATTCCCCTATAAGCTATAATTAAACCAAAAGCTACCTTGATGGAGCATAAATTGGAAAGTAGTAAATAAGGTAAAAGCTATTGGACTCTCTGTGTGTTAGTGGGTGAATGAGTGATAAATTAGTTAACTTGTGGAGCTATCTTGCAGTTTTGTAATTCAGCGATGTAATATGCACAATAATTAACTTATCAACAATATTGATGAAAATTGAATATCAGAGGTTTATTGTGCCTCAGTACCAACTACTTATTTCAACCATGAGCTGAAAATGACTAAGTGATGTAATAGCAATATTGAAAATGGTACCATCAGCAAGAGAGAAACGATGAGGTCATCCTCTCAGAACATCTGGCCAGCTCTCTACACAGGCTTGAGTCTCATTTAGGAGCTCCTATTAGAGACAAATGAGGAGAATTTGGAGTGGGTGTTAACGAGAACAAAGAAAATTAATGTGATTTTTTAAAATGGTCTCCACAATAAAAAGCAAAAGAGATTTGGATCATGACACCAGAAAGCAAAAAGAGTAGGAGTGTCCTCCCTAAGTGTATGCCTCTAAACAGATTTCTACCTTTGTGGAAGGTAAAATGGGAGGAGCCATCATGTGGTGGTGTTTCTTAAAAAGTAGATTTAAATGGCAGGGAAGGAATGAAAGTGAAACATAAAACTTCTAAATGTGAAGATGGTGAGTCGCTGGAAGAGATAATCAAAGAGGGCCATGGACTCCCCTATTCTCAGGAGACAGTGAAAAGCAGCTTTGTATGATTGATCAGCATAAATATGAGGATACAGATGAGAGGGATGAAGGCATTCACAGGTGAAGGATGCATGCGATCACCTGGCCACGGACAGTGGAGGAAGCGGAGGTGTGGAGTGCCTCCCTTTGTCTCACTCCGGATGGGGTTTGCGGTGGGGGGCACATGGAGCATTGAGGAAATAAGGCATGCTTCCCAAGAGCTGCTCTGTGCTGGCTGACACGACAGCAAAGGGTGGCATGCTGTGTTAGGCATGAACTCTGCAATGAGTTTCAAGTGGTTTATTTAGAATCTGGCTGGAAAAGGAAGGGAATATAACAGGTCAGCACTTCCCACCAGCTGGCTGGTGTCTCATGGTAGTCAGTGCTCTCATCTCAGACTTTCTGGAGTCCTGCTCACTGTTCTGGCTTAGGAGTGTGGTGGTTGCTCCCAGGCCCTGGATTTCTTCTTCTGAGTTGACGTTCTGATCCAAAGCCAATGTAGCTTGAAAGGAGCTAGCACCAACCTGGGAAGGTACCTGAAGGATAGATAAATAGGCTTTTCCCTACACGTCTACCCCCTCCTCCAATTCCCACTGGACACAGGTTGGAAAATTCTCCCCTAGATGCCCACATCGGGGTCCTCTTAGCCTGAGACATGATACGACACTTGGAAGAGGGCTGTCTGATTTGTTCCGCCCATTCTTTTTCATGTGGATGGAGCACGTGTTCTCACATGGCCAGGATTTTGGCCTTTGATGTGTTTTAGGAAAGAAGACCACAGCCAAGTTGGGCTGTCTTCGCTGGCCTTTGGGGTCACTGTTTCCTAGTGAAATTCTGTTTTAATTTTCTGGAGCTTTGAAGATTAGGTCCTGGACCAAGAGCCGACTGGGCTTGAGGCTTCTATGCCAGTGAACAACTGAGGAAATCACACCCCGAGGTGGAGCTACACATAGACAAGGGGCTTTTATGACTGTTGAGAAACATGAGGATGGAGGCAGTATGGGTGGGCGACTGGCTTCTGATAGCTTAGTGGGCTGGCTGTGGACCACTGTCAAGCTTGATGCCGTGTTGCTGGTACCTTCCCTTCCCACATGAACCACTCCTCTGCTCTGAGGCCGTGGAAGGAGCTCCTGATGTTCTCTCTCACCTTAACAGCTAAACTGTAGAGCAGATTGGAATCTGATAGTTCAGTTGACTTCTACTGTTAGCATCCAAGAATGTGAAGGATCAGTGGGACAAAGGCCCTTTCTGACATATATTTAGACCCAATTTAAACAAGACATGAATGTATATGATCCAGACAGTACCTGAATATACTCAGTTATATCATCTCCCAGTGACAGTAACTCATTGTCTTACTGTAATGAGATCATGAGTTCCTTGAAGGCGGGAGACACTGTCTTTCTTGCCCACAGTATGCTGCCATGAGTCCTGCAGGTGCTCAATAAATATTAATTGAATTAATCAGCTGCCACAACACAGGTGCGTACATTTATCTGCCTCATGCTGTCATCCAGGTACAAATACTGACGACCTATGCGTTCTGCTGCCCTTTCAGGCACCTAGGTGCTCTCTCTCTATATCTGTGCAGGCTTTCTGCAGCTGTGTGCTGTCTTGGCCCCTTTAGCTGAGCACATTCTGCAAAGTATGAGGCCCTATTAGCCTTGTATATGCAGCCTATATAATATATAACCCAGCTTTGGGGTCTTTACAATCCCCCCTGCCCCTCCTACCCCTCCTGATGTTTTCTGACCCTTTCAGAGGGTTTAAGGTGAATGAGTCCACTCTACTTCTGGGGCAGAGTTTTTAATTACCGTGTAGTCTTTGTTCTGTTGTTGAGATCGGGCTTCTGTGTGTAGGGAGAAGGGAATTCCAGTCATCCTGATGCGTTATAATCAAGTTACTCACCGCAAGTCGGGAGTAGCAGTTCTCTGCTTTCATCCTGATCACAGGGGTGATACAGGAATGTAGCTTCTAGTGTTTCACTGGGTGCATTAGGCTGTGGTTGCAACAGTGCTTCACACTGGTGATTTTCAGTTTTTTAAGGACCATGAAGTCATTACAAATTTCATCTGAACTCCATACTCTACCTACTTTATGCATAAAATGTAGAGCGGGTTTTTTTTGGAAAGTCAATATTGGCCCAAAATGCCTGACCATGAAATGTGTTTCATAAATAACACACACACACATTAAAAATTAAAATGATAACATTTTAAAAGAGTCGAAAATAATTTGACTCAACAATGAAGAGACTAGGCGAGCCCATGGCAGAACTCATTTCACAAAGTTGGGGAAACACACAGGGAAACTTCTAATCCCTAAAACATGATAATTTCCTATTGTCAAAGGCTGGAATAGCTTGGCAGCTTTGTAAGTTGGGTGATCCTGCTGTCTCCTGATACTGGTGTCACAACCTTTTGCTTTTCATCTCTACAGTCCTATAGTCTGGTAAAACTTTAAGTTTGAGAGTTCAACGCAGTGCTCAGAAGATATTTGTGGGATGAATTCATCACTCATATTCCAGTTTGGTTCTCTTTTTCTAATTGATGGAGATGAGGAGACTGGCAGGTATTTTCATCAAAGGGCTAAGATTATAACTTGTAAATAGGCTTATAGTTTCCAAAGGCACACAGCCACTTGTGCCACACAGCCAGTATCTGTTCTGTATTCATGAGCTTTACATCTGTGTTTATAATGTTTGTACCAATGGGCACACACAGAACTACCAATCTTTTGGCGGGCTAAGCGGCTACTTCTGTTCAAAGGAAAAAACTTGCTAAGTGGCTATTTTCTGATAAGGATGTCCACATGCAGTGGGTGTAGCAAACTGTGTAGGGCATAAAAGAGATAATGACAGGGAGCAGGCTAGTTCTGCCATGCCCAGATAGTGAGGATAGGAGGAGCTGATTCTGTATAGCCGGTCTAGCCTGGTTTGGTTATGGATTACTTTGGATCTTTCATTTCTCAGTGCTTTGCTTATTTTCCATGTCCATCTCTCTCTTTAACAAGGAAGTATTGTATGCAGTGAGAGCAAGAGCTCAAAGACTTGAGATTCTGGGTCTTATTTCTGGTCAGGTTAACAATATGAAATGCTCAGAAGTTTTAGGAAGATCATCTTCTTCTCCATCTCCAAAGTTGCATGCTGCGATCACAAAGGGAATGGGAGGCAGACATCTTTCCAAACACTGAGATCAGGTGGAATCTCTGGAATGTGATTTGGATGTATTTTGGAAATGTTGGGCTATTTTTAGTAGAAATGGGATAGGGAGTTGGGGAGAATAGTAAATCTGACTTGCAAAGAGTAGGTGTTTTTGGGAAGTCATAGCCTCTTCTTCATGTTACTTTTCAATTAAAGCCCTGCTAAATGTTAATGTGAATTGCTGGACTGTTATTAACAAAGCTGAAATTTATCATTAGAGACAATTCATCCTAAAGTTCTGCTGTCAGACCGGCATCAGGCTTCTCACAGTTGTGTGACTTTGGGCAAGTAGCTTAACTTCTGTGAGCTTCAGTTTCTTCATTTATAAAATGGAGAAGTGAAAATCACTCACAGGAGAGCACTGATGATGAAAGGAGGTATGTATGTCAGGCACTTAGCATGGTGCCTCACATGTTCTAAGTACTCACTAAACATGGTTGTTTCGTTGTTGGGGGTGATGGTATTCTACAAATGTCTGTTGTTGGGGATATAAATTCCTATTGTGTGTTGGGACCTGGTCCCTTCACACATAGGTGGATAATTCACAACTGAGGACGTGCATTTGCTGGCAGTCAAGGGTAACTATAATAATAAAGACAGGCTGGGCTTTCTAGCTCTCATTTTTTTTTTCTCCATGACTCCTGCTAAGCACTCTTGGAGATCATGGCCATCACATTCTTCGTGAAGATTCTCTACCCAGCCTGGGTGTACCATTTTGAGGATGGGTAGGTCCACTCTTGTTGGATCTCAACTGTAGCCTTTTTTTGTTGGGATTTGCTAAAGACCTGGCATATGTCACTTTTATAATTAAAAACAATTTGATAAAACACATTAGGGTGGCTGAAAGGAAATATCCCAAATTAACAATGGTCCTGTGTGAACATAGGCTAATGCACAGCTCTGTGCTGGGATGGGAGGCTGGTGGTGGTGATGGTGCTTAGAGAGTCCAGTCAGGAGAATGGGTAAATTCTGCATTGAGCACAGAATGGTTCAGGGCAAGGCACATGGGCTAATGCTTAGAGCAGGCGGTGACTATTGCTATGCTCCAAGCCTGGCAAGGGGTGTTGCCAAGGTGAGCAGGCAGCATTCCCGTCTGTTCACACCCACTCTTCTCTCCCAGTCGTGGTCCTCAGGTTGGCTTGACAGCGATGGCCTTTATTCAAAGAAAGCAGCCGCCAGAGCAAGACTAAAGCCTGTCCTAACCCTTGACAAAATGTCACACTCATGCCTTTTTTCCTACTACCGGAGACTAAGGGTTGTGATGGAAACAAGGGAGCTGCGATGGGGCTGTGACCAAGTGAAAATGAGAGAGTAAGGAATTTACTGCTTTGCTTGTTGTGAAGAATGGTGGCAAACATTCAAACATTGGTTTGGGTTTTTTTTTCCCCAGTGAAGTATAAAAACATCTTTTCCCCTTTTTATGGAGGGAAATGAGGGGGCAACAACATGACAGACCTTGAGTAGTAACTGCGTGACTGCTCTGCATCCTGCCCCAAGCATCTCTTCTGTAGACGTGTCTCAGGCATCACAGAAGAGATGTGGTTGCCTCTGCGTGTCTTCTCCTGGCCCTGTAAAAGCCTTGAGAAGCACAAAATATAGGCTATTTGTTTTCATCAGAAACCTGTCATCCAGGATTTACAGAATCTACACAGATGCCCAAAAAGGGCAAGATGGCCAGTACCCATGTAAACGCTGGATAGCCTATGTCTGATGATAAAAAGTTTCTACTTCTATATGTCTTCCCTCCCCCTTTTTTTTTGAGACAGGGTCTCATTCTGTCACCCAGGCTGGAGTGCAGTGGTGTGATCACAGCTCACTGCAGCCTCAGCCCCAGGCTCAAGTGATCCTCCCACCCCAGCCTCTCAAATAGCTGAGACTATAGGTGTGTGCCACCATGCCTGGCTAATTTTTTATTTTTTATAGAGACAGGGTCTCTCTGTTTCCCAGGCTGGTCTCAAACTCCTGGGTTCAAGTGGTCCTCCTGCTTTAGCCTCCCAAAGTGTTGGGAGCCACTGCATCCAGCCTATATGTCCCCATTTTTAAGTGCCACAAGTAGAGGGGGGTGTAGTTGCTATTTTATAATTGGAGAAACTGAGGCACAAAAGGGGCTAACAATTTGTTCTTCTGAGCTGTGGAAACAGCAGCAACCTTAGAGCAATGTTTGTAGACCACACAGATTCAGAGCCTGTATACTCCGTGTCTGACACGCTATTAAGGACTTTAAATACATTATCTCATTTGATCCAAACAGCAGTGCTGTGAGGTGATGACTATTACTAACTTCATCTTACAGATGAAGAAATAGAGGCTTACGGACTATAAGTAAATGGCCTAGGGCTCCCAGCTACTAAGTGGCTAAGTCCAGAGACATCCCCAGGCATTCTAACTCCAGATATACCTAACCACTACCCCCTACTGCCTGGTTCACGTCCCCGGATCAAAGTTACCTTAGTCTACTATTTCTGCCATGAAATCCCCTGCCTGCTACCCTCTGGCTCTTTCTGGAAACTGGCTCCAGCCCTTGCTGAACGAAGGAGTACTGCTACCATGTACTAGGAAACGAGATGTGGCGAGCATTTTAGAGTTGCTTGCAGACTATTTTAGCAATGACCACTCACTTCTCTGCACCTTTCAAATGACCTATGCTGGCTTATGTGTCCACCACCATGGCCCCGCACACGCGCCTTCCTGGAAATGGCAGGCACTTGGCAGCTCTTCTGCCCCTTGCTCTAGGCAAGCTCTTTGGAATCAGGCCACTTTAAGAAAGGAATGTGGTGGCAGTTACTTTGCAAGCAGCTCAGTGTGACTATTGGTAAGGCACTGACATGCCGTTCAGTGGAACTTCTGAGTAGCCCAGTTACTGTGCTCAGAACTGGGGGTGCTCTTGTCCCGGCTGCTTCCAGATAACATTTGCCGCGCTCTTTAACAGATATGAGGAGAGCGTTATCAAACTGCAACACCTTGGGGCACCTTCTGCAAGAAACCCTCTTCTGGTTCCATACGCGGGGGTTTCCCTTCTTTTGCAAATAGGTAAATGTGTGCTGTGTTAAAGAAAGACCCTTAAAAAATATATATATATATATGGGATGTCAGAGGGCAGCTGGGAGATTAGACGTAGACATTTCCCTCTGACTCTGCCACTGGTCTGTCCTGGGAACGTTACCCACAATGCTTTCCTATCTTCTCCATGTCTGTGTCGATTTGGGGGAAAAAGTGCTTGGCAATCCTCACAAGAAATGTGGATCTGACGCAGGCTAGAGACCCAGTGCATTCTGTGTTTTGAAATCTCAGGGCGTGGATTAGCTGTGACCCTGAAGAGCCTCCTGGGCCTCCAGTGCAGATCATCTTTCTTTCCTGTTGCCTTTCTTGATGCTCTTGTTGCCTGGTGTTGAGCTAGATGTGGAAGAATTCGTCTCAGATGATTTAAAAACTGTTTATAACCTTCCCACTCCTTTGATCTCCACATTCCTTCCTGCAGAGGGCTTGGGTCTGGCTGGGTTGACAGGGCAGTGATCACAGGAGGTAAGGGCAGGGGCTCTGACTCAGACTGCCTGCGTTTGAATCCTGGCTCTGTCATTTACAGGCTGATGTACTGGGGCAAGTCACTGAACCCTCTAAGCCTCAGTTTCCTGACCCATAAAATGGGGATAAGGAGAGTGGCTTGTACTCAGCGTTGTTCTGAGGAGTCAATGTAATGGGGTTTACAAAATCCAATGCCAGGCACAAGGTAAACTCTCAATAAATACACAATGACAATAGCTTCATAGCTGGAGAAATTTACTTTTAACTGGGTGAGGAAACTGGAGCACAGAGAAAAGCAGTTTTTCCAGCTGTGCCGATAAGAAATGTTTAAATTACCTTCCTGACTATAAGCTCCTTGAGGCTAAGGAACACATATATAACATCCCTTTGGGAAATATTTGGTTAATTAAATTGATGTTTATAATGGTACTGTCTTGTATGGCAATAGCAGCAAGTCGTACAGGCCCTATCCACCTCTCTGTCCTGTGGTCTCCTCCCTTGAGGACTCTGCTCTATTGCTGATCTCCCTTCTGTGTAGCCCAGTGTTGATCACATTGACAGACTCCAGAAGTAAGGAGCTCAGTAAGTGTGTGGGGATGGTGAAGGGATGGTGAAGAAAGGGCTCTGTGGGTCACAGCTCAGCCAGGTGAGGTGTGTGAATAGGTTCGCTCCTTCAGGTAGCAAGAGGCTTCTTAGAATAGCCTCATAGTTCTTTCTGGGAACTGGTCCACTGCAAGAATGAGTGCAGCTTTAATAATTCACTCCACAAGTTCTGAGGTTGCATCTTACATGATTTCTGGATTACGTATTTAACCATGCATTTGCGGCAGTCCTTGTAACTTTCAAGACTTTTGCTTTTTTAGTATTTATAAAAGATGCTTTGAGACCTTTAAAGCGTGAATCTAAACGAATGTCACAAAAAGTCTTTGCTCTCTTGGCTTTTGCTTTCATAAGCAGGAAAGGCTCAAATAAGGATGTTAGCCTCGTGGAGTATTCTCAATGGCCAGGAGAAAGGTGAGAAGTAGCTGATTCACTTGGAGGGATCCTAAGGTGGAAATGGACCATTGGCAGTCTTTCCCCATCTTCTGAAAAGGCACAGCTTTTCCTCTGAATGGGTACATCATGGAGCAGAGTATATAACAAACTCTCAGAAGACATGAGTTCAAGCGTTGGTTCTGCCAAGAAAGGAACTTGATCTCTAAGTCTTAGTTTGTTTAACTGAAACTGAAATTAATAGTACCTTTCCCACCTGTCTCACAGGGTCATAAGAGGATCAGGGAGAAATTGCAGGAGATAACTTTCTGATAGACATTGTTTACATAGACAATAAAGATCATCATTCCCTTTTATCAGCACCCAACTCAGATGCCATCTCTTCCATGAAGGCTTCTTTAATTTCTGTAGCTTAAAGTATTCTCTCTGCCTCTGAAATTCTATGGCACTTATTTATGCCTCTCTCTTGACACTTGCATAGCTCTATCTTGTTGTATCATTATTTGTACCACGTGTTAGGCTACCTCAGGAAAGAATTCATAAAATTCCATTATAGAACCTTGCTCAAGAAAACTCTTGCATTACTTAAAAATAAATTATAATAATTCTACATTTTTCTCATCAGAGCAGTTTATGGCAATGGGACTGCCAGGTGCTTCATAATTATTTGCTTTTAATCTTTTCATTTATGTTTATTTATAATTTTAGTTTTAATATGTTGCTTTTAGGTCTATCAAAGCATAATTTACATACAGTAAAATTCACTATTTTTAGTGTAAATTTCTATAGGTTTTGACAAATATATATACTTGTATCACCATCATCAAAATCAGCCTCCAAAATTCCCTCATGCTCCTTTCTGTCAACTCGTTTCCCCAACCCTACAATCCTAACCCCTGGCAACCACTGATTTATTTCCTGTCCCTATAGTTTTGCCTTTTCTAGGACAGCGTATGCATTTAATCAGACAGTGAGCAGCCTGTTGAGTCCAGCTTCTTTTGCTTAGCAGAATGCATCTGTGATACATTCATGTTGTGCATATATCAATTCTTGCCTTTTTACCACTGAGTAGTAGTCCGTTTTGTAAGTGTACCACAATCGGTTTATCTATTGTTTCCAATTTTTAGTCAGAATAAATAAAGCCACTATAAATATTTGCATAGAGGCTTTTATTTTTTGACAGAGTTTCACTCGTGTCGCCCAGGCTGGAGTGCAATGGTGCGATCTCGGCTCACTGCAACCTCTGCCTCCCGGGTTCAAGCAATTCTCCGCCTCAGCCTCCCCAGTAGCTAGGATTACAGGCACCCGCCACTACCCCAGGCTAATTTTTGTATTTTTGGTAGAGATGGGGTTCCACCATTTTGGTCAGGCTGGTCTCAAACTTCTTACCTCAGGTGATCCACCTGCGTCGGCCTCCCAGGTGCTGAGATTACAGATGTGAGTCACCACACCCAGCCCTAAATGTTTGCATAGAGGCTTTTATGTGAACATGTTTTCATTTCTCTCAGGTAATACCTGTCAATGCAATTGCTGAGTCATATGGTAAATATGGTATGTTTAATTTTATAAGAAACTGCAGAATTGTTTTTTTTTTAAAGCCGTTCTGATAGGTATAGAGTGGTGTCTAATTGTGGTTTTAATTTACATTTTCCTAATGACGAATGAATTTGAGCACACTTTCATGTGCTTATTTGCTATTATATTTCTTTTTTTGGTAAAGCGTCTGTACAAATCTTTTGCTCATTTTAAATTGAGATTTTTCTTATTGATGAGTTTTGAGTTTTTTATATATTCTGAATACAACTACTTTATCAGATACATGTTTTGCAAACATTCCAGCTAGTCCGTGGCTTGTATTTTCATACATTTTTAATTTTGATGGTCAAATTGATCAAATCTTTCTTTTATGATACCTGATCTTTTATGGATTATACTTTTAGTGTTTAAAATATTTTGCTTAACCGAATGCCACAAAGATTTTCTTCTGATTTTTTTTCTGGAAATTTTATGGCTGTAGGTTTTATATTTAGATCAATAATCCATTTTGAATTAATTTCTGTATATGGTATGTGGTATGGGTCAAGGTTCACTTTTTTTGCATATGGATGTCCAGTTGTTCCAGCGGAATTTGTTAAAAAGACTATCCTTTCTCCATCAAGTTGTTTTTGTACCTCTGTTGGAAATAATTGGCCATATATGTCAATCTATCTCTGGACTCTATTCCGTTGATATATATGTCTATCTTCTTGCCATACTATTCTATCTTGATGACTGTAGCTTTGTGGTAAGTCTTGAAATCAGGTAATGTAAGTCCTCCAGTTTTGTTCTTCTTTCAAAATGGCTTTGTCTATTCTATTTTCTTTGCCTTTCCATAGAAATTTTAAAAATCAGCTTGTTGGCCACGCGCGGTGGCTCACACCTGTAATCCCAGCACTTTGGGAGGCCAAGGTGGGTGGATCACCAGAGGTGATCCAGAGGTCAGGAGTTTGAGACCTGCCTGGCCAACATGGTGAAACTCTGTCTCTACTAAAAATACAAAAATTAGCCGGGCGTGGTGACAGACACCTGTAATTCTGCTACTTGGGAGCCTGAGGCAGGAGAATCGCTTGAACCTGGGAGGCAGAGGTTGCAGTGAGCTGAGATCGCACCACTGCACTCCAGCCTGGGCAACAAGAGCAAAACTCTGTCTTAAAAAAGTAAAAATAAAATAAAATAAATCAGCTTGTTGATTTCTCAAAAAAAGTTCTCCTGGGATTTTGACTGGCATTGCTTTGAATTTATAGATCAGTTTAGAGAGAAGTGACATCTTAACAATATTGATTCTTCCAATCCCTAGGCATGGTATATTTCCCTATTTATTTAGATCTTTGGTTTCTTTCTTTAATGTTTTTAGATCTTGCCCATATTGTCTTATATTTATAGGTAAGGATGTAATAGGCTGTAGGGTGCTGTTGTTGAGTAAATAGTTGAATTCATGAATAGATAAAAGTGTCAACCTACTTGTGAGTACTTGTCTTGATTCCATAATTAAATACAAGATGCTAGAATAGGGTTGGAAAATTTATCAAATCTCTTGGTTATGAAGAGGCCAGCAATGAGACTAAGAGGTCTGAGCCTCCAAGAGACAGGAAATCTGGGCTTCATTCTGACACCCTCCCCACCACTTTCTTTAACCTTGGACAGCTTCTTCTCCCTGCCAAGGGTCTGCCTCTTAGCACAAGTTGTACATTGAGAAGTTTGCATCTTTCAGGGATTCTCTGGGCAGAGCTCATTATCTCTGTAGCTGCAATAGACAGTTGCCTTTCTTGCATGATTTGAAGGTGCTGAATAGCCTGTCTGACCAGCCGTTTCTCACCCATTGGCCTGGTTTGGCTCCTAAATTTCCTCTCTCAAAAGACATACCTCCTTTGAGTAATGTATTATATTTCCATAGGCCTTTATTCAGATGTGTTCCCTGAGAGGGATACTCTGGCTCCTTAGGAAGGTGGATAGTTACATCTGTTCCATCCAATTAACATGTACTAATTGAGTACCTACCATGTGCAAGGCACTTTTAAGACCTCCAGGGTGAGAATGGCATCCTTCCCTTCAAGGAGTTTACAACGAAAGGAAATTAGGTTGTCAAAGTCAAGTTTGTTTCGAAGTAGGATGGCCGCTAGGTCTGAAGGAGCACTGCTTGGGTCATTCAACTTGGAGGTTAGGAGTGCAGGGATGCTTGAGGCAGGGACAAAGGAGAAAGAGGGTCACAGAAGGGGCAATGGGGAAATGACAATAAACCCCACCGACCGTACCCTTTTTTTTGTTTTGCCTTGACAGCGTATTGAGCAGACCCACAAACTCAGTACCGAGAGACACTGCATGTTATTTGTAAATAATACCCTGGGGCAATCTGGTACTATACAGTTTATACATTATTTTCATATAACTTCATTTAATCTGTGCAGCAGCTTTATGTGTTAGGTGGCGAGTGTATTAATTAGGGCACCCTAACTGCTCCAGTAAAGAACTCCAAAATGAAATTTTATTTTTTGCCCAAATCATAGGTTAGTAAATCAGTGTAAATAGAGGGGGAGGCTACGCTCCCAACAGTCATCCAGGACATTTGGTTCCTTCCACCTTATGGCCCCATCCTCTAGGTCCTAGGAATTTAGAGCAAAGAGTAAGAATTATGGGGAAGATTTTATGGCTAAGGCCTTGAAGTGGTGCACATCATTTCTGCTCATTCGACCTCACAGCCTCACCTAACCACAAAGGCAACTGGAAGATGTCTCCAAGCTGTGTGTGCAGAAAGCAGAATATTGATACTGGTAGACCCCACCAGTCTCTCCCACAGTAGCACGGGATGTTCCCCTCCTTTTACAGGTAGGGAAACTGAGATACAGAGTCATTAAGTGAACTATAGAAGAACACATCACTGCTAAGTAGGACAGGATTTCAACTTAGGTCTTCTGCTTAGATAGAATGGGAATAATAATGGCAGTAATAACAATAATATCTAACAGTTTGTGAGTGTGGGTGGGTATTCAATGGAACAATATACATAAAGGCCTTAGTATGTTCCAGATTCCCTTTCTAGCTCTGAGCTCTGCCACACAATCCTATAAAGAGCCAAATATCCCTCCTGAGCAGCAGAGCGACAGCAGGAGCTGGTAACTAGTGGCTGCCTGTCAGCAGAGCCCAGCACAGGGCTGAATCGACTCTAGTGGTAGAGTGCTGCTCTCCCTGCAGACCTGGGAGATTGTGCATACCAAGAACTGACTCTGGGCTGGGTGAGGTGGCTCACTCCTGTATTCCCAGCACTTTGGGAGGCCGAGGTGGGCAGATCATCTGAGGTCAGGAGTTCGAGACCAGCCTGACCAACATAGTGAAACCCCGTCTCTATTAAAAATACAAAAACTAGCCGGACAAGGTGGCGAGTGCCTGTAATCCCAGCTACTCAGGAGGCTGAGGCAGAATTGTTTGAACCCAAGAGGCGGAGGTTTCAGTGAGCAGAGATTGCACCACTGAACTCCAGCCTGGAAGACAGGGCAAGACTCTGTCTCAAAAAAAGAGAATGGACTCTACAGGGCCTGAAGAAGCTGGACTTAATTTTGCTCAATACCAAAGCTGCCTCTTGCAGGCACGTTCCCAAATGTTCCCAGAGGACAGCCCCACTGAGTCAGGCTAGGCATGCCGGCCAGGGATGAGAAAACCTCTAGCCAGCACCTGTTCCCTCAGGAGTCCTTGTGGGCCCAAGCAACTTTTAAAAGATGAATTTTCACTTAATTCTTTTGAAAGCTCTAACATGGATGAATAAATAAATTGGCACCCATAACTTATATATTATTTATAGGTTAGACTTTTAAAATAGCTCTTTTTGTTTGTGAGGCAAATATGTATGGATGGAAACCATTCTAAGACTGACATTTCTGTGACACGAGAAAGAAACTATAAAAGACTTCTCAACTAAGTAAGGTAGGGCTTCCCTGTCTGGAAGAGTTCTGCATGTGAAGCTGCTGCTTTTATCAATTTTTTTGGGTGAGGAAATTGAGGCATGGGTTGAGTCAAAGCTGTTCTAAAGGATTTCAAGATTTGTAGAGATTCGGGCCAGGCACGGTGGCTCATGCCTGTAATCCCAGCACTTTGGGAGACCAAGGTGGGTGGATTGCTTAAGTCAGGAATTCCAGACCAGCCTGGCCAACATGGTGAAACACCGCCTCTACAAAACATACAAAAATTAGCCAAGTGTAGTGGCATGTACCTATAGTCCCAGACGCTTGGGAGGCTGAGGTGGGAGAACTGTTTTAGCCTGGGAGGCAGGGATTGCAGTGAGTAGAGATCATGCCACTGCACTCCAGCCCGGACAACAGGATTGAAACGATGTCTAAAAAAAAAAAAAAAGATTTGTAGAGTTGGTAGGAGTTTGGGCCCTGTTGCCACTGCCCATCCCTTTTGCCACACAGTCTAGCAGGAGAGGAAGAGGTGGTTAACAATGTGTGGTTGAGCGTGGCACGGTGGCTCACAACTGTAATCCCAGCACTTTGGGAGGCTGAGGCAGGTGGATCATCTGAGGTCAGGAGTTTGAGACCAGCCTGACCAATATGGTGAAACCCCATCTCTACTAAAAATAGAAAAATTAGCCAGGAATGGTGGCATCCACCTGTAGTCCCAGCTACTTGGGAGGCTGAGACAAGAGAATCACTTGAACCTGGAAGGCGGAGGTTGCAGTGAGCCGAGATAGCGCCACTGCACTCCAGCCTGGGTGACAGAGTGAGACTCCGTTTTAAAAAAGAAACAAAAAACAAAAAACAATGTGTGGTTGAGGCAGAAGGAGTGACAGGGACAATGTCAGGGCATTGATGATGAATTCACGGTGCTACTGCAACATGCTATGCTTCCAACCTTCTCACCACCTTGACCTCCAAATGGGCCTCCACATGGTGTGTCCTCGGTGGGAACTGCTTTTATCCTCTTAAGGAGCAGCACTCTGCATTTCTCAGTTCTCATCCATTTATTCAACAAACGATCTTTAGCTTATTTCATGTACCTGGCATTATGCTGGGCTGTTGGGATAAGAAGAATGAATATGGATGGTCCCTGACCTCAGGTAGCTTACAGTCTGGGAGAGACAGAGAACTAGATTATGATGCTACAGTATGGCAAGTGCATTGATGAAGATGAGCATGAGAGTGATGGGAACACAAAAGAAACACCCCACCTCCACCTACTGCAGGGGATGGTGGTAGACGTGGGAGGTTTCTTTTCTTTTTTTTTTTTTTGAGATGGACTCTTGCTCTGTCACCCAGGCTGGGTACAAAGGCCCAATCTTGGCTCACTGCAACCTCTGCCTCCCAGGTTCAAGTAATTCTCCCACCTCTGCCTTCCTGAGTAGCTGGGACTACAGGTGTGCGCCACCATGCCCAGCTAATTTTTGTATTTTTAGTAGAGCCTCTGTTTCACCATGTTGGCCAGCCTGGTCTCGAACTGCCAACCTCAGGTGATCCACCCGCTTCGGACTCCCAAAGTGCTCGGATTATGGGCGTGAGCCACCGCGCCCAGCAGAGGTGGGAGGTTTCTTGAAGGAAATGAGGCTGGGCTGAGTTCTGACAGAGAAGAAGTTATTCTGTAAAGGAGCGAGGATTTTTCGGGCTTAGGAAACAGCATGTGCAAAGAACATGTCCAGAGAGAGCCGGGGACCTGAATGGAGTTCCTATGGCTAGATGTAGTATTGGAGAAGCTGGGGGGAAGGATTGGATGGAAATAGTAATCAGGGAGGGACTAGATCACAAAGGGCTTTGTCTGTGATTTATTATGGGTTTTAAACTTCCTTCTGAGATAGAGAAGAGCTGTTAAAGTACGTAAGTGATGTCGTCTTTGTATTCTAGGATGGCCTGTCTGGCCTCAGTGTAGAAAATGGGCTAGTTTAGTAGGCCAAAGAGCAAATATAGATACAAAGACCAGCAGAAACCACTAGACTTGAGAAGGCAGTGGCCAGAAGTGTGGGGAGCGGTGGAGATAGAGAAGAACAGAGATTGGAGAGATAGCAAAGGGGCTGGTGTGATGAGAGGGAAGAAGGGCATGGAGCATGATCTGAGGTTTTGGTTTGGGCCGCTGGGATGTTGACAGATAGGAAGCATGGCAGGAAAAATGGGAAAAGGATGAGGATAGATTCCACTGGGGGTTAGGGTGAACATGAGGGGCTTGTGGGCCTTCTTAGGTGGATGTTCTGAAGGCAGTTGGACACGATGGGTTCAGAAGATTTGAAAGTCATTAGCATAAGATGGTAATTCAAGTCATGGGAGTGAAGAAAATAGCCTAGGAACAGTGTGTAGACAGAGGAAGAAGTGGAGGGGCCCAGGAGATAACTTGGGAGCATCACTATTTAAGAGACAGGCCAAGGAAGAGTAGCCCACAGAGCAGGCAAAGGAGGAAGGGCCACAAAGTTAAGAAGGGAACAAGGAGCGTGTCTTGGAAGACAAAGGAAATGATTTCAGAAAATTTTGGAATGGCCAACAGAGCCTAATGATGCTAAGTAAGATAAGACCTGAAAAGCATCTCCTGCTTTAAGTAACAAGGAAGGGAGGTATCAGTGACTTTTGGCAAGAATAGCTTCATGGAGTGAGGGCGGAAGCCAGATTTCAGTGAGTTGAGTGACTTGAGGATGGGATGAAGAAGCTAGAAGCTACCATGAATATAGATAAGTACACTGTATCTATGTTTATCTCTGGAGAGGAGGGCTGAGGTCATCATACTTCTCAGTTCATCATCATTTTCCAGCCAAGGCCCTTCTCTGTGGTTGGTTGATGGATTGATTTCCTTTTATTTCCATTTTCCTTTTCTATTCCCTTCACTCCACCTAAAAACAACCATTTTTATGTGTTTAAGAGTTTTCCTTTAATTTGCATATGTCCTTGTATGGGTATTGGCTTACATGCATATATTTTTTAATTATGTAAATGATGTTATAGATCTCATTCTGTTTCCTGTGTATTTTGTTCAGCACTGTTTCTATGATCCTCCAGCATTGCCATGTGCCCTCCACGTGTTCATTCACTGCATTTTACCTGTCCCTGCCCCAGTGGTGGACGCACAGGTTATTTCCACCTCCCCGCCACCACAATCAATGCCTCAGTAAACATTCTTGCATATGTCCCCTTCTAGGCCCGTGTGAGCAGAGCCACACTTAGCCTGCCTGAGTCCTGGCAGACAGCCCGCCAGAATGGCTGGGCCAGTCCACACTCCCACCAGTAGTGCACAGGGCAGCCCCTTTCCACATCAGCATCTATATTCAGCATGACCCAGCTTGCTAATGTTTGCCTGTGGGGTCTCCTTGTTTTAATCTGCATTTCTCAGGTTACTCATGGGCTTGAGTATCTCTTCTTAGGGTTTTAGCTTTTTAGGTTTTCACTACTATGAATTACCCGTTCATGTCCTTGGCAACTTTGTCAATAATTTTGGCTCTGAAAGAAAGGAGAGAGAAGATGGTAAGAAGGAGTTTTGCTGAAGATAGGAAAGACTTGTGCATGTTAAAGTGAAGGCGGAAAAGAGAAAAAGCTAGAGATTCATGTTTCTCCCAGGATTTGAGGAATGGGCAGCAGGAAGGAATGCAAAGATCTGACCTCCCTTGGCAGTGACAGTGAGGTTGGTGGGGAGGAAGTGGCAGTGAGGTTGGTGGAGAGGAAGTGAGACTGAGGAGGGGGAGTTGGTGCATGGGTCACCACCAGCTTTCCCTGAGCCCATCTTGCCTGCCCCCTCCACTTGAGGGGGAAAAGAAGCAGTGGGGGATCTATGGGGTTGGATAGGAGGGAAAAGGCAACCTCACTCAGATTCTGAGAACATGTTATACATGTGTTTCTAAATATTTGAAAATTGTATTTGTTTTAAATTTTAAGGGGATGGGAGAGGTAGCTAAAATATCAGGGTATGGGATGTGACATAAATAAAGTTGTCAAGGCACATGACACCATGGTGGGGACAGGGGCCATGTGAACCCTCCTGACTAGAGCAGAGTTCACATAAAAGAGAGTGTGAGCTCAGCACCAAATGGTGCAGGGCTTAGAATTGGACTGTACTGCTGAAAGCTTACAGGGTAGGGGTGTGTCAGCATGAGGGGCCGTGCAGGAGGGACTGTGAAGGGGCTGAGCACGGACAGAGATGGACCAAGTGGGAAGAGATGAGGGCCTGAGTGAAGTAGAGCTTTAAAACATAAAGAAATGACGAACAAAAGACCCTTTCAGAGGCTTAATGACTGACCTTGGTGATGAATAAATATTGAATAAACACTCAATACATGTACATGGGATAACTGAGTGCGTGGGTCAGGGAATATGGTGGGATAGAGGGCTTTAAAAAGGCTCCAGAAGGCAGAGGTTGCAGTGAGCCAAGATCGTGCCACTGCACTCCAGCATGAGCAACAAGAGTGAAATTCCATCTCAAAAAATAAAATAAAATAATAATAATAATAATAATAATAATAATAATAATAATAATAATAAGACTCCAGAGTTTGAGATCAGGTCTGTAGGAACAGGATAATATTTATTGAGTACCTACTAAGTCCCAGGCCCAGTACTAGGCACTGGAGTACAATAATGAAAAAGGCAGACATGGCTGATGCCTATAAGGAGCCTGTGGTCTAGGCACTGAGAGGAAAAGAAAAAAAAAAGAGGAAACAGACAGATACATGAATAATTACAATTATGATAAGTTCTATAGAGTTAAGCAGAGTGTCAAAAAGACTGAGGCTAACAGAGCGGGGAGCTACCTTAGAGAGGGTGACCAGGGAGGACTTCCACAAGGAAGCGACATCTGAGAAGAGATCTGAGGAATGAGAAGGAGCCAGACATGCAGAGATGCTCCAGGAAGTGTCTGGGGCAGAGGGCATGGCATGCACAAGACCCCTGAGCTGGGGAGGACATTTCAAGTTTGAAGAACTGAAAGAAGGCTGGCAGGTTACCTATAGGGGGTGTGGGGAGATGATCTTGGAGAAAATGGGAAGGGCCTTAGGACCATGGGAAGGGGTTGACTTTTATTCTAGGTTCCAGTTGTGCCTAAGGCATATGACTGTATTTTACAAGTTTAATTTATTATTAATTGCCAATTTTATCAAAGTTTTTATTATACAAAATTTCAAGCGTGTATAAAAGTAGAATAGAATCAAGAACCCCCATAAGTAGATCACTCCAAGTCAATAAGCTGCTTCTTATTTTGCTGAAGCACATTTAAGCAAATCCCAGACATCATGTCTTGTCCCCCACTACCTTTTTGAGCATTGCAAAACAAAAATTCATTTTCTTACATAACCATAATGCCATGATCACATCTAACACAATTGACTAATTCCTAGGTACCAATCAATATTGAGTCTGTAATTCAGATACCCCTGATTGCCTCAAAAATGTGGTTTTTTAAATTCAAGATCCAAACAAGGTGCATTATATTTGATTATTACATCTCCTGAGTCTCTCTTGATTTACAGCAGTCCTCACTCTCTGCCTCTTTTTTGTCTGTTTTAAAGCCTCTAACTTGTTGAAGAAGCTGAGTCAGTTGTCTGCAGAATGCCCTACATTCTGGGTTTGTTTCTTTGCTTCCTCAAGTTGTTATTTATCTTGATTTCCTGTAATTCCTATAAATGGGAAATTAGCTCTAAAGCTTAATTATTAATAAATTCAGGTTCAACTTTTTTGGCAAGAACGTCATAGGTCATGATGTCCTTCATGTTGCACCATGTCAGGAGACACATGTGTCTAATTGTCCTGTTCTTGGTGATACTAAGATTGATCAGTGAGTTCAGTTGTTGAAAACTTGATCCCTCCATTGTAAAGTTCACCCATCAACCCATTATCTGATGGGTTTTTAAAATCTTTTCTGAATCAGTTATTACATTATAAATATCACTTCAGTGATGATGTCAAATAAATTATTCCAGTCTATTCTTGACTATTTTCAATGTTGAGACCTCACTACAATGTTGAGACCTCTACCTACCTCCTGCAGTTTTCATCAAAGAAGTGAGAAGTTACTATAGATATTCTACAAAAGTCCTCATGGAATAAGGGAAATTGGGCATCCAGCTTTTCAACTCAACTGCCATAAAATGTTACTTATTCTGAGAGAGGCCAGTGGCTATCTTGAAAGAAGTGAGTTGAGAGAGATAAGAGGAGGTAGGACTGGGTCACAAGTTTCTGTAAATGTAGATATTAAGCCCAAGAATCCCAATAGAGGATAATATTTGAAAACTATTAGGTTGCTACAAAAGTAATTGTGGTTTTTACCATTAAAAGTAATGGCAAAACCCACAATTACTTTTGTACCAACCTGATATGTATATGAGTATCATCTCTCCCCTCTCCTTTAATGGTTCCCAGTGGACATTTGCCTCTGTGCAGGATGTGAAGTGCTGATAGATACTGTTGTTATGATAGAAGGCTGATGGGCCAGTCCCTACATCAGAGCTGAGTAGCACCTGTTCCCCAACCAAATCCTGTAAGAACTATTGGAGCTATGATCCCATCCACCCCCACCCCTATTCCAGCAGCTGCAGCATAACTGGAGCCAGTTCTTGGTAGGAGATTTTTCCATGATGAGAGTGGACAAGTTGCGGCATGTAAAGCCCCTGCCGGGTGACAGAAACTGGAGTAGAAGTGTCTGGTAAAGGCCTCACCAAACAGCAGTCGACCAGAATGACCAGGATATTGCAGATGCATGGAGATCCCTAAGTAGCAACCATGGGTAGTAATCTTGGGACTTTAAGCACCCCAAACCATAGTCCATCAGTGATGCACTAATAGCCAGACTTGGTTGGGATGGGAGCTGTAGTGTGAAAAAGCAGAATGTGCTCTGGGGAGGGGAAGTGGCTTGTCCAGGAACTGCTGGTGGTGTCCATCGACTGGAAAGGTCACCCATAGGTGGCATGCTTATCTGGGCCACATCGTTACCCCATGGTACTGAAACTCCCTGGTTCTGCTGTCCTGGTAGCCCCATGCTCAGTCTTAGCCATATTGAGACTGAGCTGTAATTTCTAGGTGGAAATGTCTGGTAGGCAGATGGAGGTGCCAGACTAGAGCTTGAGAGTAGGGAGGAGGTTAGGGCTGCAGATAGATTTAGAGTAAGTATTCTGCACTGCACGTCTTATTGCTTCTCATTCTAGTGAGTGTGTGCACATGTGTTTTTGTGTATTTGACTATTCTTTAAGGTACCTGTGAATGTGCAATGCGATTATGATCAGAGGGAGAGGAAGGATGTTCCTTTTTTGGTGATGGATTGACAGAAAAATTACCAGAGAAACTTCAGGATTTAATCTCCTGACCGGGTTGCCACAATACCAAATTGTTAAAAGCAGGTTTGAGGTAGCATAAAGGGGCAGGACAAACTAGAAAACAGGTGAGGGGGTCAAACCTTACAGCTAGAGAGAAGATAACAATACAGTGGAAGGAGCAATACTGTTTAAGAAAGACAGTGTCCTTGCTATTTCAACAGCCTGCTCCTCAGCCCTGCGTTGCCCTGTATTCCCCCGGTTTCCCACTTCGGAAGTAGATCTTTGTGCTTTGTTGCTTCTCACTTTTGTATGACCCAGGGAAGAGGAGAGGATGCTGTTTACTTTGTTGGGGGACTAGAGGATGGAGAAAAGAGAACAGCTGCCTCTTCTGCTCGGGGCTTCGGCGAGGGCTGACATGGGTCCTAGCTTGGGCTCCGTCAGCACCCTGCAGGCTGGGAGAGGAGCTGCTACCACTGCTTTCTCAGTTCTTAACCAACCCAGGGAGTAACTGGACATAGCACATGAGGTTGAGGCTCTGAGCCTAGCATCGGACCTCAAAGGCGGATGTGAAGGTTGGAGCTGTGGGTTGCATCAGTGGTATTGTGAAATGCATTAATAAGTACATGTTCCTTCTGTGAGCTGAGTCCTCTGTGTGATCCCATGAGGTTTTCAGTGCTGAGCTGTGGGCAAGCCTTCTCAGGTCCCATCCTACTCAAAATATAGCCTGGGGTCGGTGGTGGCAGAAGGCAGGTAAGGATGACTCTGGACTGTGCATTTAGAGCTGCTAGACGGGCAGGTGGATGGATGGATGGGGCAGGTGGACCTCTCTGGGCACAGAGTCACGGAGACCAGAGAAGACCCACCTACACTTTGACGAGGGTCAGGTGGGTTCAGAGAAGGAATTTTGGGGGACTTGTGGGTAAGCCAGGGAATGAATGGACAAGGAAGTACTTATGCCTTTTTTCCTGGGTTTACTGATGGGCCTGAAGTGCAATTTAAGATCTAATTTTAGCCATGTATTTGCGGTCCTCCGTGACTCATGGAAGGCCACTCTAGATGTGCAGATGACTTATATCTTTGAAAATGAGACCAGATCATCTCATCTCTAAGTTCCTCCCAGGTAGCAACTTAAATGTCATTTCCATGACTCCCCATTCAATTAGGTGTCCCCACCATGAGCCCCAACATATGCTGTTTTTTTCAGTCATGGTCATCTCTTTATAGCCAGGCCTTTGAAGGGCCGTTGTAACAGTATGGAAAGAGACATGGTGACGCCGAGAATGGGTTAAATCTGGTTTTGGACAGGCATATCTTCGTGTTTGCTTTTTGTTAACTATCTGTAGCTTTCCTGTTCTCTTATTTATTTCCTTCCTGCCTCTTACACCTGATTCTCCGAGAGCTTCCCTTCCTGCATGCACTGGCCCATCCCATGACCCCCTTGACTCTGATGGAATGCCATCTGGGCAGGGCCTGGGGTGGGCATGGCAGGGGAAGAGGGCACAAGGAAAGGGGCCTCACTTTCATTTCTGAATCATCTTTCCTTGGTGTTTGTTTTCAGGGACCTGACTCTTTCCAAAACAAAAACAAAAACAAAAACCCTCCAGCTGTATATTTAGACACACATATACATCTCTTCCCATTCCTGGCAGAGCTGCTGCCCGGCTGCTGCCTTCTCTGAGCCATGGCCACAGGAGGGATGGCATTTTTAAGCAGGATGAATTGCTGTCGAGCCGCTGCTCTTCTGCACCCGGGGCCATCAATCTTGTCTTGAACGCTGGGCCTGCTGGTCGGCCTGCTCAGGCTCATCTTTCTGGGGCAGACTTATTTACGGAGCCATGGCAAAGGTAATCTCACTCTCCAGCCCCACGGCCCAGGCCTCTCTCAGCCACTCTTAAAAATAGCCCAGGACGAATCAGGAGAGCCAGGGTCCGGTTACTTCCTGCACTCAGGGTCTGATCTCACCTCACCTCCTGCGTCTGGCAGCTCAGCCCTTCTCAGGGGCTGCTGGACAGGCTTGTGGCCCTGCAGGAGGTGGTCAGCCTGTCAGTCCCTCTCTGGCTCAGAGACCAAGTCAGTGGTAGTTTCCCTTAAGGGAAATAGAGAAAGGTGTGGGGCCGGGGGTGGGGGGTATCTTTCCCGGCTATCGTTGCCCAGCCAGTTGGGTGCGAAATCTCAGTCCTGGAAGCAGCAAGTCCATCTGCAGAAGAGGACAGGCTGTTCAAAGGCACAAGGGTGGTCTTGGGCACAGGTCTGGCATCATGGGGCATCCTGTGTTCGGGATGATGACTGGTTTTCCCACCTTGCACCTTCCCTTCTCTTGAGTGGCAAACACTTTTGCTAAGCCCTGGCTGGGAAATGCCCTCTGTCCCCATGCACCATGTCCTTTCCCCACCTGCCCTCCTGAAACCCTTCTGATTGAGGGGAACAAACTGTGCTCCAGTCCTTTCCCCAGCTGCCCTCCTGAAACCTGTCCGATCAAGGGGGATAAACTGTGCTCCAGTCCTTTCCCCACCTGCCCTCCTGAAACCCGTCTGGTCAAGGGGGATAAACTGCGCTCCAGTTTGGCCTTTGGTCCCAGCCGCAGTCATTCCACCGGATGACCCTGGGGAGGCCTCCTCCTGCAGCAGGCCTTGGTTTTTCTCCCAAGGCAATTAGGGTGGGTAATCCTGGCTCCTATCTTACCTCACAAGGATGTGGTGGGATGGATTCATCAGGTTGGGGAAAATGCAGTCTGAAGTGAGTCTGTATCTGAAAAATAAGGCTGTAGCCCTGCTGCCATCTCACACTTGGGCTGGTGAATGTGCTTCAGTGCCTCCGTGATCATGTGCCTGGTGGATGTGCATGTGTGTGCTGGTGTGTGTCAGTGTGTCAGATATGAGCCTGTGTGTGTGCCGTGGGTGCACACACCCACAGAGGGAGTGGTCTCCCTCACAGCTCACTGGCTGTCAACCCCCATCACAGGTCTGCCTCACAGCCTCCCTGCCTCCCGCTTTGCTCTCTTGGTTGTGAAGGCTCTGGGTCCCCTATTCTCTTACAGACTTGATCTTGGAGTCCCTTAAGATCCCTAGAAAGAGGACCAAATGTCAGGTACAGATGAAGAAAGCTAATAGTTTTCCTAGGGTCCAGGGCATTGAAGACCAAGCCTGGCTCCCCTGGCCCCCTCCTCACTTTTCTCCCCTGACTCCACCCCTGCCTTCCCGTTACTTCTTAAAGTTCTCAAAGCTTTCTGTGTTCTTTCTTACCTTCAGGACTTTACACCTACTCTTTATTCCCTTTGCTTGGACTCTTGTCCTTTCCCACCTGTCCCTTCATGGGTACCTCCAAGCTTCCTTTAGGAATAAGCTTCAACTTCCCCTCCCTGATACCAGTCCCCGCCGAGTCCCCACCTAAGCCAGCCATGACACACATCACACCTTCTTGTAGTTGCTTGTTTAATTGTGTGTCTCTGCCACCAGATTCCAAGCTCTGTGAGGACATGACTTTCCTGTCTTACTTGCCCCTGCCTAGTACAGTGCCTGCCACCTAGTTGGAGCTTGGTACATATTTGAATTAACTGTAAATGAATGAATGAGTGAGTAGGAATGACTGATGACGGGTGAGGGAGGACCCAGTGCTCCTGATGCGCTGGTTCATCACATGGACTCACAATGCACGGTTCCATTGTCCATGGGATGCCCCGACTGCCACGTGCTTGATGGGACAGCAGGCTCCTTTGGGTTGCTCAGTCTGTCCTGGAATTCAACAGGAGACCTCATCTGAGCACCTGGTCATGCTCCAAAGAAGCCCTAAAATGCGAGGTCAGCTTTCTGAATACCAACTGCTGGGAAGGAACTCAGAGGGCTCTCAGAAAGCCTCCGGGAGGAGTGAAGTCCCCCCAGTGCAGCTGCCCCGGGCTGGTGGCGTCAGTGGCGGCTTAACTCTCTCATCCATCTCTCCCCATGGTTCCCATATGGGTCAGACTCAGCCTGTTTCCAGCCTCTCCCTTCCCCTGGCCTGTCCCCATCTCCCCCACCAGGTTAGGTCCTGGCCTAGTCCTCAGGGTGAGGGTTGCTTTCCCCAGCTTGTGCCCTGCTGCCTCTGGCTCCCAGGAGAGCTTCCTCTCTCCCGGGGTGCTCCCCGCGGCGGGGCGGCTGGTCTGGAGGAAGCAGCTGGCTGCGACTGACGTCTCCACCTGCTGGCCGTCCTGACCCTTGCTACGTGCAGCTCTCCATCCCTGCCACTGCTGCCGGTACTGTTGCTGCTGCTGCTGCTGCAATATTTTATAACAAACGACCCAGAGACCCTGGTAGGAAGCACGCCCAGGCAGATGACATGGCGTTCTGCTTCTGTCAGGATCTACTCACGTTGGATGCTCCGAATAAGTTTCCCCGGAGAAAAAGTCCGAGGGGGTAGAGAGATAACCCTCTGACTGTGTTGCTGTCCCCCAGGGATCCTTCCATGAAGACTGAGGCAGGCGGAGCTGCTAAGAGCCTGCTGACATGACATCGGCCACAGAGTTTGAAAATGTGGGCAACCAGCCACCTTACAGCAGGATCAATGCCCGCTGGGACGCCCCAGACGACGAGCTGGATAATGACAACAGCTCAGCCAGGCTCTTTGAGAGGTCCCGGATAAAGGCCTTGGCAGGTACTGTTTGGGGCCACAAGGGTTGGAGGGCATTCTCACAGTCACAAGGTTCACAGCCCTCCCCACCTAGTGTGAATCCTCTGTGTGTGTTGGGTGAGCCCTGGCATGGCAGTGATGGAGACGTGTTTGTCGGGCTCAGGGAGGTGGGGGTCCCCTTGGGAGGGAGCTCAGGCAGCCTCTGCCCCCAAGGCCTCTGAGAAGCAAGGAGGTGCTGGAGCTGGGACCAGGTGGGGCCTGCCCTCTGCCTCTGTCCTGAGTGACCTGCGGCCAAGTGAGAAGTACGAGAGTCTGGGCAAAGCAGTGTCTGAGGGCTGGACAGCCGGGCGCAGGTTCACAGGGCCTCCTGGTTAACCCCGATTTCCTGCCTGGGCCTAGAGAGAGGAATTACCATAGTCCTCTCTGTAGTCCCAAAAGGAGTGATTGGATAGGAAATCGAGAACAGATAACATCCTCCCCACTGCCTCAGGAAGGATTTTCTTGATGAAACCTTTCATCCTTAAACTGGAATTAGATTTTTGCTTAGCAGGTTCATAATAGATCTCTCTGTGTGTGTGTGTGTGTGTGTGTGTGTGAGAGAGAGAGAGAGAGAGAGAGAAGGTGGGGGTGGAGAATATCTTAAATCTCTAGTAGAAATGACTTCTCCTCCCCCTGTTGGCTGATATCTGATTCTTGGGATTTTTTTTTTTTCCCCAACTCCTGTGACTATTGCCTCCCTGAACTTGACCCAGGGTAAGTATATTCCGACCTTAAGTCTTCGGCCAATAAGAAAGTTTGAGTTACATGGGGTTGTGTGTGTATGTGTGGAAGGTGGGTTCCTTCACCTGATCCACCAGTCAGCAGCCCACACTGGACCTGTTTCCCTATCATTGACTGTTGCCGTCTTCCACCTCCTAAGAAGAGTACAACCTTCCCCATAAACACTTTCTGGAGTGATTCTCCCGCTGCCCCCATACCTTATGGCCCAAATTGAAGGTTGTAGTAATCCTCTTCCCCACTCCCTCCCTGTACTCAGCTCCCAGATACCACAGTCCCTGGCAGACCTTGAAGCCTGAGCAGGGCCCTGGACCCCTCTGGGACCATAATGACCTCACATCTTGGGAGTGTCTGGGCTTCTCATGCCGGGAAAGGAATGCTGCGGTGTCTCATCTCCCTTGTCATGACAAGGAATCCACTTGGGTCTCAGTCATTACCCCTGGTGTCCTTGCTCTTTACAGGAAACTCTCTTTCTTCTTTCTTTATCTCCTTCTCACCCTCCTTGACCCCACAAAATTCTCCCTTGGTTTCCCTTGGGGACGGACCATAACGGTGACCCATTGCTTTTGTGTATGTTAATTTAAGCCAACCAAACTTGGAACCATTGGCTTTGTCGTCAGTCTGGTTTTACCTTCTTATATCTCTGTGCTGGCTGGATCTAGCTGCAATGACCCTGGCGATCCAGGTGGAGGGAGAGGGGTACCATATTCCGTAAGATTTGCCAAAGCAAGGTAAGAGTGGGGACTGGCCTTTGTGCAGAGATTCTTTTATCTTTTTTAAGAAACCAAGGTAAATTCTATTTTAACAGTTGCTTGTTGTACTCCTACTATGTTTAAAGCTAAACCCCTGGCCAACCATGAAAGGGGAGAGGGGAACCACAGAGATGAATTCAGTATAGTGTCTGTCTCTCAGGAGTTCAAAATCTATTAGGGAAAAATGAACTATGTTCACAATTAATTAGCATGAGTGGAATTAGAGAAGAACTGTAGGATGGGCACATAAATTAAACAGCAATGAGAGAGCCAAGGAAGAGATGCAAGGAAAATCGGGGAACAGTTCATGGAGGAGGCAGCCTTTGAGCTGGGAATTGAAGGGTGTGTGTGATTCTGGCAGGCAGAAGGGCCCCGGGTTTCTCCAGTTGGCCTGTGTGTGTTGTCACCACGTCTGATGAGCTGCTTGGGAAGTTGGTGGAGACAGGTTAATGAGCCGAGCACAAAGCCGGGCGTGGTAGCTCATGCCTATAATCCCAGCACTTTGGGATCCTGAGGTAAGTGTATGGCTTGAGACCAGGAGTTCAAGACCAGCCTGGCCAAGAGGGCGAAACTCCATCTCTACTAAAATCCAAAAAAAAAAGAAATAGCTGGGCGTGGTGGTGCATGCCTGTAATCCCAGCTACTCAAGAAGCTGAGGCACGAGAATTGCTTGAACCCGGGAGGCGGAGGTTGCAGTGACCCAAGATCACGCCACTGCACTCCAACCTGGGTGACAGAGCAAGACTCTGTGTTTAGTGGTCAGTCCTAGGTTGATCAGGAAAGAGCCTTTGCTGACCTTGGCTGTGCCTAGTTGAGCCTCCTCCTCACCAGGAGCATGCATCTGACTTACCAGAGAATCTGAATGCCCCCCAGGGAGAGGAAAAGCCACAGAGCATAGAATTGTATGCCTGGGCCTTAACTATTCAGAACATCTGGCCAACAAGTAAATATGCAAGTTTGAGGTCCTTTCAAGATTTTCAAGAACAAACAACCTAAGTGGTTTACTGGCTTCCTTCTCCTGAGAGTCCACTCTAAGTGACCTGGGCTTGAGCTAAAGCTTTGGAAAGGTCTAAATAGGGTGGCCAGATGTGCCCATTCTGCTGGGTAGGCAGAATGGAGAAAGGGAGCATGTCAGCCTTCCTAGTCTCAACGTCTTGACTTTTTTTCCCTTCAGTACTGTTGTTGGGGCCACCTTAGCAGCCTAGGCAGGGGTGTCTTTCAAAAGAAACATTAGGGAGAAGGAGCTCTCAGCCACTCTCCCACTCACAGGAATATTAAGGCAAGGAGGGGATTCAGCCCTGAGTTGCTTATAAGATAGCAGTGATCTACTTCATAGGTATATGTGGCAAGGTTGGGGAGACTGGCCTGGCGTCTTCTTCTGAAACTGAAGGTCCTGGGGTGAGGAGGAACATGTCACAAGATCCAGATTCAAGTCCTGATTCTGCCTCTAATGCCACCGCAGTGGAGGATCACTGACTCCTTTTCCATTTTTATAAAATGGGGATGATAGTATTTTCTCAAGGTTGTTGTGAAGAGCAAATAAGATAAAGTTTACGGAAGTTTTTATTTATAATAAAATGCTAGGTGAATGTTAGATAATGTTAGTACTAAGAAAATTTCCCATCGGTGTTTTCTGTCCTTTCTCTTTTCCCAACTTCAGACATTCAAGATCATGAGCTTGGTCTTTTTCCTTGCCTGTTGTACCTTGGCCTGTTCCAGGACCTGTTTCTTCCTTCTTAACCCCCACCCTCCTTTGCCTTGGAAGTTCTGAGTTGGAAGGAAAAGCCAGGGACCAAGGAAACCAGGCTAATGTTTGTGCTTGGAGCTCTGGGCTCTTTCCCCTTCCCCCAGACCTGATGCCCATGAGATGAAGCCCCATGCCATGCAGGTCTCTCTCTCTCCATAAGACTATCCAGTCCACGACCCTGGCTGTGTCTCCGCCATCTGGCTGGGTGACATGGGAGGCCCAAGAAACGTAAGGATGATGGGTCTTGTCAAATGCTTTTCCAGATGAGACAGTTTCTCTAGGTCCATCTCCATTTAATGACCTATGGTTGGAAGACCTGAATTGGGGTGACTGGATGTGATCTTTTCTGCTTCTTAAGTAAAATTCCTCTCAACTCCAAAGGAAATACTCCCTGTTCTGCCTTTCATACCACTCCCAGGTCTTCCTTCCTGGACCTAAAGAAACAAGCCATCTGGCTCATCTGTCCTAGTACATAAAAACCTGACCTCTCTCCAGAATGAATGACTTTCTTTATGAAACTGGGAGTCAGCCTAACTAAAGTGAAAAGGAAGAAGGGTAGGAAAATGTTGCAGAAGGCTCCTGTAAGGGGGTGGATTTGACCTTGGCAATGCCAAGGGGAGGGCTGGGATCCCAGCAGGAATATTTGCCCTGTAGATCCCTGAGCAGATTTTAGCGTTTTAACATCAGTCTCTAAGCTGGCCGCCTGTCATGAGGTTAAGTAGCAGGTAGCCCTGAGGCTTCTTCCTGGACTGGAGACCATGCTTCTCTCTTTTGATGACTGCCTCTGGCACCTTCCTACTTTCTGGACCTGTTTTCAGGGATTACAGGAAGAGCAGCAGCTGAAAAGCCCAAGTTCCTATCCTTCCAAAAGGTTCCAGCCTTCATGTTTCAATAGAAAGGCTCCCCCCATCTCCTAGAGTCCCCCTAATTGTCACACAGCCCCATTTCTTCTCCTTCCCCTTTTCATACTGGGAGCTGCCAGATGAGCATTTGTGGCCGTCTGGATGAAGAATGAAACACTGCAGGCTGCAGGGAACTTACCAGTCAGAATGCCCATCCTCTGTCTCCCTCTCCTCACCCCAGAGGAGGCATCTGCCTGCCTGCACACTCCTCCCCTTCCCTGCACCTGGGTACAGACTCCAGTGACTCCAGTGAGGATGCTGCCTCAGGGTAGATGTGGCCCAGAAGGGAGAGCAGGGAGTGGAGGAACCCCACAGAAAGATGCCCCAAAAAGAGAAGCCCTGTGCATGAGCCTCATTCCCCTTTCTCTCTTCCCTCCCCTCCCTCCTTCCACTCCCCTGCCTTACCCATGCACACAGCTTGGCATCCGGCATCCCATGTGCCGCCCGCTGCGTGTTTTACAGCTCCTCGGCTCACAGAGGCATCTCGCAGTGCAGGGAGCAGTCCGGAGCCTCCTGCGAAGGGCCTGTGGGAAAGAGATGGCCTTCACGTTCTTTCTCAGTCTTCCTCCTGTTCTTTGGCCTGTGGAGCAATCACCAAAGGATAGACTAAATAGGGCCTCTCATTTTAAAACCAGGTGCACAGAATTGTGTTGCCCACTCAGGTTTTGCCTTTGCATTCAAATCCAAGTGGTGCTGCAAGCTAGAGATGACCTTCCTTCCTGCATTGTCTCTTTGTAGCCTTCTTTCTGGAAGTGAGATGAGGCTGAGGGGTGAGGTTGGTTGAGGACAATTCCAAGACTGCTGTGGGACAGCAGGTGCACTACAGCCTGTGTCCCTGCACTCTGAAGCACATAGTTGCTGCCACTCTGAGCCTTAACTGTCTTCAGGACCCACTGCATGCAGGTCCCGAGGTTAAGTTCTGTGGCTGGCAGACATTCCTCGGATGCTGCTGCTCCCCGCCCACCTCCTTGGCTGCCAGGAACTCCCCAGGGAGGGTGGTACAGACCTCTTCCTGACTCTGCTGCTGAAGGGCCCTGAGAGTGTCCTCAGGACATGTTTGGCCTCTCCCTCAGGCCCCTTTTCCCTTATGTACAGGAGGATGCTGATCTCAGGTGCCCCAGTTGCCTAGGAGGGCTTTGTGTCCAGAGGGCAAGTGATTTCTCAGGGAGCAGGGCCTCACCCCCGTGGACGGGCATCAGTAGCTTCTTTGTTAAGTTGACAGATTCAGGTGCAGCTGCTGGAGAACAAGGCACCAGTTGTCCATGTTCCCCCCATGTCTGTCTCCAGGTACCCGTAACCAACAAAGATGGTGGTGTCATTAATGGGAGGTTTGTAATGTTTTTGCTTCTCAGATTTCAAAACATAAAATGGGGTTTTATTTAGAGACTACATATTGGGAAAATATACTATCCACAGAAATATCTATCATTGTCAGCAACCATTTTAATGTCAGAGGGAAAAAAATTGGATCAGCAGCTTTCTCTGGGAGGTCAGCCATGGTGAGATTGTCCCCCTGCCCCCAGGCAGGACACAGTGTAGATAAACCTGCCAGCTACCTGTGCAGATAAACCTGCAAGAGATGTCAGCATGCCCCTGCACTGTGTGGCCCGGGGCAGGTTTCCCCTGCCCAGGACATAATGCCTTCCATTGTCCCCTTACCACTCTTGATAAAAGCTATTCTTCCTCTCTCAGAACTCTTTACAGAACCAAGGCTGCTTCCCTTCTATGGGTGACTGCTATCTATCATTGTGAAGATGCTTTATCAAATATTAATACACTGAGGTTAATAATAAGACTCTGTTCTCTCCCCGGGCAGTGCAGTCTGAGTGAACCACGTTAATAGCCTCCTCCATCTTTGGGACATTTCTGTGGGATTTGTTCCCAAGGGCAAGCTCTGACCCCAGGCCTTGTCTGTGTTTATGGCTCTCAGGAAAAGCCAGCACCCATTCTCCCTGCCCCATGTGTCCCCCACATGCTTCTTGGCTGAGGAGGTGCCAAGGGTGGTGTTTTCAGAGCATCTGTAGCAATTTTCCATTTTCCCTTTATAACATGTCACTGAGACAGAGTGACAAGGAGGCTAGTAGCAGCCGAGTCTCTGGGAGCATTTTGCCTCCAAACCCTTTGGCCTTCAGACTTGGGAAAGTAGATCAACCAGAGAATCTTACAGTCTAGTGAGACAGAGGTAGATCAAATAATCCCACACGTGTCTATGTGCATAGACACACGTGCATAGCAAATTATGACAAATTTGCTATGAAGATTTGCTGGGAACTATAAAGTTTGTAACATAAACTGCAGCTCTCAGTTCAGGGGATAAGCATGTTTGAGTCAGAGTGCAGGGTTGGTGGTGGTGATAGGAGGGCAGGCAGGGGCCACTTCACAGGCCTGATAGGCCACCGGTGTTGCCAAGGTCCTGGGCAGGAAGCAGAGAAAAACTCAAAAGGGGTGGCTGTGGAGTTTAAGGAGGGAATATATATTGATTTAGGGTAAATTGATATCTTGATGATGTTGAGTTTTTTATTCAAGACCTCAGCGTGCCTTTCCATACAGTGGCAGGGTTGAAGGGTCCGAGAGAGGGAGCATTAGCTGTGGGCTGCAGGACAGGAGCTGAGCCTTCAGTAGAGGGTGGAGGGCAGGAGCTGCTGCCAGCCCATCAAAGTACTTTCAGCAGGGAAATGACACGGTTAGATTTGGGTTTTTAGGGCTCGCTCTGACTACTAAGGATCACCCTCTGTAGGGAGAACAGGTTGTGGAGAGGCTGTGCAGAAGTCCGGTAAAGAGAAGACGCTGTTTGAGCTAGCTTGTTACCCATAGGTGAGGAGAAAATGGTCTACCTGGCAATATCACTCTTCCGTCATCCTGCCGCTATCGTTAGGGGACCTCGATCAAGTCACTCTTCTGCTCCTTGGGGCCTCTTTATCCTCACCTGTAACACCAGGGGCTTGAACTAGATGACGCCCAAAGCCCTTCTAGCTCTGACAGTTTGAGCAGAAGCCACCTATGGAGTGGTGTTGACAATGTGCCTCTTTACCCTGAACCATGTAGCTTTGGTTCCTGGCTTGGGGAAGGGAACTGATCCTTTTCAGCAAATCGGCGCTTCTCCAGAAACTCTCTCTGTTCACTAAAGGCATCACCTAGGCTGAGGCCAAGTCCTGGACCATCTTGACTTTTGCAGCCCCATGTTCTCAGTGAGTGTAATCTCTCTATGCAGCCACCACCTGCATGCAAGACAACAATGCCTGATATTGGTGCAGCTGCTTCGTGTTCTAGGTGCTTTTGTTCAGATCATCTCCATGACCCTTCACCCACTCTGTGAAGTGGGCAGCTTATAGCTGTTGTCATCTCCCTAGAGATGAGGAAGGTCAGAATACCAGGAAGTGGCCAAGACAGGACTAGGATCCCGGGGTTTTAAAGTCATCACAGCGCTGCTTGGGCTGCAGCCCTCGGGCCCCTATTGAATGTTCTTCATTCTTACCTCACATGCTCCTTCGCGCTTCATGGGAGATGCCCGCTTCATGGGAGATGCCCCTTCCCATTTTTCTTCCAACACCAGCCTTTGAGCCTCTTGGCTCCTGCCTCTCCCCTGTCCCCTTAGGATCTTTGTCTTCCAGCACACTTTTGGGAGGTGCTGCTTTACTTAAGAACCTCCGGGCTGTTCTGTACCTGGACTATAATGTTCACATTCCCTAGACTGTCCTGCAGCTGCCTTGCTCTGGATAAATTCACTGCTTCTCACCCCCACTCCCAAAACCTGCTTACATGCACACACACACATACACACCTTGCCAGTTGCCACCTGAGGGGCTGTGAATATGACCTCCTTTTTCTTCCCTGCCATTCTAAAACCATTATCATCTTCAAACTCCAGATGAAAACTAGCCTTCTTCAAAAATAAAAAAAAACTTTTTGATTTAAACTGGTCTACAATAACTTGTTTTCTTTTGCAATAATATATAAAGATCCTATTTTATCTAAAAATGCAATAGGAGCTGGACGCAGTGGCTCATGCCTGTAATCCCAGCACTTTGGGAGGCTGAGCGGGGAGGCCAGGAGCTCGAGACCAGCCTGGCCAACATGGCGAAACCCTTTCTCTACTAAAAATACAAAAAATTAGCTGGGTGTGGTGGCACATGCCTGTGATCCCAGCTACTCGGGAGGCTGAGGCACAAGATTTGCTTGAACCCAGGAGGCAAAGGTTACAGTGAGCTGAGATCACACAACTGCACTCCAGCCTGAGCGACAGTGGGAGACTCTGCCTCAAAAATAAATAAATAAATAAGCAATAAGATAATTACTTTGATATCTTTTTAACATTTTATTAACAAGAATATATATTTAATATAGAAAATATGAGAAAAACAGATAAAGGAAACCAGAGATTTTGTTAAAGTCTCATATAGACACTTTAATGTCTATAGATGTATGACTGTATAGGTCTGTGTATATATTAAGTGTTATCTATAATATAATCTTAGACCCTCTTTCATGTAACAATATGCTATGAATATCTTTTCATGTCAGCAAACATGCAAATTATTTTAATGGCTATATTGTCTCCCTTTGAATTACTATACCCCAAGCTCAGCCTCCCAAGTAGCTGGGACTATAGGCATGCACTACCATGCCCGGCTTCTGACCACTTTAAAATCAGTCTTATGGGTTTTATTCTTGCATTTGCATTTTAAGGTATGTAGTAAGCATCCTAAAGTTCCATCTTAGAATCACCCCTAGCTATATCGCAAATCCTTAAGGGTTGGGGAAATCGCTGTTCACAAAACCAGTGTGATGAAAGTTGGCTGAAAGGAAAATTCCTTCCCTAACTGGTTAAACAGAAACCGTAGAATTTGTGCCATCATCATTTATGATGTGTCCCTGAGAGTCTGCCCCATGCTAGGCTTTATTATGGATTGGCATCTGTGTCATTGAGGTTCATCACAAGTTCATGGCAGTTAAAGTATGGCTCACTTGGCCAGGCATGGTGGCTCACGCCTATAATCCAGGCACTTTTGGAGGCCAAGGCAGGTGGAGCACCTGAGGTCAAGAGTTTGAGGCCAGCCTGGCCAACATGGTGAAACCTCATCTCTACTAAAAATACAAAAAAATTTAGCTGGGCGTGGTGGCGCTTGCCTGTAGTCCCAGCTACCTGGGGAGGCTGAGGCAGGAGAATTGCTTGAACCCAGGAGGCAGAGGTTGCAGTGAGCCAAGATCGCACCACTGCACTCCGGTCTGGGCGACAGAGGGAGACTCCATCTCGAAAAACAAACAAACAGAAAACAACAACAACAAAACAAAGCATGGCTCACTCTGGTTCCCCAAGCTCTTGGCTTCCTGGCATGAGAAGGAGAGAAATCCCAAATTGTGAACCTGCAAAGAGCTCACCATGAAATGATTGTTTTCAGAAGGCTCATGGTCCATGGGCCTCCCATGGTGCCTTGGCTCCTACTTATCTTTCTGACCTCCTAGTTTTACCTGTAGCTTAAGGCTGTGAGCGACTGAAAATGCAGACTTCCTCAAGAAAGAAACTTTTTTGACTTTTCATCTATTAGTCCCCAGGGTTTATGAACTTCATATCCTATTTTTCTTTATGACATCTGTTGTTTCATATTATAAAACCAATATATGCCCACTGCAAATATTTTAGAAAACAGAGAAAAGCAAAAAAGAAGAAAAAATTACCCACAATCTTACCATCCAGCTATAACAACACCCAGCATTAGGATATAGGTTTGAAAATCTGAATTTTCCCCCAAAATGCATTACAATATCCTTTCCTGTCATTGAAATTTATTCAACAACCTTAATAGTATCCTCATTAATATACCAAAATATTAAATCATCCCTTGTTTTTGATTATTTAAGTTGCTATTTTCTATTGTTGAAAGCAAATTTTTTTAACAGAAAAGGAGGGAGAGGCACAAAGCCCTCAAGGAATGTAATAGAAAGCCATGGAAGCAATAAATAGGTGGACCCAGAAATGGGAGATGAAGCTTCCAAAGATAAGATACTTCAACTTTACAGTTTGGTTTAAGGACAGCTCCTATTTTTAAAACAGCCCCACTAGGGACTTTTGATGGTGAACTTCCCAGATGCCCGTGACGTCAGGAGGTGAAGCAGGTGCTGCAGTGGGTGGGGCTGGCAGCTGGTGTGCTGCTCACCGAGAAGGGAGGAGGGAGGAGCCACGGAGAAGCCTGGAGAAGGAGTAACACAAGAAAGAGACTGCGCCGTGACCCTGTGGGGAGGCATTTATGCTTTAAACCCCCATAGGGAGTATTCAGAGGGCAGAACCTCAGAAGTAGCTGTGTGGGTGTCGAGGAGGTAGAGCGTTCCTTGCTCCTTACAGACCTCACTCCCCTTTTGCATCCAGGGGCCAATGCTCCTGCCATCAGCCTTGCTCTCTCCTTTTCACTTCTCTTATGGGCTCAGGTGGTTAAAGATGCTTATGATTTTGGCCTGGTGAAAAATCCCTAAGGCAGGAAAGCACATGAAAGGAATTAGGCTATCTTGGAAAAAGGAAGAAAATAAAAACATGTTAATATTTTCTTTAGGCTGGGCGCGTTGGCTCACGCCTGTAATCCCAGCACCTTGGGAGGCCGAGGCAGGCAGATCACCTGAGGTGAGGAGTTTGAGACCAGCCTGGCCAACATTGTGAAACACTGTCTCTACTAAAAATACAAAAATTAGCTGGGTGTGTTGGCACATGCCTGTAATCCCAGCTACTCAAATTTTTTTTAATTAAAAAATAATCAAAAGATTTTAAAATTTAAAAATGCAATGATTTTTTTTTACCAGTGTATGAATAGATCTGTAGGATAAATTCCTAGAAGTGGAATTACTGGGTCCAAAAGCATGTGCATTTGTAATTCTGATGGGTCTTGCCAAATTGCCTTTCGTAGAGGTTGAGCCAGTTATACCCTTTCCAGCAATACATGAATGTTTTTTCCCCACATCCTTGCCAACACAAGCATTTTATCAGACTTCTTGATCTTTGCCCAACTGATAAGTGAAACATAGTATGTTTGTGTACTTTCATTTTACTTTTTGGCTTTTATTATGGAAAATTACAAACTGGTAAAAAAGTAGAGACAAAAGTATAATAGGGTCATTACATTATCACCTAAATTTAACAATTGTTGATATTTTGTTATATTTGCTGATCTATGTTGGGGGTTGAAGCATTGTTAAAGTAAATTAAAGATCATCATACTTTCCCCCTAATTACTCTAGTATGTATCTCTGAAAAACATGAACATTTTCCACCTAACCATGATACCATTATTACACCTAATAAAATTAACAGTAATTCCCTAAAAATATAACCTAATATACACTTGATATTCAGATTTTCCAAGTTGTCTTAAAAATGTCTTTATGATTAGTTTGTTCAAACAAATTAAGGACCATTATTAGATTGTGTGTTTGCATGTGCGTGTGTGCATGCACGTGGGCTTTTAATTTGGACTTCTATTATGAGTGACTTGTACAATTTTTTATACATTTAAGAGATGCTTATAATTTTTTCTGTTAACTCTTTGTTCACATTACTGGTCTTTTTCCTTGTTAATATGTAGGTGCTTTTTGTATATTAAGTAAATTAGCCCTTTATAATGTATGTTAGATATATTTTTGCTCATTTGTTTGACTTTGCTTATGGTGTTTTATCCAATATAAACTTTTTTTTTTCGAGGTGGGTCTCAATCTTTCACCCAGGCTGGAGTGCGGTGGCACAATCATAGCTCACGACAGCCTCAAACTGAGCTCAAGTGATCCTCCTACCTCAGCCTCCTGAATAGCTAGGATTACAGGTGCATGCCACCACACCCCTCTAATTTTTAAATTTTTTTGTAGAGATGCAACCTTGTTATATTGCCAGGCTAGTCTCAAACTCCTGGCCTCAAGTGATCCTCCTACCTTGGCCTCCCAAAGCTCTGGGATTATAGGTGTGAGCCACAATGCCTGGTCCAACACAAACATTATTTTAATGTAGTTGAACTTTCAATTTTTTATTTTATAGCTTTTGGATTTTGTGTCATATTTTGAAAGCCCTTCCCTACACTAACATTGTAGAAAGCATTTACCATGATTGATTTGTTGTTGTTGTTGTTATTGTTGTTTTGAGACAGGGTCTCATTCTGTCACCCAGGCTGGAGCACAGTGGTGGGATCTCGGCTCACTGCAACCTTCAACTCCCAAGTTCAAGCGATTCTCATGCCTCAGTCTCTTGAGTAGCTGGGATTACAGGCGCGCAACACCATGCCCGGCTAATTTTTATATTTTTAGTAGAGACGGCGTTTCATCATATTGGCCAGGCTGATCTCGAACTCCTGACCCAAAGTGATCCACCTGCTTTAGCATCCCAAAAGTGCTGGAATTACAGGCGTGAGCCACCACGCCCAGCCTGATTTTGGTATTTTTATAGTTTCATTTTTTACATTTCAATTTTTGACCCACATGAAATTTATCCTGGAGTATGAGGTATGAATGTAACTAACTTTTCCTGCTTGGCCATCCAGTTTTGCCAATACTCCTTATTGAGTAATTCATCTTTCCCCTTCCTATTAGAAATGCCACCTGTATCAGCCATTAAATGCCTGTATGTACTGGGACTATTTCTGTCCCATTGGTATATCCATCTTTTCATATGCTAGTACAACACAGTTTTACTATAAGTTTACACTATTCTTTGATAGACAAAACATCTGGAAAGGTTGGTAGCCCTTTATTACTCTTATTTTTTGGAATATTCCTATTTGTGGTTGCATGTTTTTTCAATGAAGTTTTTAATCATTTGTCTTTTTTCCCACAAATTCAAATTGTATAATTTAAATATATTTAAAACACTATTAAATATATATTGATTTAGGGTAAATTGATATCTTGATGATGTTGAGTTTTTTATTCAAGACCTCAGCATGCCTTTCCATTTGTCCAGATTTTCTTGTGCCTGCCTCAGGAGCCTTTTAAGGTTTTCTTCGTATGCATTTTGCATACTTCCTTTGAGATGTAATCTGAAACATTTTGTGTCTTTATTAACATTGGGGGCCTTACAAATTCATATTTCAGGAAATGACCCTGCCACACCTTCAGTGCTTCCTTTTGCCTCTAGGATTAAATCTAAACTTCTTAGCCTCTCATTCAAAGCTTTCCACATCCTGTTTAAAACCTGCTTTCCCCTGTAATCCTAGCACTTTGGGAGGCCAAGGTGGGTGGATCACGAGGTCAGGAGTTCAAGACCAGCCTGGCCAATATGGCGAAACCCCATCTCTAATAAAAATATAAAAAATTAGCTGGGTATGGTGGTGCACGCCTGTAGTCCCAGCTACTTGGGAGGCTGAGGCAAGAGAATCGCTTGAACTCGGGAGGCGGAGGTTGCAGTGAGCCGAGATCACACCACTGCACTCCAGCCTAGGCAACAGAGCGAGACTCCATCTCAAAATAAACAAATAAATAAACCAAAAACCTGCTTTTCTCTAACCTGTAGCTATTCCCTAGCCCCTGAATAAGCTTTGGCCTTTTTTTTTTTTTTTTTTTTTGATACAAAGTTTCGCTGTTGTTGCCCAGGCTGGAGTACAATGGTGGGATCTCGGCTCACTGCAACCTCTGCCTCCTGAGTTCAAACAATTCTCCTGCCTCAGCCTCCTGAATAGCTGGGATTACAGGTTCTTGCCACCATGCCTGGCTAATTTTTTGTATTTTTAATAGAGATGAGGTTTCACCATGTTGGCCAAGCTGGTCTCAAACTTCTGAGCTCAGGTAATCCACCTGCCTCAGCTTCCCAAAGTGCTGGGATTACAGGCGTGAGCCACCATGCCCGGCCTAGCTTTGGCCTTTTATGCCTGTCTGCTTGGACTCATTCTGTCTCCCTGGCTCCCCTCCCCTTCACAATCCAAAGCGGCTTTCTTCACCAGGTGCCCCCTCAACCACTCCAATTGGAAATGACCTCTCTCTTCCTGGAACCCTCGAGCATTGACCATATGTGTCATGTACCTGATATGGAATTCAGTATTACCCTGTGATGGCTTTTGTGTTATTAAAGTGAACTGCCACTTATTTATTATGTGCTTGCAAAAGTTAATTGGTGGGTTTGAGTATTGTTTCCTTAACTGTATCTTAAGGCCTTGGGGAGAGTGAGCTGCCCAACGCCCCTGCAGCACCTAGGACAGGGCCCACTAGTAATAGCAGCAGTAGTAATGACGATAACAATGAGAGTTCACATGATGGCAAGCTTTCTCTGTGCCAGCCCGTTCCATGTACAAACTCACTTATTACTGGATATATTTGAGGGTTTTAGTGTCATGGGTGTATTTGACCTGAAACTAAACCTTTGAAGGGTTTCAGGTCACCCAGTCCCAATATTCAGACAATAATTCTGGGTCAGAGCTGATCAGGGAGGAAGATGAGTTTTCTAGGCAAAGACCTAACACATAGCAGGGAATGAGGATGGCCACAACCCGGGAAGGAAAGGGAAAGAAAGGAACAGAGAGGGCCATGCACGGTGGCTCATGCCTATAATCCCAGCACTTTGAGAGGTCAAGACAGGTGGATCATGAGGTCAAGAGATCAAGACCATCCTGACCAACATGGTGAAACCCCGTCTGTACTAAAAAATACAAAAAATATCCAGGCGTGGTGGCACACACCTGTAGTCCCAGCTACTCAGGAGGCTGAGGCAAGAGAATTGCTTGAACCCAGAAGGCGGAGGTTGCAGTGAGCCAAGATTGCGCCGCTGCACTCCAGCCTGGCAACAGAGCGAGACTCCGTTGAAAAGAAAAGAGGAACAGAGAGGAATGAGATGCCGGGGTTTGATGGCAGCAGAGGCTGTCAGCCAGTCCATGCTGGTGGACTCACCCCCTTCCTGCACTGGCAGGGTTAGGGCTCTGGAAATAAGGCCTGGCTCCTGGCAGGGCTGTGCTGAGGCCTCCTTCCCATGGTGGGTCCCAGTAGGATGGCCTGGGTCCCCTGGGGACAGCAGGCCCAGTGTACAGCCACCTCTCTTCCTGTCCACACTACCAGGGTTCCCAGCCTAGCTGGCTCCAGGCCACCGCCTCTCCTGCCCTTGGAAGGCTTGGGATGAGCATCTGGGCTGTGCGGGAGTGAATGTGCTGAGCATGCCAATGCCAGGCGGCTGGAGCCAGCCAGCTCATGGAAATGCCTCTCACCTTGGGGCCTTTTCTCCCCTTCCAATCATCATTAGCCTCTCGAAATCTTTCTGTGTCTCAACATTGCAAAGCGTTTTGGGGCTCTGGGGATTCTGGGTGATTTCACTCCAGCCTTCAAATAAAAGGCAGCTAGGAGGCCACCTGCCTGTGCTCAAAACCTGTGGCTCCCACGTTTGAGGGTCCAGGGGGCATCATTCATGTGGTAAAAACTGGGGAGATCTAAGGGTGCTTTCTGATATTTCTGCACCAATAAATGCACCAGCCCAGTGGCCTAGAATTAATCCATGTTCCCAGCTAGAATCACTCCCTTACCCTTTGCCAAGCACAGATAAATAGTTCTCAGCACCCACGTAATGAAATGTTTGCATTCTTAAAGACAGGAAAAGGAGGAAGAAATACTTTCACTTTGGGGGACACCTACCTCTAAAGGGGCTAAAACTTTCACCCCCCTTAGTCAGAGGCTCCACACCTGACCTGAAGGGTTAGCTACTTAAAGAATAGATCTGGTTTCTAGGGAAAAAACTGTGGGACTGTGGCTGGCTCTGTTGAATCTAAAAATGCCCCAAAATAAGTGCAATTGCTTTCCGTCCAGTATGGCATCAAACTCCCTTTAGTTACATTTCGCTGAAGCAGCATTTGAAATCAGGAAAGTGGTTTAATTTGCTGTTGACAAAAGGGTAAGGGGAGTTTTCTCGCTGAAACTTTGCACAGAGGCCCAGAATAAATGAATGCCGTTTAAATTTTACATGTATTTAGGATTCACAGTCAGTAGTAGTACTTTTCCTCTTCTTGGAAGTCTTATTTAGATGGCTGCTGTAGAATTCTTCATTCTTCATGTATGACTCAAGCCCTCGTCATATTTATAATAGAGTCTGTCTGCCTCAAGGATAGGGACCATCAGTCTTGTCCTTGAGTTCCCCACCACCACCCAGGGCCTGGCACCTGACGGTTGTACGGTAAATATTTGCTCAATGAGTGCACAGAAGAATCAAGGGTCTGAGTTCCTAATACCAAAATAGCCATGAAGCCGGAAGGCATCTGATGCAGCAAGCCTCAGGAACTGCCAGGATTCTACCCTTGAGGCAGAACTGGCTAAGCTCCTCTTTTTGTTATTGTTGAATCAAGATATTTAATAATTTAAAAAGCCAGCCCTTTCACGGTTGAGGCTCAGTCGAGCACACAGCCTGCTCCGACCGGGCAGACCCCGCTCCTGGCTAGGCCACTCCAGGTATGTCCTGGCTGTGATCTCCCCCTCCACTGCCATGTACCCTCCCCAGGGATCCTCCACAACCCTCAGGCCCAGCCTCACTGCCAAGTCACCTCCTTCCCTGAATCTTCAAACCTAAGTGCCCAGAAGCTAATTGCCACCAAACTGTTCATAAATCCAGAGAGGGCTCACTCCTCTCTTCTCACCTTCAATTCTATCTTATTTGTTTTTCTTCTTTTCTGCTACTTTTCTTTTTTTCTCCTTCTCCCCTCCTCTATCCTTTTCTCTCTCTTTTTTTTGTGCCATCCCAGTCTTCTGTCCTCTCTCCAGCATCTTGTCTGAGCTTCCCCAGGTAATGCTGGTGCCTAACTTGGACAGACCACCAGCATTATTTGTACAGAGGCAGTAAGAAGTACCCCACCTGAACTGGTACAGCATGGGCCAGGGGCTTGGACTGGGCTGATGCTGATTTAGGATAGGGGTGTCATGTCACCTTCCCAGGGCTGAGAAAGATAGCGTAAAGCCGCAGACAGCCCTCAGCCCAAACCTTCATTATCCTTACCCCCACATGAGTCATACATTCTACATATCCTGTTCCCTTGCTCATCATTTTCCTCCCCCTATCAGGAACTCCTTGAGGGCAGGAAATTTGTTTTACCTCTGTGTGTCCTCAGGCCTAGCACAGCGCTGCCACATAATAGGAACAGAATCAATGTTTGTACAGACAGCCACAATACAGCTATGGAGTACTGATGGTGCACCAGGCTCCAGGCCCTGGAGACAGAGAAGTGACCAAGACAGATTTCCCTGGGCTCAGGGAGCATCTAGGAGAGAGAAGGAAACGTAAATGCAGGGAGCAGGGCACATGAAGGGAGACCCAACCCAAGCGCCATTTATACTGGCTCTTAAAGGATGAATTAGTGTTAAGTGAAGGAGGTGGGGTAGAGTGGAGGGGTTGAGAGACAGCATTCTAGGCAGAGCGAATATTTGATGGGTTGATGGGTAAGCCTGGCACTGAAATCTGAATTCAATGGCACAACAGTACAGAGTAGTCTGACTGATACAGGGAAACAGATGCTGAATTAGAGGTGTCCTGATACTGTGCATAGAATATGGTGGCAGTGCGAGTGATCTCCTTATTGCCTCTGTTCTGGTGGCATGTGGACCGGTATTGCTACACCTTGATGGCAAATGCTCCAAGGAAGGGAGTGGAATGAATACATCGACTTCCTCTGCCAAGCATGGGGGTACCCTGGGCTTAAGGTAAAACCCCTTGGCCCCATGTCACACTGACCCTGCCAACCTCAGGCACCTCACCAAGGTTCTTCTCTCCACCTAGATGAGCGGGAAGTTGTTCAGAAAAAGACCTTCACGAAATGGGTGAACTCGCACCTGGCTCGAGTGTCCTGCCGCATCACCGATCTCTACAAGGACCTGCGGGATGGGCGCATGCTCATCAAGCTGCTGGAGGTGCTCTCTGGAGAGATGCTGGTAAAGTCCCTTCTGTGGGCCCCGGGGCTGCTGCCATCGGCCCCTCTTCAGCAAAGGCATGGTTTGGGGGCATCTCAAGTTCTCCTGGCCTTCCCAGTTTTCTCTCTGCTCCTTTGGGAGGCTCTAATACTTAGAATGGGAAGCATCCGTGTGGCTGACTGGTCTCTCTGAATTCCTCCCAGAACTTCTTGCCTCCTCTGACCACTCCCACCCCTTCATGCTTCTCCCAGAAGCCATGCAGAGCTCCTGACTTTGGGCTCTGGGCATCTGTAGCTGGCCTGTGATGGCCTGGCCCTCATCTCCCCATCGGGCTAAGATGCATCCCTCTTGGAACCAAGAGGAAAGTGTGGAAGCCATTTTACTGTGTGTTTTACCACCCTTGCAAGTGGAAATTTATTAGAGGCTGTCTCAGTTGTAACCCACCGGCAATACTGTTGACCCCAAAGAAGAAGTAGATGAAGGTTTATGTTTTGCTCAGCCCAGAGTAAGCTTTGTGTCCTTGGGCCTATCAGGCAGGACCCTCTTTTCCTCCATTTCCCCCATGTGTAAAATGAGGGCAATGATACCTGTACCTGATGAAGTTATTCTGAGATCCTCAGAGTTTGAATGAAAAGGCTTGAATGAAATATTGCCTTTTCAACTCCATGCTGAAGTTCTGCCTCTCACCCTGCATTGAAATTCCACTAGAGAGAGTTACCCATGGGGAACCCATCAGATGATGCAGTTATCACTGGGGGAGAGGAGAAGGTTGATTGGCAGGGATGAACCCATTATCAATCACCAAGCTAAAAATTACTCTTAACACTGGCTGGCAGTAAACAGTTCTTAGAACTGTGCCTGGCACATGGTAAGGGATCAATTAACCATATGTTATGTTACCGTAAGCAAATGCCGTTTATTGCCCACTCAGAGGGCTTTGTTCAGCCCCAGAAGGGCACCGATGCAGCCTGGTTACCGATCTCTGGGTGCTTGTTGGAGGGAACCTCTGAGCTTTGCTAAAAGGAAAGCATTGAATAGTGTCAATGAATGACCATGGGACTTGGTGTTTGGCCAAGAGGGTGGAGGGTGGGTGCTTATGACAGGAGCTGGTCCACGCTGCAGCCTCTGGGATGACTGTGCAGTCCCTCCATGCCCACGGGGGCCACTGCTGTCCCCCAGCCAAAGCCCACCAAGGGGAAGATGCGCATCCACTGCCTGGAGAATGTGGACAAGGCTCTCCAGTTCCTCAAGGAGCAGCGTGTACACCTGGAGAACATGGGCTCCCACGACATTGTAGATGGCAACCACCGCCTGGTCCTGGGCCTCATCTGGACCATCATCCTCCGCTTCCAGGTGGGTTCCTGGGGGGTAGAGGAAGTCGAGGGAGCCCTCAAGGCTGCCCAGGGCCTTAGAATCTTATAAAATGCTGAACAGAGTGTGGGTGTTAGTGCACATTCTGGGAAGGCTGTAAATCTGCCACATGGGACAGTGCTTGTAGGAAGGAGTAACCATCTTCTGTATCACCCCAAGTCACTGAAGCTCAGGGGGAGCTGCTCACTCAGTAGTATGGTCTTTTCAGGGAGAAGATAGAAATTAATTGGTAGCTGGGTTGATATCTGGCTGGAAGATTAGCTTTTTAGCCTCCTCCCCCTATACATGTAACTTCTTGGTTTTTGAAATAGATACAGAAAATTGCAAAAATTGTGTAGAAGATCTGTGTGTATATTTTCCAATCAGAAACTTTTCTCTTCTCACCCTGAAATTCAAAGTCCAGATTATTTGTAAGGAAATTTAGAAAGGGGAAGGGGAGGAAAACAGGGTCTTGCACCTGCTGGTTTGGGGACAGAAAGAACCTTGCCCAAGGAGGTGAGGGCAGGAGAAAGAAGAGAGCATACAACTCGCGGACTAAAGACCTCAACCAAGTGGCCCCGCATGTCCGATCTCACTCTCCATGGGTGCATAACATTGAACAACAATAGCAGCAGAGTTGGGGAGAATGGAAAGGCAAGAGGAGCTGCTAATGAAAGTATAGTACTCATCAGCATTCATGTTGTTCCACAGCCTCAAGGGGCATTGCACCTCCAGAGGAGGAATCAGGGCATCTTGTCACTGATTCTCTGCATTCTATTAGAGTTATCCAATTACAGCTGTCTCATCCCTGTGCCATTTTGGCTGACTGAGGCAGGGAAGCAGGCTGCTGGGGCACAGGGCCTCAGGATGTGGTGTTGCTGCGGGGCTGGCGGCTACTCCTTGAGGGCAAGAAATTTGTTTTACCTCTGTGTGTCCTCAGGCCTAGCACAGCGCTGCCACATAATAGGAACAGAATCAATGTTTGTACAGACAGCCACAATACAGCTATGGAGTACTGATGGTGCACCAGGCTCCAGGCCCTGGAGACAGACAAGTGACCAAGACAGATTTCCCTGGGCTCAGGGAGCATCTAGGAGAGAGAAGGAAATGTAAATGCAGGGAGCAGGGCACATGAAGGGAGACCCAACCCAAGCGCCATTTATACTGGCTCTTAAAGGATGAATTAGTGTTAAGTGAAGGGGGGATGAGGGAGGGAGCCTCCCAGGGACGGCAGGAAAGCACAGATCCAGATGCACATCCTCTTCAAATCTCTCTTGTTCTGCTACCCTCAGATTCAGGACATTGTGGTCCAAACTCAGGAAGGTCGTGAAACACGCTCAGCCAAGGATGCGTTGCTGTTGTGGTGTCAGATGAAGACGGCAGGGTATGCCCTGGGAACCAGCTGTTAGCACATCCACCACCAGCCCCTTGCTCCGCACAAGCACTGCCATCTCCAGAGGGACATTAGACATCATCACCCAGAACTACAGCTGCCTCCCTGTAATTGATGCAAAGTCTGTCCTGACCTGATTCTTTGAGGCCTGGAATACAGGATTCTTTTCCAAAGTTGCCTGCAGGCAGACTGGGGGGTCTGTGTGGTGTTCACATCTGATGGGGGAGCCTCTGTGTGTGGTTAGCTGCTGCCCCCTCTTGGTGACCTGGCTCAAGAAAGGACAGTTCCATTTCTCTCCTGGTATATTGGCCCTCAATTTGTACACTTGTTTGGGACTACAAAAAATCTAATTCTTAGCTCTTACTGTTTCTCTTGGATGCAGCTACCCTCATGTTAATGTCACCAACTTTACCTCCAGCTGGAAGGATGGCTTGGCCTTTAATGCCCTGATACACAAGCACCGGTAAGAGGGAGGGGACAGCCGTGGGGACTGACTGAGACAGCCTCCCTGGGAATATTTGGACACATTGCACTTAACATGGAGTCACAGAAATGTGACCTCTGCTGTTCCTTCTCCTCTCCCCTTCAGCAGCCCATAGCACCTTCACTTTCCTTAAATCCCAGCATGCCTGCCGCCCACTTCCCTCATATGCCAAGGCTCACACCTGCCCCCTCTCCTCTGCTCCCATCTCCTCCTTTCACTCCTCCTGCCTGACCACCTCCCTGCCTCTGTACAATGTCTGCTTCATGCTAGGGCTGCCCTCCTGGTGGGGATGCTGTGGCTACTCCCTTTTCACAGTCCAGTTTTGTCCCCAGGCCCGACCTGATCGACTTTGATAAGCTGAAGGACTCCAATGCCCGGCACAACCTGGAGCACGCATTCAATGTGGCTGAGCGCCAGCTGGGCATCATCCCGCTCCTCGACCCCGAAGGTGAGCCACACCCACCCCTGCCAGCCTTTGCTGCAGCAGTGGGGGATGCACTCGCTGTGCTAGAGGAGCTCAGCCGCCAGGACTTCTGGAGGCCGGCCCAGGTGCTGGGCAAGCTGTGGGCACAGTGAGGGGCAGTGGCCAGGCCAGGCTCTGATCTGGGCCTGCTTCTCTGCTCCATGCTGGTTCCCATGCCTGCCTGGTCTGTTTGGAGATGGACTTTGGATCCTTCTTCTTTTCTTCTTTTGTAATGTGTGGTTCTAAAATGGATTTCATCACACTCTTCCATTCTTGCTCTGTTGGTTGTCACTTGCTGCCTGTAGTTGAACTTGATGCTGGAGGAATGGGGAATAAACCCTCTGAGCCTGACTTTCCCGACTTCCAGTTTGGTCCTGAGAGTACACCCTTTTCCCTAACAGATGTCTTTACGGAAAACCCTGATGAGAAATCCATCATCACCTATGTGGTGGCCTTTTACCACTACTTCTCCAAGATGAAGGTGCTGGCAGTGGAGGGCAAGCGTGTCGGCAAGGTACAAGCTGTTTTGGAACCAAAGTGTCACTCTTCCCCTGTTTGTCAGGTCCAGACAGAGTGGCCCTCTTTCCAACCAAAGAAAGGGTGAAGAGTACAGCTCACCCACCCCCCAACTTCCTCTAAAGCTGACCTTGGCAACATTGATGGCTCCTGAGCTGAATTCCAAAGCAGGTTGATGGTCTGTCCTGAAAGGTACCACAGCTGGCTGCTCTGTACCTGGCGAACACCTGGTCCACCTGAGACCCATGTCTCATGGACATCCCCACAGGAACCCTCCAGGCTTTTATGTGGTTTGTTTATTGTGATTGCAGACCTCTTAGGCACCCACAGTGTACCAGAAACTCACCCATTGGTATAGACCCTCATGCCAGATTCCTTCCCTCTGCTAGATCCTTAGCTCTTAGAGTATAGGTACCATTTCTCATTCATCTCTGTGCCTCATGTTTAGTAAAGACAATGGCTGGCAGCCTTTGACTCCTCATGAACATTTAAAAATAAACAAAACCCTGGCCCCCTAGTGGCTGGCATCCTGGCACAGCAAGCTTACCAATCTTCTCTAGCACTGGGGAGGGGAACTGCACCCAACCCTTAACAGGCCAGCTCGCTGCCGATTGGCAAGAGGAGGGCCTCACCCAATTCCAGTCTACTCCTTCTGCCCTACCAGCACACTTGGGCTCAGGGAACAAACCCAGCCTAGAGCACTCCAGGGCTTAGGAGGTGGGAGCCCCATTTCGTGGCACCTTGATTGTGGTCCTCATTGATATCCTCAGTGGTGGCATTGCCCTTCTGATGAGAATAAGTAAGAAGATGATTCCTTAGGTTATTGACCATGCCATTGAGACTGAGAAGATGATTGAAAAGTACAGCGGGCTAGCCTCGGACCTGCTCACCTGGATCGAGCAGACCATCACTGTCCTGAACAGCCGCAAGTTTGCCAACTCGCTGACGGGCGTCCAGCAGCAGCTGCAGGCCTTCAGCACCTACCGCACCGTGGAGAAGCCGCCCAAGTAAGGGCCCTGGCACATGGGAGGGTGGTCCTCAGTGGCTGGGAAACTGACCACCAAAAGGTAGAGCCAGGTTCTGGGCCTTATGAAGTGTGTCCACAAGGCACACCCTCAAGATTAGAGAGCTGTATGTGTGTCACCTGCCTTGTGCCCCTCTTCACCACTCTTCTCCCAAGCCATCAGCTTAGAGAAACCAGCATTGATGAGAAACCTCGACTCACGACCAAAGACAGTGGCTTCTCCCAGATATCCCTGAGGAGGAACAGGAGGGAAATCATAGGCTTCTGAGTCTCTTTGAAGAACCCAGGCTGGAAAGCTCCTCTCTGGTCTGCCACTGAGCTGTGGGCTTGTTTTCTGATGACCTCTGTGCTCTCAGCCCCTGAGCTCTCTGCATGGGGCCTTATGGATTGTCAAGTTCATCCTTCTTTTTCTCTCCCATCTGTCACTGCTCAGCAACAGACCACTTAGCCTGCTTCTCAGGACCTCTGCCCCACCCTAGTGTGTGCAGAGCCTGTGTGCATATGCTTACACACATGTGCATGCAAACAACCGTGCACACACATGCATACCTGCATACACATAACCATGCATACACACAACTGTGCACCCATGAACATGCATGCACACACAAACATACACACACAACCGTGCACTCATACACATACACCTAACTATACATGCATTTATGTGTGCACACATAACTATGCACCCATGCACATATATATGCACATACAACCACATGTACAAATGCACATACATATATACAACCATGCATGTGCACATGCACACACAAACATGCACACATACACACATACACACGGGGCATTCCAGCTTATCTGCCATTAGCTTGTCCAGATCCTCTGAAATAGGCTTCTAGCTCATTGATGGTACCTTCTGCTCTGCTCTTCCCCCCATCTCCCACACTCTGCATTCATGACTTTCAAATGGGGAAAGGTGAAATGCTGAGTCTAGGATATACTATAAACAAGTATCTGGTTTCTAGTCTGACAGTAACCCATTTCTGAAGCCCTAAATCCAATACAGTTAGCATCCTCTATGAGTCTACCAGTCACTGCACACAGAGGTGTTATCTCTTGGCTGTGTAGACAGTGCTTCACGGTCACAGTTCTCTTAAGTGCCTGTGAGCACTGAGATCCATTAGGCTGGGCTCAGGGTGGGGACCTTGCATATAGCTGATCCTTGACTGCCAGGTCAAGGATGCAGAAATGGGTGGACACTTAGGTACATGCAGAAATGTGGAAGTACCTGATACCTGGAGCCTGTACCCCATATGCTAGACACCGATCCTGCTGACAATTCTTGTCTCCTACACCTACAAGCCTCTCAGAGCCCAGCCTTTCCTGCCTTCTGGGAAGCATCTGGCCTGTAGGACTTGTCAGGAGATCTGGCTCATTAGGACCTGGGTGAAAGCTGTTTTCAGTGCAGGATGCTCTCCCACGGAATATGCTGCTTCTGGGGTTTTATTGACTCACTTAATAAGGAACTGACCAGAGAGCTAGTAAGAAGCCCTCATCACTTGCAGCACAGAGAAGGTTTTTTAAAATTTTTTTTGTATTGATCCGTACAACTTGATATTTACAGGAATTACCAGAATACCTCAGCTTCCCATGTAGAGGCAAATGATAAATGCTGTGGTGGCCATTGTGTTTTCTCTGGTTTATATTGTAAAGACCCAAACCCCTAATAGATCTCAGTTGGTGAAAAGGATAGATGTTTTAACAGGTAAGCAGACCTACAGATTCTCTTTAGTTTTTCTGTGTTTTTAAGGGAAATATGCTTTGCTATCTACGCTTCAAGATGCCACAGTTCCGTGTTGACTTTAGCAAAAAAATTTGGCCATGAGATCTTAACATCAGTCTTCCTACTTCTGTTTTCTTGACAGGTTTCAAGAGAAGGGGAATCTGGAAGTTCTACTTTTTACCATCCAGTCCCGGATGAGAGCCAACAATCAGAAAGTGTACACACCCCACGATGGGAAACTAGTGTCTGACATCAACAGGGTACCACAGCATTTTCCGTTATGCATTGACAGTAGATTGATTGAATTCCCGATAAGGACACAGTGAATGGTCATTGGACCAGATTAAACCAAGCCACTTTCTTTGATGTTATTAATCCACATGTTGACTATTTGGGGGAGTTATCGAACCTGGTTCTGAGGGGTCAGACTCTACTCCCCCACCCTCCTTCAATCCCCCTGTTCAGATGCCCTGCATCCCTGAGTCCTTTTTTTTTTTTTTTTTTTTTTTTTTTTTTTTTTTGGAGACAGGGTCTCACTCTGTCACCCAGGTGGTAGTGCATTGGCACAATCACAGCTCACTGCAGCCTCGTCCTCCTGGGCTCAAGTGATCCTCCCACCTCAGTCTCAGTAGCTGGGACTACAGGCATGCACCACCACACCTGGCTAAATGTTACATTTTTTATAGAGACAGAGTCTGGCAATGTTGCCTAGGCTGGTTTTGTACTGGGCTCAAACAATCCTCCCACCTTGGCCTCCCAAAGTGCTGAGATTACACGTGTGAGCCATCACACCCAGCCTCCGAGTCCATTTTTTTGGAGCCAGTTTTGTAGCCTATCCTCTGTAGAACCTTGAGTTTGTCTTTGAAGATGGAATATTAACTACTTATAACCAAAGGGAAATGCCTATGACATTTCAGAGGCTTGGAGGCTTACCACCACCTGGCAGTTCATATTGAACGGAGGTAGCCATTAGTCAATAAGAACTTACTGAGCATCCAGAGAGGTGAAAAACATTATTTTGGGCCAAGAGTCTGAGGCAGGTTTAGGGGAAGAGGGAAGTGAGACTCATGAGCAGTGCCCTCTGAATCTTTGATGGGCCCAGACATGAAAGCCAAAGGCTTTTATTGATCTTTAATCTGCTACCACGTCACCCAAGAGCATCAGGCTGTACCTTGATTCCAGAAATCACTCAGTGTTGGGTGAAAGGGGTGGAGCCCCCAAAGTGAGGCATTTCTCCTGTGCCCCAAGAATTCTCATTCCATCCTTTGTGCAGGCCTGGGAAAGCCTGGAGGAAGCTGAGTATCGGCGGGAGCTGGCCCTGAGAAATGAGCTCATTCGGCAGGAGAAGCTAGAGCAACTGGCCCGGCGCTTTGACCGGAAGGCCGCAATGAGAGAGACCTGGCTCAGTGAAAACCAGCGCCTCGTGGCCCAGGTAATGAGGGACATGCTTTGGGTGACAGGAGAGGGGACATTCTTCAGAGCCCCCAGCTCTTGGCTGGGCTGGAGTCCAAGCTGGCTTCTCACAGCCTCTCCTCGTGCCTTGCAGCACAGCTCCCCCGTGATCCAGTGGATCAAGATTTGCATCTGGGGAGGAGCTCTCCAGGATTTATTAAATCTCATTTTTAGGAAAGAGCCTTGGAGTCTAGAACTGGCCGCTGAAGTTGTCTTATGTGGGCCTGTAGTGTCAACTACAGCTGGGGTTTCAGTTGATGTTAAATTGTGGTTCTTGGGGGATATGGTAAAATCACAGACTGCACCTTGTCTGTGTCAGGCATGCCTTTTGGACTCTGGTCTCTGGTGCTGTGACATAATTCTAGCTAAGAATTGACCCCAGGGCTGATTCTTCATCAGAGCATCTGTTCCCTCTCACTTAAAGCTTGGAATCAAATTAGATTCTGTCCAGAAAGGGGGCAACAAGTATTCTGAGAGCACTGGAGAGTGTATGCGCACCCCAGATAGCATGTGAATAAACCATCTGTTTGCTGGTGCATGGGTTTCCGAGTGAGAAGCAGCCCCTTCCTGCCCCAAATCCAACAGGTCCACTCGAGGCATGTGGGGAGTGCCAGCAGGCTGCCAAGGGGCTCCATTAGTAACACGCAGGCTGCATCTCCCACGCGGGTGGCACGGGGAGTAAAATCATGAACTTCTCTTAGAGTCTCTTGTGAGACATTAATTTTTGGAACTTGGGTCTGATAAGACAGGCTGCAAAAGTAAGGCAGAACTAGCTGCTTCTTGGGAATGTGCTTTCCCATCTAGCACTGGTTCTGAAGGGAGCTGCCCTGTCCCTGAGTTTGGGGATGAGCCCCTGGGTGTCTGACTGAGCTGCCTGTTTTTCTCCCGGTGGGGCAGGATAACTTTGGGTATGACCTGGCAGCTGTGGAGGCCGCCAAGAAGAAGCATGAGGCCATCGAGACCGACACGGCTGCCTACGAGGAGCGGGTGAGAGCCCTGGAGGACCTGGCTCAGGAGCTGGAGAAAGAGAACTACCATGACCAGAAGCGCATCACGGCCCGCAAGGACAATATACTGCGCCTATGGAGCTACCTGCAGGAGCTGCTGCAGTCCCGGCGCCAGAGGCTCGAGACCACCCTGGCACTGCAGAAGCTCTTCCAGGACATGCTGCACAGCATCGACTGGATGGATGAGATCAAGGTGGGCCCTGGGGGCCGCCCCCGCCATGCCCTGCAGTGCTCACCTTGGGTCTCAGTGGCCCTGCAGTTAGCATAGGCTTCCTTAGACACCTCCCAGCCAGTCATATCTCTGAGTCAAAATAGAGAAACTGAGGCAGCAAAGTGTCTAGCTGCACCTGCCTCTCTGCCTCTTGGTCCACTCTGCTCCAGCAGGTGATACCAGCCCAGGTCCATGGTACCCTGGTGACCGAGAAATCTTGGGTTTGTGGCAGCACCGGTGCCAACCTTCAGGGCCTTGAAGAGACAGACATTAATCAGGAACCTGGAGAATCAAGCTCTTAGTAATTACAATTTGACTCTGGTTAGAATCCAGACCTCCCAGCATGAGGGCAACCTCTCCTCTCTCTCTGCCGCAGTGGGTCTCAGCTGAGGACACACATCAGACTGCCCCTGGAGCTTTGTGAAAATACACATGGCCAGGCCCCAACCCTGAGACCGATGCAGTAGATGAGTGTGGGGCTTGAGCATCTGTAAGATGTTCTATGGATGATGCTGATGGGCACCCCCAGTAGGCACTCTCCCTCTGGAGCTTCTTCCATCCTCAGCAGCAGCCCTTTTCTGGCTGCATTTGGCTCACCCTTGCTCAGATTACTAGAGACATGCCCTTTGCAGGGGTCTCTTCTCCTAATGTGTAGGTCTCTTCACTTCTCCTCATTTCCTTTCTGCTGTTCTCTTTGCCAGGCTCACCTCTTGTCTGCCGAGTTTGGGAAGCACTTGTTGGAGGTTGAAGACCTGCTACAGAAGCACAAGTTGATGGAAGCTGACATCGCCATCCAAGGGGACAAAGTGAAGGCCATCACCGCAGCCACCCTGAAGTTCACCGAGGGGAAAGGTGAGACCAAGTCTGTCTCCCCTTTTGAGGCTTCCAATGCCAGAGCCTCACCTCTGGCCTAACAACCCAACTTGGATAAATCTCCTGGAACCAACTTTAAAGTTCTGTTACTTTCATCAAGTAATGGTCCAAGAAAGAAGCTTGAGGGACCAGCCAAATTCTCTAGAGAGCAGGCAACTGCTTCGGTAACCTATAATCACCAAGGAGGCACCCTCTGTCCTTCATTCTCCTTGCTAGTTCAAGTTATGGCTGAGACAATTTAGGTTTCCAGATTCTTGTTTTAAATAAGAGACCTCACTGCATCTTTCAAGAATGACCTTGAAATTTTTTTAATTAATTTAAAAATAATTTTATGTTGTACATTTCTATTAAGAACTAACCCCACTTTTTATCTTCCTTAACCCTGAAGTTCAGTGGGAAATAATTATAAAGAATCTGTCCACCCTCTGAGCAACTGGGACCCCCCTGCATCCAACCCCAAAGCCCCAGTGACATGGCAGCTTCAGGGTTGTGTAGTTCCAACCTAGCAGCTTATCTGAAGCGTGCCCATAAATGAAGCCCATCCCCCACTTTGTCCTCCTTCCCCCTATTTCTTCCAGGGTACCAGCCTTGTGACCCCCAGGTCATCCAGGACCGCATCAGCCACTTGGAGCAGTGCTTTGAGGAGCTGAGCAACATGGCAGCTGGGCGGAAGGCCCAACTGGAGCAGTCCAAACGACTCTGGAAGTTCTTCTGGGAGATGGATGAGGCTGAGAGCTGGATCAAGGAGAAGGAGCAGATCTATTCTTCCCTGGACTATGGCAAAGACCTGACCAGTGTGCTCATCTTACAGCGCAAGCACAAGGCCTTTGAGGATGAGCTCCGTGGGCTGGATGCTCACCTGGAGCAGATCTTCCAGGAGGCTCATGGCATGGTTGCGCGCAAGCAGTTTGGGCACCCGCAGATCGAGGCCCGCATAAAGGAGGTGTCGGCACAGTGGGACCAGCTGAAGGACCTGGCTGCCTTCTGCAAGAAGAACCTCCAGGATGCTGAGAACTTTTTCCAGTTCCAGGGCGATGCGGATGACCTGAAGGCTTGGCTGCAAGACGCCCACCGGCTGCTCTCTGGTGAAGATGTGGGGCAGGACGAAGGGGCCACGCGGGCCCTGGGGAAAAAGCACAAGGACTTCCTGGAGGAGCTGGAGGAGAGCCGTGGGGTGATGGAGCACCTGGAGCAGCAGGCCCAGGGATTCCCCGAAGAGTTTCGGGATTCCCCAGATGTGACCCATCGGCTGCAGGCCCTGCGGGAGCTCTACCAACAGGTGGTGGCCCAGGCGGACCTGCGTCAGCAGAGGCTGCAGGAAGCCCTGGACCTGTACACGGTGTTCGGGGAGACAGACGCCTGTGAGCTGTGGATGGGAGAGAAGGAGAAGTGGCTGGCCGAGATGGAAATGCCAGACACCCTGGAGGACCTGGAGGTCGTGCAGCACAGGTCAGAGTTAACTCATCTTTTCCTCACGTCCCTGTACCCAGGCCTGGGCACCATCTCCCACCTAGTTTGGTAATAGTCTCTGGATCAGCAAAGGTCTCTTTGAGAGGCCCTGGGATGTCCTTTGTTGCAAAGTCCTGGCATTAGGAGTCATAAGTTCTATTCTGGCTCTGTGGCCTGGGGTACTTCACCCTTTGGGGCCTTGTGTTCCTCAAACAAAGGGAATTTATCTAGTCCAGTTATTCAATTACTTTTCAGCAATAGCAGTCTTTGCTCAGATGAATTGTGTATGGAACCCCCAGGTCACACAGAGGAAAAATGGAGCTACTCTGGAGAAGGAGGTTGAGAGGCCAGGACCCTGCCAGCTCTAGCTTTCTGTGGCAGTCCTTAAGCCAGGAGACTCTGAGGGGCCACAGAGAGAATTTGCAAACCCCCTGTCTGCAAGGCCACTCTCACCCCTGGTGTTCTGATTTTGTCAGCACCCCAGATGATGAGGCATGCCCCAGTCTGTGCAGCATCTCAGCAGCTGAAGCACAGAATTCAGGCAGTCAGGAGAAGGAGAGGCCGCTCTCTGGAACAGTGCCAAGGTGGTGCTGCACTGATGCTGGAGAGTCCTGGGCTCTTACCCTAGAAGGATCGGCCTTCAGAACCACAAATTCCCCCCGACCACCGCCCCAGCAGCTTTTCCTTATCTTACCCAGGAATGGAGCACCTGGCTGGAAAGGGTATCTTTTGGGTTAAGATGTCAAGGCATTGGACTCAGAGTCCAAAAGCAACAGCCGGAAAAGCAGAGGCCTGGAAGGTGGCCCTTGTGACAATTGACATCCCCCACACAAATACACAGTAACCTCTCTTCAGCCCTCCCTCCCCTTCATATGTCTCTCTTGAGCCAGAAGCCCGTGTAGGAAGTAACTGGCTCTCTCCCGGCCTGTTCCAGGCAATGCTAACTCATGAAATCAAACCCATGAACCAGAAAGGAGGGCCAGCATATCTGTTTTCTTCCTCCTGCCTCACCTGGGCAAATGGTTTAGGCAGTGGAAGGAGAAAGCAAGAGCTACATGTTCTGGAGACTGGGGGTGCCACTGGCAAGGAAATGTCTGCTGCCGCCTCACCCATCCTCATATTTTCCTTTGCCCATATCAGGTTCGACATCCTGGACCAGGAGATGAAGACCTTGATGACTCAGATTGATGGTGTGAACCTCGCTGCCAACAGCTTGGTAGAGAGTGGCCACCCACGCAGCAGGGAGGTGAAGCAGTACCAGGACCATCTGAACACCAGGTGGGGTGTGGGTAGGGCATGGGGCGGGGGCATTGTCTCTCAACATCTGACACACTGCTGGGGGCCGGGCCCAAAATTTAGTCCACCTAGTATGCACCAACACTTCTATACCCTCAACATTCCTGTCTTTTTTTTTTTTTTTTTTTTTTTTTTGACACAGAACCTCACTCTTTTACCCAGGCTGGAGTGCAGTGGTGCGATCTCGGCTCACTGCAACTTCCACCTCCTGGGTTCAAGCTATTCTTGTTCCTCAGCCTCCCAAGTAGCTGGGATTACAGGCGTGCGATACAATGCCTGGCTAGTTTTTGTATTTTTAGTAGAGATGTGGTTTCACCACGTTGGCCAGGCTGGTCTCATTCCTGGCCTCAAGCGATCTGCCCACCTCGGCCTCCCAAAGTGCTGGGATTACAGGCATAAGCCACCGCGCCCCCACCGACATTCCTGTCTGTCTCAGCCACAGTCCCCTTCCCAGTAGTACTGGAACTATAGCAGCAAGGAGGAATGATTGAGGTGGTGAACAGCCCAGGGAGGGAGAGAGACGAGTCCTGGGAGGCTCGAATGCTGTGCCTGGGGAGGGTGGGTGTGTATGTGTGATGGAGGGCACATCCCAAGTGTGCCCAAACTTAGAATCAGGCCATATGCTTCTCATGCTATATTTCCCTGGACATTCTTGGGCAGAGAAAATTGCTTTCTGAGAGCTCTTAAGTACTGTCCATAAAATAATGCTCCTGCCTCTGCCAAATGCAGTATCGATAATGAGGCTGGCTTGAAGGAAGAGGAGAATTAGCAGGGAGCCTTAAGCAAGCTTTGTGGCCAGAACAAAAAATAGGCCCCAAGGAGCCTTTAGAGAGGGGGTGCTTTCAGTGTGGGGTGAAATTGCCCATGAGTTCCTGGAGGATCTTTGAGGACACCGCAAATGCCTGCATTCCCTGTCTTTACCGTGGGCCCTGCACATGCAATGCCACATGTTCACCACCTCCCCATTACCCCAGCCCCTTCCCCACACCTGTGCCTGAGCGTTGCTCTGCCTGAGGCAATCTGGGAGGTGGGCCTAGGGAAGACTCCATTGTAAAGAAAGGGATCGGCACAGTGGAGAGTTCACTGGGGGGCTAAGGGGAGGCAGCGATGACCAGAATTCTTTAGAGCCACTAGAATGGGATGATTGTCTTAGCAGCCCAAGCTGCAGAGTGCGGTTTAGGAGATTCCTTTGTCAATCTGATGTTTTACAAAGGAAGAGAATACCTCTTCCCTCTTCTTTCGCCTTGTAGGTAATGAGTTTGTGTGTGTTGGTGGGCAGGAGGTGGTAGAGATTATTGCAATTGCTGCATAATTGAGGAAACTAGAGCAGGTCTAAACCAGAGAAACTTCCTGAGAGGAAGAACTCATCAGCTCAACAATAAACTATAGTCTGAGAATGTTGATCTTTACAGACCCCTAAAACAGGCCCCATCCCCAAGAGAAAAATATCAAGGTACCTGCCATCCTTAAGTGAGAAAAAAACCCGAGGCATGAAATTAAATTTGAGAGTTGAAAGGAACCTGAGAAGTCACCCAGTCTAGCCAGTGATGGGGAACTCACTCCCTCACCCGGCAGCCTATCTCATTTTTGGGCAATTCTTTTTGGTTAAAAAGTTTGCTCTTCCATTGAGTGGAAATCTGCCTCCTTGAAATGCGTACATATTGATTCTGGCTCTGCCCTTGAGAGATATCACACTTACCCTGGTTCCTCTTCCGTGTATAGCTCTTCAATTATTTTTCAGAACAATGCTCATTCTATACCTCCACCCCCAGTGTCGCCTCATGCCTCTGCGGTTCTTTCCCTCAGGGTGCATTCTCCCTCCCTCTACATATTCCAAATCCTGTCTCTGCATGAGCCAGTCCAAGTCGCTTGCTTTCCAGTTTTCCAGATGAAAAGCAATCTTTTCCTCCTTTGTACTGGTTTTGAGCTTCATATCCTATCTTACATTCTAATTATTTTTGTCCCCAAGGACTTTCCTGCTAGACTATGTAAACAAATGAAGACCTGTATCTATTTATATTGCCCAAGGGCTTTGCACACCTAATACATTTTTGGGGTTCCTGCTGTTTAGAGTATTATTTTCCTAGCTATGCCCTTGGCTTACTCTTTTTATTCAGGTCTCAGCTCAAATGTCAGCTTACTGGCATGGCCCCCGCTGACCGCCCCATGGAAAGCAGCACATCCTTCCTCTCACTGACCCACTTGGCCTCTATATTGTTACCTTCTTTTATTTTTTCTTTGCGCTTATCACCACTTGATGGATTATAGACTTGTTTATGTCTCTATCCACTTGAATGAAAGCAAGGACTTTGCATTACTCTTTATTAATTAATTAATTAATTTTTTATAGAGACAGAATCTCACTCCATTACCCAGGCTGGAGTGCAGTGGTACAATTTTGGCTCACTGCAGCCTCAGCCTCCCAGGCTCAAGTGATTCTCCCATCTCAGTCTCCTGTGTAGCTAATGCTACAGATGCACACTACTATACCCAGCTAATTTTTTGTTTTTTTTGTAGAGATGAGGTCTCACTATGTTTCTCAGGCTGGTCTTGAACTCCTGGGCTCAAGAGATCCTCCGGCCTCAGCCTCCCAAATTGCTGTGATTTACAGGTGTGAGCCACTGAGCCCAGCCTGCATAGTTCTTTGTCATATCCCTAGTGCCTAGGTCAGTGTCTGCCACAAGGCAACTGAGAGTTGCTTGATAAATGCTTAGTACATGAGTGAACTGGGAAAAAACTAAGGTTTTTCTGCCAAGCTTATGTGTGAGTCATTCAAACACTTGATGAATGTGTGATCATCTTTCACCGTATGCTTTCCAGTTGAAGAAAAACCTGGCCCAGGACCAAACCTAGACTCTTGATGTTGCCTGACCAGTGATAACTAGAGTGGCTCTATCAACCTCCTCCATCTCAAAGACAGTGCAGTGGAGGGGGCAAGTGTAGGTTTGGGAAGCAGACTAGACCCAAGCTCCAGTGCATCTTGGTGTGGCCTCCACCCAATGGCTACAGTGAGGCCACTCCAGGAAAGGCCTGGAAAATCACTATGGGGCCTCTTGCCTGGGGACACAGCCAGACCCTCTCCCAGGAACACTTCCCTGTCGATTCCAGGGCTTTCAAACAAACTTGGAGAAAACCCCTTGATTTCCTAGCCTCAGAGCACCATCTGTGTGCCAGACAGGCACGGAATTCCCAGAGCACGGGGTCTTCATGGTCTAGGATGGGAGCCGAGAAATCTGCAGGCTCTCTCTCCTCTCTCGTATCCCTGGTCTCTCCCAGCCTGTCTCTTATATCTCTCTGCAGACCTTTCAAATCATACTGGCTGCTGTTGTCACACCTTGGGAATGCACAACAGCGCTCTCTGTCCAGTCCATCTCCTAGTCCCTCAGCCTCCATCCCCTGAGGCAGGGTACAAAGATGAATGAGACACTTGGTCCCATCCTTTAATTGGTCACTCCAGTGGAGGCACTGGGGGTGTGTTCACTGACTGGGGCTTTGTGTCCAGTGATGGGTTGTGTGGAGGTCACGTGAGCAACTGTCACCCCATTGCTCCTTCCAGCTGCCTTAATCCTCCTCTCTGCCTGTTAGGTGCTGTGCACATGAAACTTTATGCTATGTTATTTGTGAGCTTGTCTGAATATTTCTCTAAATCATACACCCCACAGGGCATGGTCTGGTTATGTCTATATTCTCCCAAAGGCCAATAAAATGGCTTATACCCCTGTGGGTGTTCGAGAAAGATGGGTTCGATTAGAGAATGAGCATTCAGCCTGCATATTACAGTGATGCAGAATGAGTGAACCTAGGCCCAAGGGCAGTGTCCCTAGTGGTCTGGCCTGGCTGATGGGCAGCTCTTTGAAAGAGGCTTATCGTGTACTGCAGACTGACCCCAGGCCCCCAGGCATCCGCCAGACCTTAGCACATTTCCGTATTTCATAGCAACACTGCACTCGAAGGTTAAGATTATGCTAGTCACTTAAATTATCATCACAACTTATTCCTCCCCATTCTCTTCTTCCCTGTCCTCTTCTTCCTCTTCTTTTTCACCAGGGCATCTTTTCTCTTAGATCCAAGGTGATCTCTTTCAGGCCCTAGGAGACGTTGCATGTGGCCTTGGGCATTTACTTGGTTCCTCTAGGGCAGCTGGGGACCCTATGTCCTGAAGCATTCTTGAAGTTAATGTGAGCCTTTTAATTATTTTGATATTTCATAAACTCTGGGGAAATTGTATATTTGCCTGAACTCCAACTACATGCATAGACTTTGCTTTCATGTTCCTTTACTTATGGTTGGAGTCACATAATTAATTGCCCCCTGCTGATCAAAAGATCTGATTGACAGTTATATATGTCTTGAGTAAAATTGGAGAAGTGAATTTTGCTCACCTACACTTCGTTAGGTAGATTTTTTTTTTTCTTTTTATCATACAAAGTCTGTGGGGGGAGACTTGTGGGAAATGTGGGAAGGGGTCAGGGTCTCCTATGGGAAGAAGAGCTAAGGGAGAAGGTGTCTCTCTCCTCCGGGCTGTGTCCCCATCCGGCAGGTGGCAGGCATTTCAGACCCTGGTGTCGGAGCGGCGGGAGGCTGTGGACTCAGCCCTCCGAGTGCACAACTACTGCGTAGATTGCGAGGAGACCAGCAAGTGGATCACGGACAAGACAAAGGTAGTGGAGTCCACAAAAGACCTGGGGCGGGACCTGGCAGGTATCATCGCCATCCAGAGGAAGTTGTCAGGGCTGGAGCGTGACGTGGCCGCCATCCAGGCCCGTGTGGATGCCCTGGAGCGTGAGTCCCAGCAGCTGATGGACTCGCACCCTGAGCAGAAGGAGGATATTGGTCAGCGGCAAAAACACTTGGAGGAGCTGTGGCAGGGCCTGCAGCAATCCCTGCAGGGCCAGGAGGACTTGCTGGGGGAAGTCAGCCAGCTGCAGGCCTTCCTGCAGGATCTGGATGACTTCCAGGCCTGGCTCTCCATCACCCAGAAGGCTGTGGCCTCTGAGGACATGCCCGAATCCCTCCCAGAGGCTGAGCAGCTCCTGCAGCAGCATGCAGGTATCAAGGATGAGATTGACGGGCACCAAGACAGCTACCAGCGTGTTAAGGAGTCTGGGGAGAAAGTGATCCAAGGCCAGACGGACCCAGAGTATCTGCTTCTGGGCCAGCGGCTGGAGGGCCTGGATACTGGCTGGAATGCCCTGGGCAGGATGTGGGAGAGCCGCAGCCACACCCTCGCTCAGTGCCTTGGCTTCCAGGAGTTCCAGAAAGATGCCAAGCAGGCTGAAGCCATCCTCAGCAACCAGGTAGAGAGGCATTCAGGGCTGGGACAGGCGGGTCTCTCAGGGCAGTAGCTCTTGTGGTGAGTCCACAAATGTGCTGTAAGACTCAGGGACCACATTACTCTTGTCTTGTACTCTGTATTCACTCATGGGGGAAATCTTTGTTTCTCATTAGGGGCCTTTTCCAGCCTTGTGTCCCAAACTACGCCTTGTTCTTGGGTCTATCAGAGGCTAGAGAAGCGCATTTTGCCCTGGGTGGTTAGCCTTCCATGTGGCTTTAGGCACACTGTTTATTGTGTGCCCCTGGGGTAGGGGTGGGGGCAAGGCCTGGGGAGTAGTGCCTCCTCCCTGTACTACTCTAGGGGGCTCATTCATACCGTGGCCTGTGTGGCTGCACGTGGTGCTCCCACTTGGGAGGTGTGCTCATCACCTCCTCCGTGTGTCTTCATGCCTTGTCTGGAAACTTGTTCCAACAGGAATACACTCTGGCTCACTTGGAGCCCCCAGACTCCCTGGAAGCTGCAGAGGCTGGGATCCGGAAGTTTGAGGATTTCTTGGGGTCTATGGAGAACAACCGGGATAAGGTCTTGAGTCCTGTGGACTCTGGAAACAAGCTGGTAGCTGAGGGAAACCTATACTCAGACAAGATCAAGGAGAAGGTGCAGCTGATTGAGGACAGGTACTCCCGGGCCCCAGGGCCACGAGGCCCCCAGAGCCACACGGGGGTAGTGAGGACCCCAAGCTTGGTGAGGACCCCAAGCTCGGCACTATTGTGACTGTGCTTTTGGCTTCCTTTCCAGGCACAGGAAGAACAACGAGAAGGCCCAGGAGGCCTCTGTCCTACTGAGAGACAACCTGGAGCTACAGAACTTCCTCCAGAACTGCCAGGAGGTGAGGCTCCAGCAAGGAGTGGCTGCTTTCCTGGAGATTCCTTTCTAGAAGCAGAGTTCCCTCAAGGCAGGAAGTCCACAGGGATCCTTTCTAGCTCAAGAGCTGTGGGATTCCATGAGCGGGGACCTCTGGGTACTTAATTGGGTCATTCTCTGGAATCTTCAGTTGCACTGTTTTTTTTTTTTCAAATCTGAAAAGTCATCCTTAACCTGTCAAGTCTAGGCCAGAGTTTCTTAAGAGTAGTCTAGGGACAGTCTATTTTAGAATCACCTAGGACCCAGTCTGGGCCAGCTTTGAGGATGTGTGACCTGTGTCACACCCTGTGCTTTGCTTAGAAGGGCCCTGGGCTCAGGTTAATGCTCTACTCTTGCCATCTTGAAATTCTTCATGCTTTTGAACAACTCCATTTTGTACTGGGCCCTGCAAATTATGGAGCCAGTCCTGGTCCTAGTTAAAGCAGACCCCTGGGTCCCACTCAGGCCAGATGAATCAGAACTTTACGGGGTGAGACAGAGAAAGAACATTTTAAACAAACCTGCCAGTTGGAAAACTGCTAGCTCAGAAGGTCCTTGCTCAACCTGGGACCAGCTGTACAAGGAAGGTCTTTAATCCGCCTTCCCAGGTCCCTCCATTGACAGTACTTTCTACATGGAATGGGGTTTTCCCTGACTTCTTTCTTGTCATACTCCTTTTCTCTCAGCCCAGACAACTTTGTTTTCATTGACCTCTGTCCTTGGCTTCTTCCTCAAATAACATTTTTTCCTGTGTTTATCAAGGATCTCTCACCCTACGGCCAAAGGACGGATTTATCCACCTATCCAGTAAACACTCGTTGGGTTCCTAGAATATGCTAGGCCCTGTCCTAGGTCCTCAAAATATGGAGAGGAGCGTAAAGTATCCCTGGTCTACACCACACACACTCCAGTGGGGAAGATGCACCTGTGCCCACATTTTAGCCCTGGCCTGTCATGGGTAAAGTTGCCTGTGCTGGTACAGAGGGATCCAGAACTGCAGATGGGTTCTCTTCTGTGCTTGCACTTCCTCCCCATGGCCTTCTCCTTCTGCAGCCAGGGATGGGCAGCAGGTTCTGCTCTGCCAAAGAAATATACTCAGGGATAGTCAGCCCACTCTTTATGCACACAGCTCACTCTCTGGATCAACGACAAGCTGCTGACATCTCAGGATGTCTCCTATGATGAAGCACGAAACCTTCACAATAAATGGCTAAAGCACCAGGCGTTTGTGGCAGAGCTGGCTTCCCATGAAGGGTGGCTAGAGAACATCGATGCGGTAAGTAAAGTGATTGGGCGGCGGGTGGGTGCTCTGCTCAGATAGGCTTGCCTGGATGGGCTTCACCCAGGGTGTGGACCCTGTCCTAAAGCTTGCTGACAGTACAGAACGTGGCAGCGAACAACTTTTCTAAATAGTAGCTAAACCTTCAGAGCTCCTGATGTAGTCAGTCTTAGTACACCTGGTCAGAATCAGTGCCTCTTCTGGGTCACCTGAATCTGGGGACAGCCCAGGACACTGAGGACATCTAGTTAGAGCTTCAGTGTCCAGTGCCAGGACAGCAGTTATTAATGTTTGCTTTCCATTGCCTTCACCAGGGCTCCAGCACTGTCCTGCACAGGGCTGGAGGAATAGGCAAGATGATCACAGTGGTCCAGGGGAGCCATTAATCCTCATCATTTGGATGGACAGAACCACTGGGGAGTGGTCGTTTCCACTCCTTATAGATGGCGAACCAAGGGACCCCTCTGTAGTGAGTTTGCCCAGTGGACAAGTCCAAATGTGGCTGGAATTAGATGTGGAAATCACTACCTTTGCTCATCTCTACCATGGCTGTCCATGAAAAAGCAGCCCTAGGATCAGACTGACTTCTTAACCTCCCTGTGCCTCAGTTTCTCCCTCTATGAAATGAGAGTAATAATAGGACCTTCCCAGTGGAGTTGTGAGCACTAAATGCTTAAAGACAAATGAAACATTTAGCATAGTACTTGGCAATTATGAGACACTCAATAAATATTAACTATTAGGCCAGGCACGGTGGCTCACAGCTGTAATCCCAGCACTTTGGGAGGCTGAGGTGGGCGGATCACCTGAGGTCTGGAGTTCGAGACCAGCCTAGCCAACATGGCGAAATCCCATCTCTACTAAAAATACAAAAATTATCTGGGCATGGTGGCATACGCCTGTAATCCCAGCTACTCAGGAGACTGAGACACAAAAGGGCTTAAACTGGGGGGCGGAGGTTGCAGTGAGCCAAGATTGTGCCACTACATTCCAGCTTGGGCAACAGAGAGAGACGCTGTCTCAAAAAAAAAAAAATTAACTATTATTAGTGATATAGATTCCTAAGTCCAATTTATATCACACTGTGCCCACCCAAAAATGATACATCTATGCAGATGAAAACCAGGTAAGGCAACCTCAGTAACCGAAGGAGGTCAGCGAAGGTTAGTGCACAACCTCAGGAACTCACGGGGCAGTTTCTGCACTGACTGTACCTGGATGGGTCTGGAATCCTTTTTCTCACAGCAGCTGACCCTTGTCTGCAACTCCCATGCTGCGGTCTCCCTGAGTCATTGCCCCCAGCACTGCTCTCCCTGCCCAGCTTCCCCTACCAGCCATGTCTAACCCTTTGAATATGAGGACCTTTTCCTTATCTGTGGTGGTGCATATCATGAAAATTATGCACAGGCTTTTTTTTTTTTTTTTTAACTCATCAACTATTGTGTTAATGTATTTTATGTGTGTCTCAAGACAATTCTTCTTCCAAAGTGTCCCAGGGAAGCCAAAAGTTTGGACACCCCTGCTAATGCTGGGGATTCAGAGTTCATTTCAGTTGAGTCTTACCCATGTTCTATGAAGATTCTTTGCCTTACTGACCTCCTCTTGGGTAGCCTCTTGCAACCATCAGGAGCAGGGCTGATCCAAGGCCCAGTCAGCCCAGAATGTGAGCTCTCCTCCTTCTTGCCCCTAGGAAGGAAAGCAGCTGATGGATGAGAAGCCCCAGTTTACAGCCCTGGTGTCCCAAAAGCTGGAAGCCCTGCACCGGCTCTGGGACGAGCTGCAGGCCACCACAAAGGAGAAGACCCAGCACCTCTCGGCTGCCAGGAGCTCCGACCTGCGCTTGCAGACCCATGCTGACCTCAACAAGTGGATCAGCGCCATGGAGGACCAGCTGCGGTCAGACGACCCGGGCAAGGACCTGACCAGTGTCAATCGGATGTTGGCTAAGCTGAAGGCACGTGAGTGGGTTGTAGACTCAGAGTGTTAGGATAGAAGGGATAGTGGAAGCCAGTCTGACACCTTTATTTTTAATTTTAGGTTTGGGGGTACATGTGAAGGTTTGTCACATAGATAAACACATGTCATGGGGGTTTATTGCACATATTATTACATCACCCAGGTTTTAAGCTCAATACCCAATAGTTATCTTTTCTGCTCCTCTCCCTTCTCCTACCCTCCCCCATCAAGTACACCCCAGTGTCTGTTGTTTCCTTGTGTTCATAAGTTCTTCTCACTTAGCTCCCACTTATAAGTGAGAACATGTGGTATTTGGTTTTCTGTTTCTGCATCAGTTTGCTAAGGATAATGGCCTCCAGCTCCATCCATGTTCCCACAAAAGACATGATCTCGTTCTTTTTTTATGGCTGTGAAATATTCCATGGTGTATATGTATCATATTTTCTTTATCCAGTCTGTCATTGATGGGCATTTAGGTTGAGTCCATGTCTTTGGTATTGTGAACAGTGCTGCAGTGAACATAAGTGTACATGTGTATTTATGGTAGAATGTTTTATATTCCTCTGGGTATACCCAGTAATGGGATTGCTGGGTCAAATAGTAGTTCTGCTTTTAGCTCTTTGAGGAATTGCCATACCACTTTCAACAATGGTTGAACTAATTTACACTCCCACCAACGGTGTATAAGGGTTCCCTTTTCTCTGCAACCTTGCCAGCGTCTGTTATTTTTTGACTTTTTAATAATAGCCATTCTGACTGATGTGAGATGGTATCTCACTGTGGTTGTGATTTGCATTTCTCTAATGATCAGTGATATTAAGCTTTTTTTCATATATTGTTGCCTGCATGTGTGTCTTTTGCGAAGTGTCTGTTCATGTCCTTTGCCCACTTTTTAATGGCATTGTTTGTTTTCCTCTTATAAATTTAAGTTTCTTATAGATGCAGGATATTAGACCCTTGTCAGATTCATAGTTTGCAAATATTTTCTCATTTTGCAGGCTGTCTGTTTACTCTGTTGATAGTTTCTTTTGCTGTGCAGAAGCTCTTAAGTTTAATTAGATCTCATTTGCCAATTTTTGCTTTTGTTTCAATTTCTTTTAGTGTCTTTGTCATGAAATCTTTGCCCATTCCTATGTCCAGGATGATATTGCCTAGGTTGTCTTCCAGGCCTTTTATAGTTTTGGGTTTTACATTGAAGTCTGTAATCCATCTTGAGTTTATTTTTTTATATGTCTAATGAAAGGGCCCAGCTTCAATGTTCTGCATATGGCTAGCCAGTTCTCCCAGCACCATTTATTGAATAAGGAGTCTTTTCCTCATTGTTTGTTTTTGTCAGCTTTGTCAAAGATCAGATGGTGGTAGGTGTGTGGCCTTATTTCTGGACTCTCTACTCTGTTCCATTGGTTGATATGCCGGTTTTTGTACCAATACCATGCTGTTTTTGTCACTGTAGCCTTGTAGTATAATCTGAATTCAGGTAATGTGATTCCTCCAGCTTTGTTCTTTTTGCTTAGGATTGCCTTGGCCATTCAGGCTCTTTTTTGGTTTCATGTAAATTTTTAAATAATTTTTCTAGGCCAGGCATGGTGGCTCATGCCTGTAATCCCAGCACTTTGGGAGGCCAAGGTGGGCAGATCACCTGAGGTCAGGAGTTCGAGACCAGCCTGACCAACATGGAGAAACCTTGTCTCTACTAAAAATACAAAACTAGCTGAGTGTGGTGGCACACGCCTATGATCCCAGCTACTCTGGAGGCTGAGGCAGGAGAATCACTTGAACCCAGCAGGCGGAGGTTGCAGTGAGCCAAGATTGCACCATTGCACTCCAGCCTGGGCAACAAGAGCAAAACTCCATCTCAAAAATAATAATAATAATAATTTTTCTAGTTCTTTGAAGAATGTCATTAGTAGTTTGATAGGAATAGCATTGAATCTGTAAATTGCTTTGAGCAGTATAGCCATTTTAATGATATTAATTCCTCCTATCACATGAGCATGAGATGTTTTTCCATTTGTTTGTGTCTTCTCTGATTTCTTTGAGCACAGTCTGAAACTTTAAGCAGTCCTACTCTTCCTCTTAACTGGACTTGCTTTTATCATGCAAAAATGTCTCCTGGTTTCTAATCCATCTCCAACCCCTTTTGCAGTGGGTAGGACAGAGACCCAAAATGATGCATGAGAAACAAAACAGGCACTCAGAAGAGGGAAAGATGACTGGGAGCATCCAAGGAGACTCCTTGGAGGAAGTTGAGCTCAAATTGGGCCTTAAAGGATGGGTGGGATGCAGATGAATGAAGAAGATGGAGGGGCTGTGCAGGTGCCAAGGCTGGTGCTGACACCGTCCCCTTGTGTCTCAGCGAGTGGAGGACCAAGTGAATGTGCGAAAAGAGGAGCTGGGGGAGCTGTTTGCCCAGGTGCCTTCAATGGGAGAGGAGGGAGGAGATGCAGACTTGAGCATCGAGAAGCGGTTCCTGGACCTCCTGGAACCCCTAGGAAGGAGGAAGAAGCAGCTGGAATCATCCAGAGCCAAGCTGCAGATCAGCCGGGACTTAGAGGATGAGACGGTGCGTGGGCCACAGCTTCTCCCTACCTCCTGAGGCTGAGCCACCAGCTGCCATCAGAGTAGCTGGCTGCCACCCAGAGCAATTTTTGGCAGTAGATGACTGGTCACCTCACCCCTTATCTCATAGGGTTCTTGTGAGGATTACATTAAATGGAAAGCTCAAGCCAGTGCTTTTGTTGGGAATGCACTGTTCACTTGCTAGTATTGCTCGGTGAAGAGCATGGACTTGGGTCAGACAGACTTGGGTTCGAGATCCAGCTACATTACCTTCCCACTGTCTGACTAGGAGCAAGTTATTTGGAACCTCAGTTCAAAATCCCCAAATATTCTAACCTATAAAATGGGGGCAAAACCCTGATGGGGTGTTGGGAGGAACTGGGGAGACACTGCCAGCAAAGCTCTGCGCCGCCCATGGTGAGCACTCAGGAAAGGTTGGCCGTGATTGTCATCAGCTCTCTCCTGCCTCCTGGTCTCTGCAGCTTTGGGTGGAGGAGAGGCTGCCTCTGGCCCAGTCAGCCGACTATGGCACTAATCTGCAAACTGTGCAACTGTTCATGAAGAAGAACCAGGTGAGTCCTGCGTCACCTCACCAGCCCCACCCACCCCTCCTCACCCCCACCTGGCCCCACGGGGGTAGGCCCAGCCCTGACCTGCAGAAGGCTAGCAACAGCAGATTATTGTTCTTGTTGGTAGCTTTGGGGTCTCCAAACCGTATTGGTAATCTTATAGCAGAAAGAGCAGGTTTTTGTGATTACAGAGCAAATTCTGGGAGGATCACAGAGGAGGGGAGGTAGTTGGGGATTCAGGGCCATTCAGCCTCCATCAGGCACAGGTGAATGCAGGATCTCGGGGGCCTGGCCTGGAGGTTGATGTGCTTCAGTAGCTGTGTATTCGGTGTATCCAGTGGTCTGCCTGAGAGGAGGGCAGTAACTCCTGATCTCTCTCCCACAACACTGCCTTGCCCCTCTTCCAGGGCTGAGCTTGGCATGTGTGGTGTCCTTGGGGTAAGTAGGCCCCATTTCTCTCGACATATGAGGATACTTGTGGGGCTCAAATTCCATTAGGAAGCCACTAACTTTGGACTCTGAGCCCTTGGAGCAAACATCCCTCTGCTTTTTGGCACTCGCTTAGCCCTGATTGGGAACTCCTGTGGCCCTGGTCAGGATCCTGGATGTGAGCAGATGCCAAGCACTCCCTCTTGGGTCAGGGCTGCAGTGGGAGCCTGAATCATGTAAGGAAGCTGGCTGTGTGGGGTCGCAGCGGCCAGGGGAATGGCCACAGACCCTTCTTGGACAGAGAGACCCTCCCTCTGCATGCTCTCTGGGTCAGCAAGGAGAGCCCAGGAACTTAGATCCCAGATAAAAGTGACATGTCCCAGAGTGCCCGGTTAGTATTGCAGCTCCTTGAGGAAGGAAGGTCATGGCAGACAGCACTCCCTTCCCCCAGCTTGGCAGCAGCTGACATCTGCTCACAGGACCATGTGAGCCCAGCAGCAGTGCAGAGGCCTAGATTATATTCAGAGAAGTTTCTTCAAAGCTGCCTTAGGCCCTTTGCTTCTGGTTGACATGATCTAGTCGCAGAGGCTCCAGCAGCCACACGCAGGGACCTGGGCTAGAAGATGATAGAAATCTAGCCTCAGTTAATGCCACAACCTTCAGCTAAAGGTGGAAGGCTGGTAGGACATGGTATCCTTGGGACCTCAGTTTCCTTAATTGTAAAATGAGCCAACTCTAGTCTTTCCAACACTAGGATTTTTGATTCTATGCAGCCTCTGTAAGTGTTATTGTTCAAAGGTTTTTAACTCCCCTGGCTGGCAGTTGCTATTTCGGGAAAAGGGCAAGACAAATACGGATGGGGTTCCCCTAACCAAGAAGGGAAAGGCAGCCTCTTGGGACAGCGTGACTGCCCTAATGAAGACTATTTTAGGCTCACCTGGCTAAACCATAAATCCAATTTTATCATTTCCTCACCTAAAACCCTCTGTTGCAATGGTTGTCAAACTCCAATATGCAACTCCTTTAACAAGCCTTCTGGGTGAGTTTACACGACTTAACCAGGTGCCACCCCCAGATCCCTACTGCATCAAGCTCTGGGGGTAGAGCCTAATAATTTGCATTTCCAACAAGATCCTAGGTGATGCCGATGCTGCTGGTTCAGGACTGCACTTTGGGGACCACTGTTCCCAGGGCTATTCATTGCAATTAGAACAAATTCCACAAGGTAGTACATGAAGGGCTCTCACCCCTGGCTGTACACTCACATCACCTAGGGAACTTTTAGACAGATGAATGCCCAGGTCTCACCTCAGATCAATTAGGATCTCTGGGGGTAGGCCCCTAGCTGCATCTGTTTCCCTGGATTATTCAGTGGGCAATCAGGATTAAGAACCACTCTTGCCTGACCTGACCCCTGCCTGCTTCTGAAACTCAGCTCTTCTCACTTTGCCCTCCTTCACAGTATTCCAGCTCTTCTGGCCCTCTCTGTGGCCTCAGACGGTCCCAGCTCATGTCCACCCCAGAGCCTTTGCACTTGTTCAGTCCTCTTGCCAGGAACACTCAACCCCAGATCTCTGTGTGGTTGCCTCCCTCCCGTCATTCATGTCATGGTCAAGTTTCGTATCCTCAGAGAGGCCCTCCCTGACTCCCTTAGCTAAAGTGGCTCCTGCCACATCGCAGCAGACATTCTCCATCCCACTGTTGTCTTTTCCTCGTAGCCCCCAGGGAGGAAGGCCCAGCCTTTGTTTATTCATTTATTTGCATGTTTACCTTCTATTTCCTCTACCAGGTTGTAAGCTTTAAAGTGCAGGGATTTTCATTTCTCTTGTTTCTATATTGTCCCTATTACCTAGACCAGGGTCTGGTACATAGAAAAGAACTTAATACATAGTTGTTGAATGAATGAAGACAGGGAAGAAGACTTTAAATGTAAGTACCCTGCACAGATACTAGAAAGTAATTGGTTAAAAAGGAAGAAATACCCTTTTAGGCCGGGCGCAGTGGTTCACACCCGTAATCCCAGCACTTTGGGAGGCCGAAGCGGGTGGATCGCCTGAGCCCAGGAGTTTGAGACCAGCCTGGGCAACATGGCAAAAGCCCATCTCTACAAAAAATACAAAAAATTAGCCAGATGTGGTGGTACATACCTGTAGTCCAAGCTACTTGGGAGGCTGAGGTGGGAGAATCATCTGAGCCTGGGAAGTTGAGGCTCAGTGAGCTGATTGTGCCACTGCACTCCAGCCTGGGTGACTAGAGTGAGACCCTATCTTAAAAAAAAGAAATTAATTTTTAGGGCACCATGCAGAGGTCATAAGATCTCAGAGTAAACAAGCAAATGGAGCTGAAAACATGGGTTGTTTGAATGCAACTGCAGAGACTATAGGAAATTGTAAAAATTGAGGTTCTGAGCATAAAGTGTAAAAATGCATTTCAGCAGGTTATGTGACTTGTAGATGTGGTTATTTTGTGCATATTTTAAATGCTGGCCATCACTGTGCTGCTCATGTGGGCTGCTCTTGCCCCTGCCTTCCAATTTTAAAGGCCACAGGAAAATTATATAGAGAGGGAAGAAACAGGTAGTGAGGTATATGGAGCTCAGGAGCCCACACACCAGCAGCAGCTAGCCCAGTCTTTAGGACCCAGAAAACAAGTAACACGTGTCAGGGCCTCCTGAAGAAAAAGGTGACCAGCCACCAGGGTGGGAGGAAGAGGCTGTGTTCATGACCAAAGGCTCAAACAGGGACTAATGCAAAGCTCACAAAAATATGAGAAATAGAAGTAGGGAAAAACAAAAGCTGAGACTGTAAGCAAGGGGCTGCTGTCACCTGTTCTTTTAGATGGAAGGCAAAAACTGTGCCCACCTGAGCTGCTGGGTTGGGCGTATCCTGCGTAAATGATCCTGCATAAATCCTGCAAAAGCTGTTAGAATAAGGTATCAAAAAGGCCATTTTTCTTTTCCTTCCAACACATACACCTAAGGAATCAAGCTCTGCTGAAGCACAGGAAGATAGGGGACAGTCAAGAGCACAGGCTGCCAGGTCAGGTGGAGCTGTGTTCAACTCCGGCTCTGCCACTGAGTGACTTCACTGCTGCATGCTGGTCTCCACATGCTTATCTCAGCAGGCCACCTGAGGGTGCAAGAATGGTGCACATGAGGTGCTTAGCAGCCCGCAAGAGGTCATTGGTAGTTCTTATCGCCATCACCTGCTCTGCTCTAGCAACGGGGGTGAGAGGGACCAAGGGTGTCAGAGCTGTGCTGCCACTGCTGAAGCAGCCTCCCCCGCATGGTGGGAAGGCCCTGCCCCGAGCCCTTCCTTCTGGCCGCAGACACTGCAGAATGAGATTCTGGGCCATACGCCGCGGGTTGAGGATGTGCTGCAGAGAGGGCAGCAGCTGGTGGAGGCGGCGGAGATCGACTGCCAGGACCTTGAGGAGCGCCTGGGGCACCTGCAGAGCTCCTGGGACAGGCTGCGGGAGGCAGCGGCCGGGAGGCTGCAGCGACTGAGGGACGCCAACGAGGCACAGCAGTACTACCTGGATGCAGACGAGGCTGAGGCCTGGATTGGCGAGCAGGAGCTCTACGTCATCTCCGATGAGATCCCCAAGGTCTGTTCGGGCAGGGGATACCAGCCAGGGTGCCCAGGCAGAGAGGAAGAGTTGAGGTTGGCTGTCGGTAGGGAGCCTTGTGAGTCCAACTGTGTGAGGAGTGAGGCCAGGGGAGGGGCACAAGGAACCCACAGACTCCCTGCCCTCCCTTGGTGCCTCCTTGAACACACCCCTGCAGGGCACACACTGAAGCCAGGTGCCTCCTGTTTACCCACTTAGGTTTGCTCTAACCCAAGGGTTCTCTACTTTTCTTTACCCTGGATTCTGTACGCTATGAAAGAGATGGGGTGAGAGGTGACAGGTGGGGGTCTCTCAAAGCTGGAATGATATAGGATGTTTTCATGGGGACAGGGGTTAGAGCACAAAAGGAAGGGTATATGTCGGATACGAATCAGGGGAGTCCAGAGAGGAAGGTAGGGCACGGGCATTGCTGGGAAATCAGAAGGGCAGGAAGGAAGCATGTGTGGCTCTCCTGCGGGTGTCCCACAAGCCTACTCCCCTCCTCCCTCGGGCACCTCCAGGAGTGGGGGCACAACTTGCCAAGGGAGGGATCATGGCCAGACTGAGCTCTGGCGCTGACCGTCTGCTGCCTCCTAGGATGAAGAGGGCGCCATTGTGATGCTGAAGCGACATTTGCGGCAGCAGCGTGCGGTGGAGGACTACGGCCGGAACATCAAGCAGCTGGCCAGCCGGGCCCAGGGCCTGCTGTCTGCAGGCCACCCTGAGGGGTGCGTGCGCCCCCTGTGGTGACTCGGTCAGGAGATGGGGATTGAGCCAGGGGCCCACCAGCCAACGTCCCTTCAGATTTAAAAGGAAAATGGAAAGAGTTTTCCCATCAAATAGGGCTGGAGAAAATTGCTGCGGGACTGGTGATGGATCCAATTTCATTTTATGCCTTGGTTTTGTGTGAATCACTTCCAGCTGGGCCATCGAGGCCCTGGTTTTCGAAATGATCAGAGAAGGGGTTAGCAAAACTACCCTCTTGGTGACCTGAGAGCACCAATTTTCCGAAGGGTTACAATATGCTAAGGGACACTGAAGACTACTTTAGCTTTTATTTTTATGGTCCAGAAGGTCTCCAGGACTTCACAGTCCAGACAGAACCATGATGTAGGAGTGCAGGTGGAAACCTGTGCCCACATGGGCTGCGAGGTTTTGTGGATCCTGCATAAATGGAAGCCCACTGGGCCACAGACCACACACTGCCCCCAGCCATGGCCCTGTCCTCAGCTGCCATTAGGGTGCCCACCACTGTGGGTCCTCAGCAGCCACCCCAGAGGTTTCCCTGGGAGCCACATTGTCTGGGCCCCTAGTATGTCTTTTCCCTCCCTGGAGGGCTGAGCAGAGCTGTTGCTGCGGGAGCCCCACTCAGGTAGTGCTGCTCCCCCAGCCTCTCTGGAAGAACAATGGAGGCGTTCCCCATTTGCACTTGTCCCTGTAAGCTTGCCAGAGTGAGGGGCACCATGGGAAGCACCCCTCCAGGACAGAATTCCAGGACACAGTGTGTCATCCCCTGAGGCTAGGGTGTGGCCCCTTCTCTCCCCAGCTCTTCCCCGGCAAAGCCCCTGTCATTTCTCCAGAGCTTCACTCCCTACCTATCCCTGCCAGGGGGCTGTGGTTGGCATATGTTGGCTCCCTGGAGCCACGGCTCTGGGTTCGTGGCTGCCGTCTCTGAGGGCCTTTTTGGTTTTGAATTCCAGGGAACAGATCATCAGACTTCAGGGGCAAGTGGACAAGCACTACGCAGGGCTGAAGGACGTGGCGGAAGAGCGCAAGCGCAAGCTGGAGAACATGTACCACCTGTTCCAGCTCAAGCGGGAGACCGACGACCTGGAGCAGTGGATTTCAGAAAAGGAGCTAGTGGCCTCTTCCCCGGAAATGGGGCAAGACTTTGACCACGTGACTGTGAGTAGCCACAACTCCTGCTGTTTTTGTCTTTCTCTAATGCGGTAGACGCAGCCAGCCGTCACTCAAGACACACAGAGTGCTGCATAGGACGTAACCTCCCCAGTGTGAGGCGGGACCAGCCGATGCAGGCCTGCCCTGGGGAAGGTGTGACAGCGCAGCTCCCGGAGCTGCAGTTGCTGCCTGGGAAAGTCTTTGGCTAAGCTGGTGACACCTGTAACCCCTGTGCCCCCCATAACCACATTTCTGTCTGCCCCATGCCTAGCTTCTGCGGGACAAGTTCCGGGACTTTGCCCGGGAGACCGGGGCGATTGGGCAGGAGCGGGTGGACAATGTGAATGCCTTCATCGAGCGACTCATCGACGCGGGCCACAGCGAGGCGGCCACCATCGCCGAGTGGAAGGACGGGCTGAACGAGATGTGGGCAGACCTCCTGGAGCTCATTGACACGCGCATGCAGCTGCTGGCCGCCTCCTATGACCTGCACCGCTACTTCTACACGGGTGCCGAGATCCTGGGCCTCATCGACGAGAAGCACCGCGAGCTGCCCGAGGACGTGGGGCTGGACGCCAGCACGGCCGAGTCCTTCCACCGGGTGCACACAGCCTTCGAGCGGGAGCTCCACCTGCTGGGTGTCCAGGTACCTTCAGCCCCCTGCCGCCCACCTGCTACCAATTTCCAGGAGCCCTGGGTGTCAGTCCCCACCTGGCTGTCAGCAGGAAAACCTCTAGGATAAGTGCCAGGAGGTTTTGCCTCCTTAGACAGCCAGGAGCTCAGGGCTGGGAGCAGTGGCTTTCAGATGTTCCTTAGCTTCAGAAGTCATTCTTTAAACTGAATCCTCACAAAAGGCCAATGCATACAATACTATACGGTTGCAGTTTCTCCAGTTGTGCAGTACTATTAGTGGACACACGCACAGCACTTTTCTAGCACCAGGTGCTCTTCTGAGCAATGTATGTAGCCGCTGGACCCTCATGGCAGTCCTCTGAGGCAGCTACTAATATTCCCTGCACTTTGTAGATGAGAAAAGGGAGAGGTAGAAGACCCATAAGTTTCCCAGGAACATGTAGGTACGAAGTGGAGCCAGGGCTCAGACCCTGGCAGTCTAGCTATAGACCCCACATACTTAGCCACCGGGCACTTCAGCCTTTCCACATGGGAGCTGGAGAGCCCCCAAGTTCTACTGTTCAGACCCCTGCCCCATCACTGGAGTGCCCTCCGCAGATCCGTAGGGTGCCCCAGAGCTTGGTGTGATAGAAAGGGCAAATGCAAGGGGGCCCCTGTTGCTGAGGGCTCCCCCAGCTTCCAGTGCAGCAGGGAGAGGTAGGCTGGCTGCGCAATCCCAGGCCAGCCCTGCAGGGCTTGGGGACAGAACACCAGGGTTGGCTGGGCCCCTGGTTCATCCAAAAGGGGACCTCTTAGGGAAGTGTCCTCCAGCTGGAGTGGAGGGCCTGGTGTGTGGCTGTTGCATTTGGGGATGCCAGGGCCCCTGAGATAGGTGTAGCCCCACTGAGGTCTTAGGAGTGAGGTTTCACTGTCCCCAGGGCCAGCCTCAATCAGGGGATCTGGTGCAACCACTTCCTTGGAGAGGCAGCACACAGAATGGTTAAGAACGGGGACTCAGGAGCACGGTGCAAATCCCAGCTGTACCCCTTTACTAGTGTGAAGGACCCTGGACCAGTTACTTAGCTTCCTTGTGCCTCGTTTTCCCCATCTCAGAAACAGCAATAGTAATAGTACCTCCTTCCTGGGTTTGTTGGAAAGACGAAGAGAGTTCATCAGTAGAAAGTGTTTAGAACAGTGCCTGATATGTAGTTCCTCTCATTAGTGTATTGTTGAGGAGATCAAAGGGCAGGATTTCCTCTCACTCCCAAACCTTCACAAAGTTCAAGAGGTATCTTGGGTAGGCAGAGGTGTTAAAGCAAGGAGTCTTCTCCTACAGCACCCACTGGGTGGAGGCTGAAGATCCTACCTTCCAGCAGTGCCCTGGGCAGGGAGGCCAGGAGGAGGTAGCTGCCCTTCCAGTCCTAGGCCCACAGCACCTAGGGAGCAATGTCCAGGGAACAATGTCTGATTTTGCCTGACCACAGGTGCAGCAGTTCCAGGACGTGGCCACCCGTCTGCAGACAGCATATGCTGGGGAGAAGGCAGAGGCCATCCAGAACAAGGAGCAGGAGGTGTCTGCCGCGTGGCAGGCGCTGCTCGATGCCTGTGCCGGGCGCCGGACCCAGCTAGTGGACACGGCGGATAAATTCCGCTTCTTCAGCATGGCCCGTGACCTCCTCTCCTGGATGGAGAGCATCATCCGGCAGATCGAGACCCAGGAGAGGCCCAGGTGAGGGGAGTGTCCTTGAGGCAGAGGCAGCTCCTCTCCAGGCCAGAGGAGCCCGGCCAACCAGGGTGCTGCACTGTGGCTCCTCCGTGAAGGGACAGTCCTGGACTATCGTTCCATGAAAATCCCTGGGGGACACTTGAGGCCTGAGGCTGGATCGAGGCAGAAATGGCCTGGGTCAGCTTCCACTGGGAGGACCAATCGCTCCAGAGTCAGGAGAGTCCTGAGTGTAGAGAGAGAGACATCTGTCATTCAGGTTCTCTAATGGGAACAGTGACCATGGTTGTCAGTGAAAATAAGCAACTCACATATCCAAAGCTGGGCAGGTCTAAGACTGCGCATTCTTCTCCCAGCCCTGGGATGTGAGGGGGCCCTTCCCCCAAAACTCAGGAAGAAGCTCATCGTCCATGAGAGGAGGAGTCAGGCATGTGGGCAGTGAGAGCCCCTGCAGAGATCAGACCACTCTGCCCAGTCTGTGTCACTTCATCAGTTATTGCTGATCCATCTCCATCCTATTGCCCCTAAGGTGTCTGTCCTGATGGTCTTACTTTTAACATCCTTATGGAGATATAATTCACATACCACACTTCATCCATTTAGTGTGTATCATTCAGTGGTTTTTAATATATTCGCTGTTACACAACTATCCCCACAATCTAAGGTTAGAAGATTTTCATCACTCCGCCCCTATTAGCAGTCACTCCCCATTCCCCTCTCTTCCTAGTCCCTGGAAACCACTACTCAACTTTCTGTCTCTCTAGATTTGCCTGTTCTGGACATTTCATATAAATGGAATCATACAATATGTGGTCTTTTGTGACTGGCTTCTTTCCCTTAGTATAATGTTTTCAAGATGCATCCCTGTTGTAGCATCAATCAGTACTCCATTCCTTTTTATTGCCCACTAATAATCCCAGGCTTCTTTGGGGATTTCTGTACCCACTGCCCATGCTCTGGCCACTGAGCAATGGAAGATACCAGGGCATCTGTGTTCCTGCTGGGGCTGGGCTGGCGGAGGACCCCCTGGCTGGCCAGAGAGAGAGGAGGGAGCACGGTCACACTCCCACAGGCAGGGGGAGGTGGGCCCCTCTGGTTGGGACACAGAGGCAGGCCAGAGTGACCCAGAGTTCCCTTCTTCCCTTGTCCTCCTGTCCCCCAGGGATGTCTCCTCTGTGGAACTGCTCATGAAGTATCACCAGGGCATCAATGCAGAGATTGAAACCCGGAGCAAGAACTTCAGTGCCTGCCTGGAGCTTGGCGAGTCCCTGCTGCAGCGGCAGCACCAGGCCTCAGAGGAGGTGAGGGGACTGCAAGGATGGAGGCGAGCTCCTCCGTCTCCGTCCCCACTGTGCCAGCCAGGCAGCCTCCTGGGAGGGAGATGAGAGCTGCAGCTTTTCTGAGGAGCTTGTCTTGCTCTCACTCATGGAGATCGGGGCTACACACAGGCCCGGGGATTGGAGCCCCAGCAAGCGCACTCCCTGCCTTAAGGAGCTGGCCACTCAGTAACGGAGAGCAGCCTCATAACCGGCCTAACACCCACAGGTGCACACACTTTGGAGCTGGTGACCTCCTTTAATAGGAGAGGCGCATGGGCCTCAGAGAGGTTAAATAACTTGCCCCAGGCCACACAGCTGGCAAGCAGCTGGGCCAAGACTTGAAGCCAGGGCTGTAGGACCAAACCTGGCATTCTTTGCAGGACCCATCTGCGCACTGCCTCAGATGGTGAAGGGTGAGCCAAGCCTGAGCTTTTCTCCCTTTCCTCCCCATAGATCCGCGAGAAACTGCAGCAGGTGATGTCCAGGAGGAAAGAGATGAATGAGAAGTGGGAAGCCCGCTGGGAGCGGCTCCGCATGTGTGAGTACAGCCCTGGAGCCAGGGCCCAGGGGCAGGAGTACCCCCGCAGGAGTAGGGGAATGGGGAGGTGCCACAATGGGTGGATTTTCACTACTGCCTAGAGAGGAGCCCCCCACAGCACTGCTCTTCAGCAAAGCTCTGGGGCCAGGGGCCTCAGCGGTCCAGGCAGAAGGCCAGAGTAGACACGCTGCTGGAAGCCTCACTCTAACTAGCCAGCGTGCCCCCACTCCCTGCCCATCCTCTGCCGCACTTGTCCCCAGCCTCATGCCCGGGCTGGTATGCCTGCAGAGCTATGGCCTGGGGGAGGAGTTGGGGGCCCGGGGGAGGGGCTGGGGGCCTGGGGGAGGGGTTGAGGGTCCGGGGGAGGAGTTGGGGGTCTGGGAGAGGGGTTGGGGTAAGGCTCTGAGGAATCCCAGACATTCCTCATGAGGAATGTCAAGCACAGAACCGGCTCTTCGTCCTTCAGCTGGGTGCTGATGAGAGGTGGGGAAAAGCCACCATTCAGGGAGGAGCTGTGAGCCAAGAAGGGCCAACTGGTGCCCCTGGCCACTCATCCAGCATCATGTGAGACAGCCAAGGGCTGGGAAGAATGTTCAACACAGAAGACTCCTTTTCAGAGACATCTAAAATACATTTTGTTTTCAAAATAGAGTTCTAATTAGTGAAAAATATAGCTTAAAAAATATAACTATTGGGCCAGGCATGGTGGGTAACATCTATAATCCCAGCACTTTGGGAGGCCAAGGCAGGAGGATTGCTTGAGCTCAAGAGTTTGAGACCAGCCTGGGCAACATAGGGAGATCCTATCTACAACGACAGAAAAAATTAGCTGGGCATGGTGGTGCACACCTATAGTCCCAGCCACTTGGTAGGCTGAGATGGGAGGATCACTTGAACCCAGGAGGCTGAGGCTGCCATGAGCCATAATCACATCACTGCACTCCAGCCTGGGTGACAGATTGAAGCCCTCCCTCTAAAAAAATATAACTATTGTGAAGATCGGTTAGGGGCCCAGTGTGGAATGGGGTGGCTGCAGGCAGCAAGCGTATCCATGTGGTTTAGGGACACCTATTCAGGCCACCTGCCTGACCACTGGCCCCAATCAGGAGTGAACGATTGGGTGCTAACAGGCCCTGGGCCTTGTGGGGGGTCTGTGTCCTGTTCCCCCTGGCAGTGCTGGAGGTGTGCCAGTTCTCGAGGGATGCCTCTGTGGCTGAGGCGTGGCTGATTGCCCAGGAGCCCTACCTGGCCAGCGGGGACTTTGGACACACAGTGGACAGTGTGGAGAAGCTCATCAAGAGGCATGAGGCTTTTGAGAAGTCCACGGCCAGCTGGGCAGAGCGCTTTGCTGCCCTGGAGAAGCCCACCACGGTGAGCAGGGAACAGTGCTGGGAGGCTCAGGAGGGTGGCAACTGTGCCCCCAGGGGTCTCATGTAAGGACTCCAGGCCAGTTGTTAGGTACTTAGAATGGTGTGACAGGCTTGGCCAGCAGCGACAATGGGAAGGAAAGACAAGTGGCAGGAAGTACTGACCTCCGAATGCAAAGGACAGAAGGGGCTGACTCTAGAAGGAACAAGTGTCAGGGCATGTGGGGGTGCAGGGCCGCATCCAGAGGGAGATCGTCTGAGAACACAACTCGCCTCTGTGGCTGCTCTGACCCCTGGGCCTTCTCCTCCTCTAGCTTGAGCTGAAAGAACGCCAGATTGCAGAGAGACCCGCAGAGGAGACTGGGTGAGTGGTGGCCGTGTGTCCAGGGAGCTGAATGCTCTGCCAAGTGGGAGTAGGGGGTGCCTTTCATCAGAAACCTGACATTGGGACCAGTTGCATTTGACTTCTCACACTGGGCACCCTCGTCAGGAAGGCCCAGAGTGCCTGAGCATGAGCGCAGAGGACCTTTTGCTTCCCCAGTCACAGGCGGGCTGAAGGCCTGGTGCGGGAGGAGGGGGCTGGGAGCAGTGGCTGCCAGGCGAGGCCCCACCTCGGAGCCACCTGAACACGGGGCCCCACAGGCCGTTCTGCCTGGAACCTGGCTCCCTTCTGAAGAATCTGCCTTGGCTTTTCCGAAGAAGTCGCTGGGCGGCTCCTTGCCAAGCACCATCCAGGCTGCCGGCTGACTGGAGGGGGAGCTATTTGGTGCTCCTCCCTGTGGGCGCAGGTGAAAAGCCAGGCCTCGCAGGAGGCACTGGCCTCAGAGGGGTGCTTGTTTCTAAAGAGAGACTGTGTCTTCCTTAGGCCTCAAGAGGAGGAAGGCGAGACAGCAGGGGAGGCTCCAGTTTCCCACCATGCGGCCACCGAGAGAACGTCCCCGGTCAGTCTCTGGTCTCGTTTGTCTAGTTCCTGGGAGTCACTGCAGCCAGAGCCCTCTCACCCCTACTAGGCTCAGCCCAGGTGGAGGCGAGATGAGCTGGCGCAGCCCCGCCCTCCATCCTCCCCACATCCCTGCAGCCACCTCCCAGCAGAGCAGGCTACGTCCTCACTGAGGTGTTCTTCATGAGAGTACTAGCCTCCTCCACTCCTCCCCACAGCGCAGAGGAAACAGGCCAGCCCAGTGACATGACGTTATTAGTTTTGTTTTACCTAATGTAATAAATTTTATTGTATAAATATATCACCATTTACATGAGGGGAAACACTAGCCAGAGATGATTAGTGCATTTCTGTACACCGTCCTTTTCCCCATTTTCCAACTCCTTCCTCTAGGCAGTACTCACCCCCTGCACCCACACCTACACACAGGCACATGCCCACACACACATGCATGCACACACAAATACACACCCACATGCACACACACCACACACCCCCATATATACAGACACCTCACGCACAACCACACACCCACATACACATACACACACACATACACATACACACAAACACACCACACCCACCCACATGCACCCACACCACATCCCCATACACACATCCACACACACCCACACACGCATACTCATACAGACCACACCCCCCATACACACCTCACGCACACCCACACACCCACATACACACATATGCACACACAAATATGCACACACCACACCCATCCACATGCACACACCACACCCCATACACACACATCCACACACTCACACCCACACACATACACACTCATACACACCACACCCCCACACACACACACATGCACACACCGCAACCTCCACACACACACACACATACATGTGCACACACCACACCCCCACACACACACACACTCACACACACACACACCCCAATCACTCAGCTGTCCCATCCCACCTGCCCCACCACAGGCATCTTCAGTGGTGAAGTGGGGGTGCCCATCCTTGTAGGCGATTCTTTCCCCCTATGCAGAGCCCTCTCCTCTTTCCACCGATCTGGCCTGAGGCCTGTGGGTCAGTGAGTCTGGATATGGAGCTGGTTCTGGGGCAAGAACAGACTTGAAGGAAGCCTGCAAAATTGAGGAGAATCCCAGGGCTTTGAGTAACAGAGGTCAGCCCCCCAACTTGTCGGAAAGGAGGATGAGCCAGAGGCCTGGCTCAAGGGACAGGGAGAGCCCAAGACAGCAGCTGCCAGAGGCCTAGGGCATGCGCCTCAGGACCTTACCTGGAGCAGGCCCCTTAGGACTCCATGGGGTCTGTGCAGGGAGCCTGGGAGGCTGTCACCCAGGCTTAGGGAGCTGCTCTGGGGAGCAGCTGACCGAGAAGAAAGCAAGAATTCAGCACACGGCTTGCACGGCTTCCCCCTGCATGTCCCCGCTGTGGCAGGCTGCACTGGGGGCCAAGGGAGCCACAGATCCTTCCTGCAGCCCACCTCTCCAGGTGTCCCGTGAGCCCGCCTGAACCTGGGGGTGAGGTTAGGAAGACTGGCATTCCACATGGAAGTTTCTGGTACACCAGTCACACCCAGAAACATATACAGATAGTGAGGCCTCCCTTTTTCAGCCCTTCTCACCCTCTGAGAGAGACAGATGCCCTCCCCACCCACCCCCATCCACCACCCGCGCGCGCGCGCGCACACACACACACACACGCACACACTCCTCTGTGGCCTCCAGCCTGGCCAGAGGCCTCCCTTTCCTAGCTGCACCAGCCCACCATGCCCAGCAGAGGGCACTGCTGGGCTCCTGCTGAAGGGTCTCTCCCAGAAGTTCCCTCCGAAGCTCCCGTCATCGCATGTGGGGTCGCCTCCCTGTCTGTGGTGGACTGTGTCCCAGCCCCTTTTTCCCAGCAACAGCCCCTGCCGGAAGGAGAGCGAACTCTGGGGGGCCGGCACAGACTGCGGACACGGGCTAGGGCCCTGCACCCTGCCCCCGCCTGCTTCTGCCATGCGTCCCTGTGTGTCTGCATGTGGCGGTGTCCTGGTGTGCGGGCTCCTCTGTGAGCACCAGAGCGACTCCATCCACTGTCTGTGTCATCTGTGTCTGTGCAAATGTAATTACTTGTGCATCAGAGCCGCCTCCAGCCAACACCTGAATGTCACTGGGTTGGGGGGAATAAAACCTGTTTGGACCTGATGATCTCTTTGGGGGAAGAAGTGAGCCCACATTTGAGACCCTTTCCGGAGAGCCAGCCACTCCAGCAGATGGGAAGACTGGCTTGTGCCCGGTACCGGAAAGAAACCAGATGGTGACTCAAACGAACACAGACCCAAGGCCTCACGCACAGATTTCCTGCTGCTGCTCCCTTCTGAGCCTTTTGTTAAGTTCTCATGGGGATCCACGAACCTCAGAGGGAGGGCCTAATACCCCATCCACCTTCGATGCAAGAAAGAGGAGGACAGAGCCTGTCGGGAAAGCCCAACCTGGCTCTAGAAGGCTCCTTGCAAGCCCAGTGGCTGGTCCTTCCAGCCTGCCTGGAACTACCCCTTCACAGAACCGCAGGCCTCTCCCAGGAAGGGATGGCCAATGGCTGCGCCTCCCCTTGGGGATAGTCCTGGGGGATGGTGGCTCTCCTGCTGGTCCTCTGTGTGTGGTCTGGTGTCGGTGCCCTACAGAATAGATCCATGCGGTGTTGCTTCATGTACAATCCCTCACTGTGCATGTCGGCTTCCTGCTGGGGGGAACTGATGGGAGTGGACCAGGCACCCCTGCTCCTGTCTGGACAGCTGCACACCACAGGGTGGCACCCCACCCCAGTCCTCCCCTTCCCCACGTGTGTGTGCACGTGGTGACTGAAGCTGCCATCCCACACATCAGCCTCTTTCTCAAGCACATCACTGCACGGTCCCACCGCCTTCCCTCACCTCTTGCCTTTTTACATTAGAGCACGTTCTGGTAAAGGCCAATCCGTTCATACAGGTAAGTGCATGGGAGGCCAGGCAGAAGAAACAAGACCTCACTCACGAAAGACAAAACTGCTGGAGGGGAAGTCAGGACATCTGGGTTCTAGTCCTTAATTCTGTTGGTAACTTCCTGCGTGATTTGAGATAAAAACCACCTAATCCCCTGAGTCTCCGCGCTCTTATAAAGCCTTCTCTGGAGAATTACGGAAAGTCTGGAACATTTCTGTATGTCAGCAATTTAGCAAATTACAGGGAGGGGCTGGGAGAGGTGGTTTTCACCACTTTCCTCTTGCCTGGTGCTTAGTGCTGTGGTACCTGGCTGGTCTCAGGTACCCACTGGTGTGAGACGGGAGATGGGAAAGAAGTAGTAAAGGGCTGGGGTGTTTGCCTTCGTCCCTGTGGGGGACTAGAGGTGGGGCTGCACCTCTGCTACGGTAAGGACAGTGCCCTGAAGGAGGCCCAGGTCTGCGAGGGAGCCCTCGGCAGTGGGCAGGCAGACCTGCTCCAGACTAAGCATCTCCCCTTCACCTGGGGCTGTGGCCCTGG